>NC_000011.10:78631453-78934483 GCF_000001405.40 Homo sapiens | reverse complement strand
TAAAGAAACTAAGGCCTAGAGAACACCTGAGATGTCCCCAAGACACGCAGAGTTGGGGAAAGATCCCACATGATTCATGTTTCCCTGAGAATCCTTCGCTCATCACATAGCAAAACAATGCAGGACAATAACTGAGATCTTGCTGAGGGTTTGTGTTTGTGCCTTTGTTTTATGGTTCCTTTTCTTCCTTTTAAGATAAGCATGTCAGGTTTAATTGCCTCTCTGATTCTCTAGGATTGGGAAAGATGAACAAATGAATGCGTGAATAAACAGAGCCTGCATCAAAGCCCCAATATTGTGACTACAGCCCCACTCTGTCTTTCTGCAGGATCTCCCCAGGCAGCATTCCCTCAGTCCCCCTTTATTGGTCTTTATTTTTGTCAACTGGATGACCATGCTCCTTTCCCTGGCAAAAATACTGCCCTGAGTACTGCCCATTTGAGGGGTATTTTAAAATTCCTAACAGTATCTCTAATTCCCAGTGCACCCTTGTGCTAGAATCCCCAGGAGAAATTGTCCTCTTGTCCCCCCCTTTCCCCAGGAAGGTATTTTTAATTTGTATCTGCAGTTGGTGGACAGAAATAGCCAAATATAAGGCCCTGAGCTCTTTATAAAGCACAGAAGGGGAGAGAGGTGCTCACATTTATTGAGCACCTGCCAGGAGCAACATATGTTCTTTCTTCTCCAGAGGCAGGTATTCTTACCCTCACACTACAGAAACAGAGGTCCTGGGATGCCGAGTGAGACCCCCAGCTTACACGTGGCTGGCTGCCTTCCAGTGCAACTACCTTGCACTGCCTCCCCAGAGTGAACCTCCTTGGCCTCCTGAACGCTTCTGAGATTGAAACTTAGCAAATCTGCAGCAGTGTTCTCCAGGTTTAGATGTTGCAGAATCTCATTGGCATTTAACGTGGCTGGGTGTTTGAGTGTATTTTTATGTCTTGCCTGAGGCCTGAATAAAAGTTACAAGCAGCACTGAAGACCAAACCAAGAATGAAAATGTGGGCAGCCAACCTTGTAACCTTAGCTAATCTTTAATTATGCCTTAATTGAGGATCTATGAAGTAGATATAGGAAGACTAATAATAATATGTTGAGTTTATGCAGCATTTTAATTTCCCCACTCCTTCACGTGTGTTGTAATAATTATTGCTGCCGTTTCCTGAGCCCCAGCTGGGTGCCAGTTACCCTGTGAAGCCCTTTATATTATTTCTATTTTATTTCTCTCCTCAGCTCTTTAGAGGAGATATTATCCCCTCCTTACCAATGAGAAAACCGATTCTCACTTGTCCCAGGGAGAAGCACTGGGCAGCCTTTTACCTCAGATGCAGCCAGGAAGCCTATTCCACAGTCAAATCTAGCTTCAAATTTATAGGTTGTGCTGCCTGTGGAATGTGGTGCCTGGAGAACAGGAGCGGAGTTCGGGTCCTGCTCCCAGCCTCCAGGGTACATCAATCTCCCCTGTGGAACAGCTCTGTGACAAAGATATTGAACTCCAGCCCAACAGTTCTGTAAAGCAAGAGTCCCCAACCCTGGGCCGCGAACCTGTACCGGACCGTGGCCTGTTAGGAACCAGGCCGCACAGCAGGAGATGACAGGAGGCATTACCACCTGAGCTCCGCCTCCTGTCAGATCAGCAGTGGCATTAGATTCTCATAGGAACTCGAACCCTATTTTGAACTGCGCATGCGAGGGATCTGTGTTGCATGCTCCTTATGATAATCTAATGCCTGATGATCTGAGGTGGAACAGTTTCATCCCAAACCCCCATCCCCACCTGCCACTGGTCCATGGAAAAATTGTCTTCCACGAGACTGGCCCCTGGTTCCAAAAAGGTTGGGGACCACTGCAGTAAAGTAAGTCTCCCCATCCCAGTTTATGCAGATAAGGAAACTGCAACAGAGAATTTTTTAGCTTAGCTTGGTCACATATCAGTGTTAGTGCTTCCTTTTCAATACCAGCTCTCCCCCCATCAAGTGAGATAATCCAGAGAGTAGTCAGAGATCTTCTCGGAACACTTCCAGAACCCTTCTGGCCTCCCCCTAATCCCATCTCATGCTCACGGAGCCATCTCCCACCAGAGGGCAAATCGGAGGCCACAGCATCATCAGACTGAGTGACCTGTATCTGCTGTCCCCTGAACTGATGTGCAGAACTCCTGTCATGGGGAATTAGCCCATCATCTCATAGGGCTGGAGCTCCTACAACCTGGGGGTGGTGGTGAGGGGGTTATTGTTGTTTTTCTGACTTGTTTATTGTGTTTTGCAAAGATCTGGGACTTTGACAGACAGCTACAGGAAGTTTAGTTGAAGCCTACAGTGAGAACGTCCTCTAGCAATGCCATCTAGTTACTTCACAGTAATGACAACAATGGCTAACATTTATCAAGTGTTTACCATGTGCCAGGCAGCCTATTAAGTGCTTTCCAAGCCTGCGAAATCCTTCCATAACCCTATGAAGTAGCCATTACTACCTTTTTTTGTTGTTGTTAGAGATGAAGCTTTGCTCTGTGGCGCAGGCTGGAGTGCAGTGGTGCAATCATGGCTCACTGCAGCCTCAAATTCGTAGGCTCAAGTGAGCCTCCTGCCTCAGTCTCCCAAGTAGATGGGACTACAGGCATGTACCACCGCAGCTGGTTTATTGCCATTTTTAAATGAAGCAACTAAAGCACAGCGTTTCATTAACCGGTTGAAGGTCACTAAAGAATTGAATTCACACCTAGCCCCGGTGGAAATCCTGATCTGTCTGATTTCAGAACCACTAGTACTCTTTACCATTCCATACTGTGACTCTACCCCATAGCAGCTTAGTGAGCCTAGGACAGCCACTTAACCAGATACTCTATCACGGAAACAATAACACCTACTTCACTTGATTTTGTCAGGATTAAATAAGATGACAATTTGCCAAAAGCCAGTGGATGCTGATAAAGGTGTTTCCTTCCTTATGAGATCAGTGGCAAGTAAATATTTACTGACTTCACTTTTAGATGCTTTGATGCAAATGTTATACCTACCACTTATTTTCTACTGCACCTCTTTTGCATTCAACTACTGAAAACACCAGTGCTTTAGGCTGTGTATTTTAGAGTCAGACAAACCGCAGGGCCCAGCCAACTCCCTTCTTGCTGAGCCTCCTTTCAAGGCTGTGGATATCCTTTCTTTTTAATATGGGCCTGCTGTTAGGACTCAGACGTAGCATGTCTTTTAAAAATACTGGCTTTGAGGTAAAGAAAGAGAGATAGAGAGAAACCTTGCAAGGCACATGGGGAAATCGTGGACAGGGCGCTTCTCCACAGCCTGTTTTGTAATTTTCCTCATGAGAATTCATAGCAAGCTGGCACCTTTTTGGCTGCTCAAAAAGTGCCCTAGTCTACCTAAAAGGGAGAGTTAACAGGCCGGGGAAGAGTTGCTGGCGGCCATCAACATGATGAAGTGAAATTTCAAATTACGTTAGATGTTTGCTTAAGGAACAACAGATGAGGCCCTGTGGATTCTCAATCCTCTTGGCTACACAGCAAAATGAAAAGCATAACCATTTGGAACCCTTCCCCTGGACCGTATGAAGTCTGGGCCCAAAAGATGACCTTTTAACGATAGCTTCCTGCCTCTGAAGGGTTAGAGTGTGTCGAATTTTTCTTCGCTCAGGGCCTGGTTTTAATCATTGCCACAGTCAGAAGAAAGGGCTCTTATCCACACCGCTTACTTTTTAAAATATCTGAAATGTTCTTTGAGGTTACAATCAAAATTTTTTGGATAAGATTTCCTGTCCTTTGCCTGGTAATCTGCAGTGTGACCTTTGTCACATTCAGCAAACTTCCATTGAGAACCCGTTGTGGCCCGGGCCAGTTCACATGGGTGGGTGAATTTCATCTTCCCCAGGATCCTGACATTGAGGCTTTGTATTTTCCTCATTTATAGGTGAGCGTACCGAGGCTCAGATAGGATAAGTCATTGTCAAGATCATACACAGCTAATGGATGAGTAACACTTAGCCCTTTGGAGAAGGGAGGAAAACTGTTTCAGGTGGAGGGACCTGCCTATGTGTGCAAGACTAACTCCAAGTTCCTTTCCCTTTTTACTACACTACAGCTAACTCTCTAATCAAGGGGAAACTTGACCATATTCAGTGGACAATGAGGAGCCACAGAAGGTTTCTGAGTAGGATAATGGCATAAACAGAGCTTTCGGAACATTGATCAGTTAGCTTCTCTTCCTTTCTAAGTCATTCACATTTAATCTCAATATTACTCCATCATATCAAAATAACGTAAGGTACCCAGAGCAAGTAGGCACTTGTACTGATGTGGAAAATGAGACCCACAAAAGTTTTATAAGCTGCCCAAGGTCACAAGCTTAGCATTTAACCAGGACATTAACTATAGTCTGAGCACCATTTTCCCTTGGGGACCACAAGCCCAGCAGCAAACTGTAGTCTGCAGAAGCCCATCCTCTCTGTAAAGCACCCATGGTAAAATCTAAATTCATTTAGGACGGAGGCACAGAGCTGCCCCAACCAGTTTAAATTGTTCAGTCCTCTGTCCTCCACTCCACAATTGCAACGGGTTCTGTTCTGTCCAGAATCTTAATTTAATTAGTCTTCAAAGAAACTTTTGCTGGTAAAATAGGCTCCCAGCAGAGAAGGCTTTGTTTTCAATGTTTGGTGGCTAAAAAAGGCACATTTTGCACCAAAATGACAGAGTCTGGAGGTGGTGAACTTTTGACACAAGAGAATAAATCCTTGAAGAGAAAATCTACAGCCACCTGAAGCTTGGCTTGGCTGTATTTATGCAAGTGGACCCAGCCCCAGCAGGATATTAAAAACCATTATAACCAGGTTCCCTCTTTACCATCTCCCCCGGGGGCCCTGATCCTTAGCTTAAGTCTTACATTTCCATAATAAAGGCCACCAGCTCCCATTTCATCACATAGTCCCCAAGAACCATTTAAAGACCTAGGCAGCCCCATTGTAGGAGGATTTCCCTGGCTCCCCTTCCCTAGCCCTCTCTCCTTCTTGTCTCTCTTCTGAACCTGTGAGTTTTTCTGAGAGAGAGATTAAATCAGTTGCAAAGAGCTGTTTAATTAAACTTTCCCCCTCCCACCTCTGAAGTTGCTGGAGACTTCTTTTGACTTCTCCTTGGCAATGCGTAATCACTGTAATGTAGCCGATTCTGTAATTACCTGCCGCACATGGAAGCAGTTTGATTGCTGTTGCTTTGTCCTATTTCAACCTCAGCTGACAGCCGTGTTCACCCTCCTTGAGTGTCTGGAATATCCTAGCAGAAGGCAAGGTGATCTGAATTTATAGGCAACTTTTGATGGGTCCAGATTTATAGGCAAATGGGGCCAAAGGGTGGATAATGAGCATTCTGAGGGTGAGATGGACTTCCCTTCTCTGCATGGTGAGCTGCCCAGCTGCAGGTGCAGGGAGGTACCTGCCAGAGCACAGATGGGGTGGGTTTCCAGAGACTCCGGGCCCAGCCATGAGGTTCACAATTCACTCTGCTCTCGTTCATTCTGCCAGTGCATTTTTCATTCTGCAAGATGCAGACACAAAACTGTAGGAAGTGGCTCATGCCACCTTCACAGATCTCCCCTTTCATAAATGTAGCCATTAACTCCCTTTTACAGATGAGAAAAGTGAAATGAGACTTTCCAACTAGTAAGTGATGGCACCTAGATCAATCCAGGTCCATGTCACTTTAAAGCCTGCTCCACCCAATCAGTACTTGTTTGGTAGTCCCTTATATTTTGTTATTTGATCCTTACAACAATTTATTACATAATTATAAACTAGGTTTAATTGTGAGAAAAACGAGATTTTGAAAGTGATATAATATGTACAAAGTCACACAGCTAGCAAATGGAAGAGTTGGAATTTGAACCTATGTGGATCTGATTCTAAAGCCCAGACTTGTAACCCCCCACTTTATCCCTTTTTAATTATATAGTGAGTTCTTGTGTATTCCAAGGCTGTGGAATCTATTCCGTCAAGCACCTTGCAGATTTTTGACCTATTTCCTTGTTGTTTTGATTTAGCTTTATTATACACTTAAATATTGAGAGTTGTTACCTTAGGAACTAGTGGCAGAATGGTGTTTTTCCTTCCAGGCTTTTATATATACCTGTAGTGTTAAGACCATGGGGTGGCGGTGTATTTTTTGCTTCTTAACGTATGATATTGCCCTCTCAAAACTTTCCAGCAAGCTGGGTAGGACAGCCCTGGTCCTCCTAATCTCCTTCCAGGAAACTGCTCCAGGGCACACAAATTCTGACTGTAGTCAGAGCGGGGACCCCCAGGGGCTGCTCTGTTTAAAGAGCTGCAGAGTAAGGAGACGGGGAAGGTGGGGTCTTGCTGGGGTAGTCTAGGGATGGGTGGTGGTGTTGGTGACAGCTTCACAGAAGACAGTGACCCTACCACAGGACTATGTCTTTAGTTGGCAGGAACCAGTAGGCAGTAGGGAGATGTGGGTTTGGTGGTCTCCTTGGAAGAGGCTTAAGGGATCCCAGCAGGACAGACTTAGTGGGCTACAACATACCCTTGGGCTGTCGGGAAGTTTGAAATGGAAGCTGTGGCTATCACCAAGGATTGCTTTAGATTGAGTGTAATTAAAAGAGAGAGAGAGAGAGAGAGAACAGGATGCTTTTCTTCCTTTTAGGATGGAAGGGAGAAAGTGGAGCCTGGTTGAGTGCCAACTCTGACAGGTTCTGTGTTTTGACATGGTTCCTGACTTGAAGGACATGGTTAGCAAAACTGGCAGAAAATTTTACACACATCTTCTGGGGCTTCAAAGTGAAGAGCCCTTTGCCTTAACACAGGTGCATGAGTGTCATTCATGTGTGTCTGGGTTGAATAAGCGCTTTGAGATGGAGCCAGCCTGACGCTGAGCAAAGGGAGGTACGAAACCTCCTCTATTTTGAATAACATCTTCTATAAGAAAAGCCTCTGTTAGCCACTCTTCAAGTCCCATTCCATCCCCTAGATATTTCTTTTATATTTTTGACCTGTATAAACTTTTTCTCATTTACATCCCTTAGCAACCATGTTCTAATGTTTCTTGACACCTGCTTAATTATCTTTAGTAGAAAAATGAGAGAAGAGGTGGAGTAGAGCCAGCTACTTTCCTTACAAATTTTGTCTGCATTTTTTTCTAATATAAAAATAACACATCATTGGTCCTTTTCTTTGAAAATAAACTGAAATAAATTGCTGTGCAATCCATGTAGACAAAGCAAAAATATATCAGTTAAAAAATGGCACACAGCAGCTAGCAAACTATTTTAACATTGAATCAGTTCCTGTGTAGTAGCCACAATGCATGCAAGCAAATTATTCATCAGAAACAAGCTCCAAACATACAGCAAAATAATCCATGTGAAGGAATTCCAACATCATGCTCATACATGGACTACAAGCAAATAGTTCACTGAATATTAGTGCACAGCAAGCAAAGAAAAACATTTTAATTGTTTGTACAAAAAACATATTTTGGTCAGCATTAATGCTTTATAACAAGCAACAAAAATGTACAGTATCATAAAGATTTTAATCTTTATCTCTCAAACCTAGAAAATCACGCAAAGCCAGGTAAATAAACATTTCTAAAAGCTTCAAAAGCCCATGTCACTGATGGATTCCAGATGGTTCTCCTAATCACTGGTGTTCACCACATTAGAAAACAAGTTATCTTGATCTGTAAAATACCACCCTGCAGCTCTGTTTACTGTGTCCTTTTTCAAAGTGTCTATAATATTAACGTCAAATCTCATGTTAAAGCTATGCCTCTGTGGCAGAAAAAAAAAAAAACAAAAAACACCTTTATTTTTAATTATTTCTAAATGAAAGTGATATGTGTACAAAATTTTAAAAGTTACATTTTAGTAAAAGGTTTATAATAAAAAATATCATTTCTGGCCAGGCATAGTGGTTCATGCCTGTAATCCCATCACTTTGGGAGGCCGAGGCGGGCGGATCATGAGGTCAGGAGTTTGAAACCAGCCTGACCAATATGGTGAAACCCCGTTTCTACTAAAAATACAAAAATTAGCCAGGCGTGGTAGCATGCACTTGTAATCCCAGCTACTTAGGAAGCTGAGGCAGGAGAATCGCTTGAACCCGGGAGGCAGAGACAGTGAGCCGAGATCATGCCACTGCACTCCAGCCTGGGCGACAGAGAAAGACTCTGCCTCAAAAAAAAAAAAAAAAAAAGTCAGTTCTTTGCCCCATCCCTCCCCACTCCCAAGTCTCACTCCCCAGGAGACAGGAACTCTAATCTCTTCTACCTGTTTCTTCTGCCATTTACCTCCATGCTTCTAAATAACATGCATGTACTGCTATTTTTCATTTATTAATTTTATACATTATCTGTTGACTTTGTGCAATAGAAGAAGATTCCCACACTACCTTCTCTCTCGTTTTCCCTCCCCGATAGAACTCTATCATAATATTATAATCATTTTTGTTAAATAGGTAGTCATTGGTTATATAATTATGTAATATATGGGCTTTGGGGTTGTTTTTTTTTTTTATTTCTTTTCCTCCTGAGCCAAATAGTGCACTGTAACTATTCCTCTTTTCTTGTACATGCCTTCATTTATTTTCTTGGAGTTGTTAATTGCTTTTTTTTTTCTTTGCCTTATTGGAGAAATTTTAAGTGGTTCAGTGTAGCTGGGACAGGATCCTTAATATAAGGGATACAGTGACTGACAAGGCTGTAAAAGGGACTAGATCTTAATGGACCTTGAATGCCAGGCTAAGAAACTTGGACTTGAGGGTAGCACGGAGCCATGGAAGGGCAGGGAGGTGACCTTCTGGAACATTCCTCCCATGGCTATGTGAGAGGTCCATATGGAAACAGTTTTTAAACTGACATGGAGGAGTGTGTGAAAGCATCTGCATTTTCACAATCTTTCCAGCACAACTGGTGTCATCTTTAGGAAACTCCCACACTTGGGTGGGAGTTTGTCAAGTCACTAACAGACTCCAGCTCTCCTGCATTTTCCTTCCCTGAAAATATGGAAAATAAGGAAGGGCAAAAATCATCTCACAAGTATACCCAACTGGAATTTCCTGATTCGCTTGGAATTATCCAGTCTCAAAGAGGTCCAGGTTATGGGCAACAGGAAAACTACTACTACTAACACACACACACACATACATACACACTTTTTTTTTTTTAAGTAAAAATAGCTAAAATGCTGATGGATAGAATTTGTGCATTTCCCATCACCAGTGAATTAGAATTTATTCTACACTCAGACATCCAACTCTGAAGCTGAAATCACACAAATCTCAGTTGACGCTCTTTGCTCTGTTTTGTTTTGTTGGGAGAGAAGGGGAAAAAGCTGGAAATGTCAAGAGATCAGAGTTAGAATACAGGATAAGAATTAAGATTTAGAAGGTTACTCAAATAAGAACAGAAAGAAACTAGGGTTTGTATCAGCGGTGACGTGTATGAAATTACTTTTAATTTTGCAAAATCACAGCTTTGCCCTCTCAGCCTGTGTAAGTGAACCTAGCAGTTAGCATTCATAAAGAGGAAAGCCCCAATGTTATGGGTGACCAGGGAATGTCCAGATTTCCGAGAGGGCAACTGACCAACTTACTGCTTCTGTAACATACAAAGTGATTGAATTTGCTTGTCAAATTCTTTAAATTCTATTAGTATAGTGATACATTGCTATTTATGCCAAGAGACACCTTTTTAAAAAATGATTTCTGCTGTTTTTTTCTTACAGTTGGGAAATTCAGCTCCTAACCAACTCATCACCAGAAACACAGTGGCAGACAGCTGTTAGGGCCGAACATTATCATCATCATAATACCTATCACGGAGTGAACCCCTGCTATGTGCCAGGCACTGTCCAGGCATCTTCACTAAGATTACAGCCTTTGACACTCACTACAGTCTAATACAGTGTAATTTCTTGCCTTCATTTTCTAGTGGAGGAGAGAAAATGGGATTTCCCCAAAGATGTACTGCTGTAAGTGGTAGAATCAAGATTTATTATAAAATGAGGTTGATCTGATTCTGCGTCAGTGGAGATACTTTTGGCTGTAATTAGCAGAAAACTTAACACCAAGTACTGGGACATATATTGTGACACATAAAAGGAAGCCCAGAGGTAGGGTGGGCCTCAGGGCTGGCTGCTCCAGAGACCAGCAGTATCATCAAGGACCCAGATTCTCATCCTGGTTTTGCTCTGCCATACTCAGGCCAGTTTCCCCTTGTTGTAGGGTGGCTGCTAGCAGCACTGTGGACCATGTGCTTGTTCACTGAATGGTCAAGACAGACTGGCTTCCATTGCTCAGTATTAAAAACAAAGAACAGGCTGGGTATGGTGGCTCACGCCTGTAATCCCAGCACTTTGGGAGGCCAAGGCAGGTGGATCACCTGAGGTCAGGAGTTTGAGACAAGCCTGGCCAATATGGTTAAACCCCATCTCTACTAAAAATACAAAAATAAGCCAGGCGTGGTGGCAGGCACCTGTAATCCCAGCTACTTGGGAGGCTGAGGCAGGAGAATCGCTTGATCCTGGGAGGCAGAGGTTGCAGTAAGCCGAGATCACACCATTGCACTCCAGCCTGGGCAACAGAGTAAGACTCTTGTCTCAAAAGGAAAAGAAAAGAAAAAAAAAAAAGAATAGCGAGGTATGGTGGCTCATGCTTGTAATCCTAGCACTTTCGGAGGCTGAGGTGGGCAGATCACTTGAGGTCAGGAGTTTGAGACCAGCCTGGCCAACATGGTGAAACCCCATCTCTACTTTAAAAAAAAAAAAAAAAAAAAAAAAGCCAGGTGCATGCCTGTCATCCCAGCTACTTAGGAGGCTGAGACAGGAGAATTGCTTGAACACAGGAAGCAGAAGTTGCAGTGAGCCAAAATTGCACCACTACACTCCAGCCTGGGGGACAGAGTGAAACCCTGTCTCAAAAAATAAAAATAAAAATAAAAACAAATAACAATTTTTTCCAGAAACTTCTGGAAATCTTCCCATGGAGTTTCAGTGGCTTGAACTGGGTCACCTGCTCATTCCTGAAACACTCATTGGCTCAGGGGATGAGGTCACCCTTAGGTCACTCAGGCACCTTGAGTGTAGATCAGTTCCCCAAACCACACTGTTGTTACTCAAGGGAAAAGGCAGAATGGAAGCTGGAGAGCAAAAGTCTTTCATCGTATCCAGGACAGGCTACGTCTTTTATGGGGCCCCAGGCAGAATGAAAATACAGGGCCCTTGGTTCAAAATTTTTTCAGAATTTCAAGATAGTGACAGCCCATCAAACCAAACACGGGCCCTCTGAGTGCAGGGCTCTGGGTGACTAAAGAGTTCACACACCCGTGAATCTGGCCCTCACCACAGACTGCCTGCTGCATACAATGTTTAAGTGTTCACTGCTCTGCCTCCCACTTGATAGCAAGAACCAACCACTCTTGTTTGTCATTGTGCCCTCTGTGCTTGATTCAATACCTGGCATATGAGAGGTACTCCAGGAAAAAAACATTTGAGAAAGGAGTGCTTGGTGGAGCTGATATCGCTGGTCTGAGGAAATAGTGGTAAGTGGTAGTGATGGAGATGCTGAGGATGTCTTGAGCACTGGCTGGAGGCTAGCATCATACATCTCACCTCCTTCCTTGGCGGATTCTCATCCCAGGCCTGAGAGTCTTCTACCTCCGGGTGCACCTAACCTCCCGAATGCCTCTCCTTGTATTTTGTACTTGAGGAACATTTTTGTTTAACTCACTTTCCTGATATGTCACAGGTCTTAGGCCTTTGGGGCTGATGCCTGCTGAACTATAATCACATGTTTGACGTGTTTGACCGGGATTCTCTTGCTGTTGCCTTCATTCACTGCTAGTCTTTGGATCACCATGCAAAGGGTTTTCTTTTTGAAGTTAAAATCTGCCTTTGGATAGGATATTCAGAAATGATATTTGTGTCTGTGTCAGTCCAATCTGTTTTTTTCGCATGTAGGAATGTAGTCCTCATTTTATCATAAGAGTTAAGTCAGATTTTATTGCAAACAGAGCACTGTGTGGACTCTAGGGAGAAACAGAGATTTAAAGAAGTATTTAGACATGTTGTCCTAATTGGAGACACTAGGCAAAAACACATGAGGAGTTAACAAGAGAATTGTCATCATAAAGACATCATGAGGGCAAGGCTTAATTAAATTAATTGGCTTTTGAAAGGTATAGGCTGCCCTCCTATTATTTTCTGCCTGCCTGCCTTTCCTCATGCTGTCTCTGCATATTTTATACCTTGTCCCTATCATTTAATTCTGTCCATCCTTCAAGGCCTCCAGAGATCACCTCAGAGACCTTGAATAGAAATGTTCTGCAGAGCGCCTGCTGCACATGGACATCTGATAGGCATTTATTGCCTTCTCCTGGGCACTGTCTCCCAATTTTGCAAGAAAACATCAGTCACTCCAGCCTCATCACATTCAATATACAGCCTGGGTGCCAGCAGTTCCCACACTGCATCTGGTTAGGGCTGTTGTCTGTAAGCCTGTCTCCTTCAGGAGGCTCAGTGCCTTGATGGTAGAGATGACATTCGTGCTATTCCCTCTCTCCATGCCTATCACATGATCTTGGACATAGTAGGTACCAGTGAAAGTTGGTTGACTTGCCTCTGTACTCTGAAGGCAGAGAAGGGAGAGAGTCTGTGGGTTTGAGGGCCCCAAGGGAATTCTCATGATCCTCAGTCTGAGATCACAAGTGAGATAGGCAGTGTGTGATTTCAGTCTAGTGATGAGCCCAAAACATTGCCTTGAGCTGTCAATAAGACCCCAGGCTGCCCAGGACTGACACCTCCCTCCTTGCCTTGGTCCTGCACCTTCCATCTCTAGGCCTTCCCTGTCAGTCTACTGGGAAAGCAGGATTCCCCAGGGAGCCTGGTTGCTTTGGCTACAGCCCCGCTATGCTGTACAGTCAGGCTCATACACGGCAAATACGAACAGTCAGGAAGGAAGTGTCTGTGTACCTCAAGTGTATGTAAAGGGGACAGTCAGACTGTATCTTCATGGAGGCTTTCGACATCTAGAAATATTCCTAAATGCCACATTTGAGTTCTAGAGAGAGAGAAAAACAGAGTTGTATTTCTCAAGTTCCCTTGGGCACAGTGCATTTGTCTTTGGACATGGTTGCTGTGCCGTGGCACTCCCTCTCCAGACCTCAGCTTGGGATATCCAGACACATGACAGACCCAGGCATCTCCCCCATTACTTTCTAGACCTAAGTAATATCACGCCATAGGTGGGACCCAACACACCGTATAAATGCCAGCCTTCACAGGACTGGCTCTTCCCAGCTTTTCTGGATCCCTGTAACATACAGTGTCAATGGTAGACAATGGAGAGAGGTAGAAAGACCCTGTGCTTGGAGAGTCAAGCTAGTCCTTGGTTTGAATCCACCACTTATTGGACAGACTCATGCTAACCCTTCACTTCCCTGAGACCCAGTTTCCTCATTCGTGAAATGAAGTTGATAGCGTTAAACTTCACAGTGCTGTAACACAGATCAGAAAGCCCAGATTTAAAGTACCTAGCACAGAGCCCGGCACACAGGAGGCTCAGCATGTACTTACGAGGAAAGACTGGCCGCCACAAAAATGCACTCTTTGGTTGACCTGACACAAGGAAGGGTCATGAAAACAGCCACAGACTCAAATACATTTTTCCCCATTTGGAATTATTCTGCCTGATTTGCATGGGCAGTTAAGAGAATGGACACATTAAAAGGCTTTTATATATATATACACACATATATATAATCTTGTTTGATGTTTTCCTCTCTGGGATGATGCCTAACATCTATCAGATGGCTGCTTTTGCCTAATTTCAGTCATTAGATTAAGGAAGGATGAGGTAGTTCATCCTCGGGGAGAAAAAAAAAATCAATGTGAGTAAGTGTGATTAGTAACAGCGTCCAGGAGTAATGCAGCGAGAGGACGAGACCGTGAACAAAGCTGCAGGCTGTGTTACTGTTACCCAGAGGATGCCTATTCCTGCCTCCGGGCTCAGCGGTGCAGCTGCTCCCATTTCCACACAGGTCATGGTCTGTCCACCTGGAAATGGACGTTAATATTACTTAATATCCACAGATCATTACAGGACATTTTTCTTACGAAGTAGAAATAGTCAGAACTTTATAGTAGTAGAGCATTATATTTTAAAACATCTCTGGTTTTAAAAACTACTCTTGTTTGTCATTGTGCCCTCTGTGCCTGATTCAATGCCTGGCATATGAGAGGTGCTCCAGGAAAAAAATATTTGAGAAAGGAGTGCTTGGCTGAGTTGATATCGATGGTCTGAGGAAATAGTGAACATCTGCTGAGATGTTGATGAGGTTTGAGAGAGTGATTCCTGCTCATCTGTTCACTAACATTCGCACCTACTATGTGACAAGCACTGGACTCAGTGCAAGTGACATGGTGATAAATAAGAGGCATCTCGAGGGGCTCACAGATTAGTGGGGGACATATGCATGCATACGAGTTAGTGTGCTAGCTGGACAAGCACAGCTACCTTGTGGTTTTGGGTTCCTGGGACATGAAGGAGGGTGTGGTCAGGTCTGCCTGAAGAGTGACGCGGTGTTTCAGCCTCTGAGTTGAGTTCTAACCTCACGGATTGAGGAGGGTCTAGGAAAGGCACTCTAGGCTGATAGCACAGCGGGTTAGGCATGACTCCCAGCTGTAAGGATGGAAACCCAACTCCAACTCACGTTTTTAAGCAAGGAAAATGTCACGGTGGTGTTACTGAAAGTCCAGGGGCTCCTTTTCCCATCAGCGCAGCTAGATCTAGGCATTCAGACGTCTTAATGAATCCCTCCTGACCCTGTTTCCCTTTGTTTTGGCCTTATTCTCAGGCAGGCATTCCTCATATGATGACAAAGGGACCCCTGCAAGCTTATCTACTACCAGCCTTGTAACCAAACGGAAAAAAACAGTGCCACTTTTTCTATAGCTCCAGAAAAATCTTGTGATTGCCTCTGATTGGCCTGACCAAAGTCACATATTTGCCTGAATCAGTCACCCTAGCCAGGGTGCTGAGCATGGAGTTTGATGGGTGATGTGGAGGGAGGGGGCAGGACAGAGAAGAAGAATCAACAAGCCTGCATTTGGATCCTGGCTCTACCTCTGTGATCATGGCACCTCTAATAGCTCCCCCTCTTACTAATTGTGTTATTTTGGACCAGTCTACCCACTTCTCAAAGCCTTGGTTATTTCAAACTGGAAATTGGATAATAATACATGTTTTATGGGGTTGTTTTTAGAATAAAATAAGTTCATGCATGTAAAGAACTTAACACAGTCTCTGGCACATAGTATTCACTCAGTAACCATAGACATTAGGACTGTAGACATAGTGAATACACATTTAGATTAGATTTACAATAAGTAGGTCTTGTGCTGGGACCATTAGGAATACAAAAATTCATATAGGAAACTCACTTTCTCTCATTTAAGCTTCAATCTCTGAGTAGGTACAATTATCTCCATTTTATAGATGACACTCAGAGAGGCTAAGTAACTTGTCTAGACCACACAGCTGAGTGAGTGGCAGAGCTGGGATTCAAACCCATGTCAACCGGACTCTGAAGCACTTGTCCTCTCTAGAACATGAAGGCAGCTTGGTCTTTCTACTTTATTTCTTCCAAAAAACAAAGGAAGCAGCCAGGTAAAAGTTTATTTCTCGCACTTCCTTATTTAAAAAGAAAATACAGAATGACATTCAGGCATGGGTGGAATTCCTGGGGATGTGCCTCCGAATCCCAATTTGCTTCAGATTCATCAGGATGCCAGGCCTGGAGATCTACACCCCTTCAGTGGTGTCAGCGCACCTCTGCATTGCATCTTACATTGTCAAGAGACATTTTCTTCAGGATGCCCTGGGCTGTATAAATTAGGCAGAACAGTGACCGCTGTGGTTATGAATATAACTGTTTGATTAAGGTTCCATGCCGGCTGCATTATTTGTTTCACAAACCTGAACTGGGCTGATTGGATTTCTCTCTCTGTCCCTTTTTTTTTTTTTTAACATAAGTAGATTCTAAAATTGGAAAAATAAAATATTCCACAGCTGAGAGAAAAGAATTAACTTGGGGAATAAGCCCAGGTGGCACCCACAGAATGTACACCTTTTGTATTGAAATAAAGTTAGCGTCGTTTGTGCCTTGACTCTGGGGTTTGTGAGGGGACTGCTCTATAAACAGCACATGATGCTGTGGTAAGAGAAGGAGTAGGAGGGCATTGACGAGGACCACAGCACTTAAGAGGACATTCTTAAATACTAATAATAGTACTATTTTCAGAACACCTACTGCATGCCAGGTGAAACGTACAGGTCAGTGAGGGGTGGAAATTATACTGTCGCCGTTAAGAGCACGGGAGTCGAAGCCAGACAGACTTGGATTTCTTGGCACTTAGTTGCCATGGAGCATGAACACATTCTCTCCCCGAGCCTCAGTTTTCTCTTCTGGAAGATAGAGATAACAATAGCTAACATTAGGTGAGTACTTGCTGTGTGTCATGCGTGTTCTTAGCACTTTACATGAATCCTCATGGCAACCCTATGACTAATGTCTCTATATCTCAAGCCAGGAAAATGGGCACAAGAAAAGCTAAGTAACTTGGGCAGGGCCACAGCTAGGAAATAGTAGAGCCAGGATTCAAACCCAGGCCACCCTCCTACCATACTGTATTACGTTCCTCTTAAACCTATGTCCGAGGACTCTTGGGAAGATGAAATGGAAAGACAGTGGCCTAAAGATGCTTTGCAGACTAACTAGCAGCCCAGCAAGCCTTCAATATTTTGAGGCCATCATTGGTATTATTATTACATTTCTGTTGCCTAGGGATTGAGCTGGGCACTTTGGAGAGGACTTCAGGAAGACAAAATTTCTTTTATCTGTTTGTAGTATGACTTGGCTTATGGACATTGATGGATGGAATACCTGCCCAAGATCTCCTGAGCCGATATAAAAAAAATAAAAATAAAAAAACCCACATGTGGTCAGTCGTAAATGATGAAAAGCATCTCTCTGATTTGTACACTTAGTTAGATGCTTTCCACCTTTTCCCCCAAGTGAGGCCTTTTAGGGCCTGAGGAAGAAGGTAAGGGTCACATGAGTAGGAGGCCACCATGCTGCCTTGTGACTTGCTGGATTTGGATGGCCGCTCTTCGGTGAAGGTAGAGGCGTTTGCATGCAACTTCTCTAAAGGCTGGGAAGGACTCTGCATTTGGAGTCTCTGTTTATGGGCTCTGCCACCTGGGCAAGCTGTGTAGCCTTGCAAAGTCTCCATTTTCTTACCTGTGAAAGGAGGATAATAACACCCATATCTTAGGATTGTCCTTCTGGTGTGTTATCAAACAGCAACACTTTTTGTGGTCCCCAAAACATCATTCATATAACTATTGATATGGTTGCTGTTCAAGCATAACAAAAATACATGAGGGGTTTTTGCATTTAATAAATTGCTCAGTGCATGTAGCCGAGGTACTTCAGAATTAATTTTTTCTTCTTCTGCCTCTAGGAGGCATCAAAAGTAGAAAGAGCAATCAGAAGCTTGTATTGGGATCTTAGCTTTTATCATTTCCCAGCAGTGTGACCATGGGCAGATTTCTTGTTTTGTATGTTGTTTGCTTTTTAAATCAAGATGTCACATTTAACAGAGTTGACCCCAATGCTAGGGCCTGAAATATCCCATCATTGAAAAAAATTGAAAAATTTCATAAACAAAGATGTGAGTAGATTTCTGAGGCTCAGTTTTCTCATCTGCAAAATGGAGAAATTAAGTCCTACTCTATACTGTTCCTCTGAAGATGAACTAAGGAAACCTTTGTAAAAGCCCTGATCATTGTCATGTGTCAATAAATATTCAGTCTCTAGTTCTACATGGTGGAATTTTTAAAATAAAGGAAATAAATTTAAAAATAAATATTTATTTTTTTCCTCCCTGACAACCTCCCAGTGTCCAGACCTAAAGACTGTACATGGACAAAGGCTTAATTTAGTTTCATTCAACAAACATTTTATAGCCACCAAGCACTAAGTGGAAAAGCAAATAAGATTTCTGCCCTTGGAGACCCTATAGCATAAGGAAAAATTAATTAGATGTAATTCCAAGGAGCTATGAGAGTGAATTAATAGCCTAAATTGATCCTTTCTATTGGCTGGTCACTATGCTAAGGACTCCATATCCACTGTCTCACTAAATTCCTACAACAACGCTAAGAAGTAGATTATGCTATTATCCCCATTTTACAGATGAAGAAATCAAGGCTTTCAGAGGTTAAAAACGCACTCAAAGCCACAAAGCTAGTAAGTGGTAAACCCTGGTTTCAAACTTTGTTCCATTTGATTCAGCACTCAACCTCCTGGCCACTGTGCTGTTTGAATGAGGTTTGTGGCATGAAACTGGGGTCCAGAAAAGGTCTGTAATATGACCAGTGTGTATGCAGGGCAGGTGAGATTTGATCCCGAGGCAGCTTGAGCCTGAGCCACAGTGCTTACCCACCATGCAATACTGCTCTGTGCGTTCTAGCGACCTTTTAGCCAACCTGTCCCTTTCATTTGAGGAATCTCAGTGTCTTTTCCAAGAGAAAGTCGTTTCTTCAAAATTACTGATGGCTACAAAGTGGAGGGAAAGGTATGAACATGATGGATGAGAATTCACCTCTTCCATGTGCTGGTATTTAGCCTCCTGCAGGGCCCATGGAATTGGGGTTAGAATTTGGAAAATGACCTGATAACCTGCCTTGACCTTTGATGCTGGCCATCAGTTTCAACAAAGTAGGCTATTCCCTGCAGGAGCCTTGAGATTCATTGTCTTGATTTTCTTTTCATGGCATCTCCAACTGTGGATAAAAATAAAAAGTTTATGCCCATCTCAATTATCAGCTGTCTTAAATGTGCAGTTTGGAGAAATGTCAGGTCAAGTTTAAAGAGAAGGATGAGGATGCACAGAGTGCCCAAATCACCCCAGGCCCCTCGAGAATCAGTGACAGTTCCTAGGTAAGAGAGTCCACAGATGGGAACCTACCTGGTACCCCAGAGAGGGTAATCATCCACTTCTAGCCTCACACAGGCTATGATATATTAAGATACAACCTCTGCCCTTGGAGCGTACAGTCTGGTGGAAGAGACAGACCCGTAAACAAATGGTGATAACTCAGAGTGAGCCATGGAGGCTAGAGAGCCCAAACTAGGAGTGAGAGTGGTCAGAGAAGGCTTCCTGGAGGAGGAAACTTCTAATCTGAGTTAACCAGGCAAAGGTGTGAAAAGCCTCCCACGCAGAAAACAATATGTGCATAGCCATGGCCATGAGACAAGCAGTGAGCAGTTTCATGAGTGGTGTCTAATTAACCTGTTAACCTTGGCACCTTTTTAAAGAGGGAGGTGGCGAGCTATGGGGTGCTACCCTGGAGCAGTGGACTCATGCCGGATGGTGGGGGGTCTCGTACTGTAGGCAGTGGGGAGCCACAAAAATGCTTTCAATCAGGGAAGCAACATAACCCAGTTTCCTTTTAGGGAGTTCACTCCATCTGATGGATAGCCACTGAATTGAAGCGGGTGAGCCGGCAGGCTGGGGCACCAATGTTCACTATGCCCCTGGCCTGACTCTCCACCAGTGAGGACCTGAGCTAACGTAGTGGCAGTAGGGGTGGTGAGGAGCTAGCAGATATGTGGAAGATGACAGCTAGAGGAATTGGTTACATTGTTAAGTTGTTGAACCTGAAAAAGAAGGAAGACACAGTGGCAGTTCCCAGAGGTCTGGTTGATTGATTGGGTGGGAGGTTCTGACAGCAGCTGGTGATGTTGAGATCAGGAGCATTAGGAGAGGGAGTATAGAATTGGGGCTGCAGGGACAGGGAGGCATTAAGTTTAACTGTGTATACATTTAGTTAGAGCAGTAGAGGCTTGACATTCAGGCAGGAGGTTGAGGCTCATTATATTAGCCCTGCTTCACTGACAAGGAGCTCACTACCTTAAGAGGCAGCCCATTCAATACTGGAGAGCTTGGCAGGAGGAAGGGTTTTCTTAAGCTTAACTGCTGTCTGCTCCAGGTAACTTCCTGGTCTTGGTTGTCATTCATCTTCCTAAAGCCCCATGGAGTAGATTTACTCCTTCTCCCACCCCTTTGGCAGTTTGAAGGCAGCAGTAGTATTCTCGCTATTTCCTTCTTTCCAAGAAATTCCCTGAGAGGAACAAGGGAAGCCAAGAGGAACTAGACCATCAATGGCTGGAAGGGACTCAGGAGATTAAAAATGAAGGAACTTCCTTTTTCAGATAGACAAATTGAGGCCCAGAGAAAGAAAGGGACTTCCCCAAAGTCACAGAGTGAGTTAAAGGCAAGGCTGGGAATAGTTCTTCCATCTAGGACCGTTGAATACACCGTGTGATTGGGTGTTTTATTTCCTAGCACATGAATTCTGTGGGCATAAGCTATGAGACTTGGACATTATAAGGCGTTTAGCGTTTTTCAGCTGGACTCCTAAACACATACTCCTTCTTTAAGCTCTTCTCCTTCCCCTTCTCCTCTCCAGGCTAACAGCATCAGTCCTCCCCCTACTCCCTCAGGGACACAGTTTCTAAACCCTTCACCATCCAAGGAAGCCAGGGAAAGCATTAACTAGCTCCAGAGACCTTGAGAAGGATCAGCCTCTACTGTACTGAGTTGACCCCGCCATCCAGTATCCCTCCTCTGGGCCCGCTCCAGCAAATCAGCACAGCATGGCCGTCCCTGTTTCTTCGTGCTTTTCCTCTGTGAATGCAGCCTACCTACATTTCCATGAGCTGCTTATCCGCTCCATCACACTGCCGACTCCTGTTGAGCTGAATTCCACCCCCGACACTCACACACACACACACACACACACACACACACACACACACACACACATACCTCTTACCCATCAACTATGGTTCCTTGTTGATTTGGGACTTGACCTAACTGTTTATGGATCAGATCATTTTTGAAAAGGGTAAGAAGGTGGCAATGGAAGGAAGGAAAACTCACTTGACAGCCAGAAAGCTTTCCCAGGACAAATTCTGCCTTGAGGTAGACACAGCTTTAAGTTGGGGGAAAGCATGTATCCAGAAAAGATCCCACCCCTCCGGCTGCAGCTGGCCTTTCCCAACAAAATCTGCCTGTTCAGATTTTACAGGCAGAAACTTTGTCTAATCCATCTCTATGTCTCCAGTATCGAGGACAAGGCATATAAAAAGTGATGTTTGTAAAAGAAATGAAAGCAGAGAAGCAGGAAGGGAAGGAAGGAGGAAGGGAAGAACCATCACATGTTTCCCTTTCTTTCATTCCATCCTTTTGCCTTGTTTGGTGCCCAGTCACACAACACAATATAATACACGACTTGCTGTGCACATATTTTGTAAGCAGATGTTCATTAACAAGTACAGGTTCAGAATGATATAGTCTTAGATTTTAAAATTGGAATGGACTCCCACCACCTCCTTTTCTGTTTGTCAATTGGGGAAACGGGCTCAGATAGGTTAAGTGTTTTGCCCAAGGTCACACAGCAAATTAGCCGCTGATTGGGATAAGCGCAAGAATGAAATTTGGTGGAGTATATGTTGTGAGAGAGTTCTACTTTTGGATTCAAATGGTGGCCCAGTCAAATTATGCAAGCCCCATGCTTAAAAGAGACAGGTTTTGATGCTCTTGGCTTAATTTGTCTATGAATTACCATGACCCTAGGAATAGAGAGCATTGTTGATTACACCTCTCTCTGGCAGTTGCCAAAACTCTGTTCTTCCCTCAATTGTCTAGTTAAAGGGCAGTAGGGCACTCTCCCCCAGTCCTATCCTAGAGAACATTCACTGATGGTTGAGGAACCTCATGTGCATTTTAATGAAGCCTGGGAGTTCTGGTTCACTCTTATGACTACTCTTAGCTTTAAAAGTTTGGAAGTCGGCTAGGCGCGGTGGCTCACGCCTGTAATCCCAGCACTTTGGGAGGCCGAGGCGGGCCAAATCACAAGGTCAGGAGTTCGAGACCAGCCTGGCCAACATGGTGAAACCCAGTCTCTACTAAAAAAATTTAAAAATTAGCCAGGCATGGTGGCGTGCGGCTGTAATCCCAACTACTCGGGAGGCTGAGGCAGGAGAATTGCTTGAACCCATGAGACGGAGGTTGCAGTGGGCTGAGATCGCACCACTGCACTCCAGCCTGGGCAACAGAGCAAGACTCTGTCTCACTGGAAGTCGGGGTGAGCCCTCTTTCTGAACACCCTTGAAACTCCCTCTGGCTCCAGGCTCTTAAAGGTGGGTTCCAACCTCATCTCTCTTTGTGGTCCATTGCCAGATCTCTATTCCATGTGCCCAGGTCTCTCACCATACTGCTGCCACAAGGGGTCTGTATCTTTCAGCCTGTGGGCCTTTGCTCACTCATGCCAGGCCCCTACCTAGAATGCCCTCTTGCTCCCCTTTTGTCTGCCTCTGTCCTGCCTCTACTTCAGTGCTCTGTTCAAGTTCTTGCTCTTCCTAGAAGCTTTCCTAGACCACTCTATGTGTAAATTGTTGTATCCTGGAGGGATGTGGCTACTGCCTGAGACTCAGAGCGGAAGCTGAGCTGCCACGGGCTGGGGGAAAAGAAGTGTCTTGTTCATTATCTGTGCTCTAGCAGACTGGGTAATTTCTAAAGAAAAGAAATTTCCTTCTTACATTTGGAAGCTAGGAAATCCAAAGTCCAGGGGGCCACATCTGGTGAGGGCCTTCTTAGCATGTCATAACTTTGCAGAAGACATCACATGGTGAGAGGGCAAGAGTGCGTCAGACCAGGTCTCTCTTCTTCTTATAAAGCCACCAGACCCACTACTGGGGCCCCACCCTGATGGTTTTGTCTCACCATAATCACTTTCCAAAGGCCCCACCTCCAAATGCCATCAATATATGAATTGGATATTATGTTTCCAACACATGACATTTGGGGTACACATCCAAACAATAGCAAGAAGGTTACTCCAGCCTCTCTCTCTTCCTACCTTTCAGTGTCCTGCTGTGCTCACCATTAGCCAAACCTATCCAGAAGCCAGTGGGCAAGGGAGCCCAGGTGATGCAGTCCTTAGGAGTCAGCCTCCTGGGACACAGAAAGGCAGAGAATGGTCTGGAACTAAGGATGGGGCTGGAGGAGGCAAACAGAGAATAAAGTCTTACAGTAGCTGTTTACCCATCCTACTGTAACTGGAGTACATATCCCCTGGGATCACTGGTCCCAGTCATTGCATGCAGCTAGCCTCCCTGGCCACCTCCTGCCAAAGGCCAGCTGTGCTTCCCAGCCATTGTGACAACCAGAAAACACCCTTCCTCATTTCCATACACCCCTGTTTAAAAACCACTGCATCATACAATGAGGCTTTTTCATACATTGTCCCTTCATCACTGTTTGTAAAATGCAAAGCAATTTAATAATCTGAGTGTTCACCGAAAGTTCTGTCCTGACTAAATGAATGAGGAAGCAGAAATAGCCATATTATGACCTCAAGGTGCTATTTTTTATTCCCCATCAGAATACTGGAAGGGGAGCCAGGGAAGCCCCACAGTCTGCTGTCCTCTGTGGGCCCTTCCTTGTGTGTGAGTCCATCTGGGATTTCAGGCCAAATACTGTTTAGAAGCCTTGAGCACTGGCCGTGACATAGGACTAAAGTGAGAATGAACCGAAACCATTTTGTCCGGAGAAGGAGTGAATAGGCAGAGAAAACACTACAAAAAGTGTGACCCCTAGCCTCATGTTCAGACTGGTGGTTACATTGTGGACTTCATTGTTTTGATCCATTCTAGGTTCAGGTAACAATAATACTGATTGTTTTCTCTAACTCTTGCACAAGACTTTACAGTTTGCAAGGTGCTTTCATACACATTTGACAAGTGAAGAAACTGAAACTCAGGTTAAATAAAGTGCTTGAGATTCTACAGCTTGAAGGAGGCAGAACTGAGACTGGAAGTCAGGCTATCAGATTCCGACTGCTGACTGTGTTGATAAAGAGCTTTCCGGCCTTCATAAATTGGTCGTGTAGGCCAAGATTCATTAGCTAAGCTCTCAGCACTGCTACATCACCATCCCATGTCAGTGGTAGTCGATGGCATTTTAATGGAAGCCAAATAACTCTTTCTGTTGGCATTCTCAGGCAGCTGGAGTTTTTGTTTTATGATAACTAAATACCATCATCTTTCATATCTGACAATCTTTAGGACCCAATTAATGACTGCAGTGTATGCTTGGGTCATCATTAGCTCCGTAGCAAGGAGACCTTCAGGCACCTGTCTGCCATTTGCAGGGCTGGATGTGGGCACTCAGCCTGGCACCCTTTCTTGGAGCCAGAGCTGTCCTTAGATCACAGGGCTATTGACATGATTGAGTTCCTTGCCTGAGCCAAAGCTCTGGAAGTTTATGGCTTTTTCTCATGAATGTGATCTTATAAAAGAATAGTGGTAGACTCCACTGGAATCTTTCCACGAGGGAGGCACCCTGCCATCAGTCTAGGGGGTTCTTATAGCCTGTCCCGGCCTGGTTCATCCTCCACGTGGCCACCAGAAATCTTCCTCACATACTAATGTGACCCCCCACCCTCTGGATAAAGGCCAAGGTCTTTAGCCTGGCACCTCCAGGAAGTGACCACCTGGGCCTGCCCCAGTGTCTCTACCTCACCCGCAGCCACTGTTTTCACATAGCCATTTCACTCTAGTTATAAAACTGTCCCCAGCTGGCCTTGCTTCTGAACCCTTGCACATGCATTATCTTCTGCCTAGAATGCCCCTCAGACATAGGTCTCATGTCACTTCTCAGAAACCTTTCCTGAGCCTGACAGTCAGTCTGGCAGCTGCCCTCCATACCTGTGGTGCTCCCTGGGGCTGTGGCGTATGCCGATAAGAATTATTGTGGTCGACACTTGGAAAGTGCTCAGTATGTGGCAGGCCTTGATGTAAGCACCTTACCTGCATTCACTCATTGAATGCACACAAAAAAGAATGTTTAACAGTAGGGTCTATGGAGGCAGACTGCCTGAGTTCAAATTCTGGCTCCACCAATTAAAGGTTTCGAAATCCTGGGCAAATTGCTTAGCCTTTATGTGTCAGTTTCCTCATTTACAAAACTGGGAGTAATAACAGTACCTTCTTTACAGAGCTGTTATAAGGATTAAATAATCAAAGTACTTAGAAAGTATCCGGCAAGTAGTAAATACTCAGTAAATGTTAACTAATGTATGCGATGATGATGCTGATGTGTAATTTTATCATCACCAGTTTGTGTAGTATATATCTGTTTGTATATCCATTTTCTTTACTAGACTATGAGCATCTCAAAGTCAAGGACCATATTTGTTTTATTTCTCAATCTCTATGTATTCAACCTACGGTAGTCCATATTCTTTCTCTTCCTTTTATTGCCATTACTATTATATATACATTTTATAGATGAATGACTAGAGGCTCATAGAGGTGAATGTAGCCAGTAGGAGACAGAATTAAGGTCTAGGTCTGTGAGATCCCCGAGCTCTGCTCTTGTATCTTTGCCAGCTGTCCTCCCAACCACTGACTACTTGTCAAGGATGAGGCTTATCCCCATCTTTTAATCCATCAAGTCCCTGCATACAACAAGGGGCTGTTTAATATTCCTGGCTGATTAACACTAGGGCCTTCTCCTTATGGCACACCTTCAACCCAGGGCAGAGAGGTATGGATTTGGGTAGCAGCCCCTGCCTGGTTTGCTCTGAGATGCTAGTCTAATGCAGAAAGGAGCTTTCATCTTTGAATACATGGTGAGCCCATGTGTCTGGTTTTATTCTGAGTGTCAGGGCTACAGCCATTCTCATCAGTTTCTGAACTGCAAGTTCAGCTACAGGCACCCTCCTGCGACTAGAGCTCCTAGGAGCCAGCAGGTTGTCCAGAGTGGGATTCAGTGTAATAAAATAGTATCACACTTCTGTTAGATATGTTCTGCTCTTTTTCTCTCAAGGTTTTTTGCTTTGGAACCCCTGTTGTAAACGCTGAAGAGTGATCACCATGGTGATGATTCAGGGCTTTGCGATTTATTCATTCAACATGACTTTATTGTAATTGTGGAATTAATAGTTACCATTTTTCAGAATTCCTATATTCCAAGCATGGTGCTAAGTACTCACATACATTATCTCTTTTAATTCTCATAACAATCCTATAAGGTGGGCGTTATTTCCATTTAGTGATAAGAAAACTAAAGCTCCAGAGAAAGTAAGTGACTTGATGACAGTCACACAGCTTCTAAGTGGCAGAGCCAAAACTTGAACTCAGGGCTCTCTGACACCAAAGCCGAGTCTCTTTCTCTTACATACGGCTCTGCCCAGCATTGTAAAGGAGCCTCACTATGATCTTGGTTCAGGGAGGTGCAGCCAGGAGGTTTCGGTGTTCAGGATTTCTGTGCATCTAAAATGAAAACTGCCTAACGTGTTGGAGGACACTAGTAACTGCAAATATATTTAAGAACTTGTAGGAAGCAAAGAAACTTCCTGGAAAACCAGGCTTGCAAAACTCAGGTAAGCAAGTGACCTTTACTGGCAGTGGTGTGCACAAATAGCAGTAAAATGACTCACATTTGGGCTTGATTCACAGATATACTTGGTAGCTATATCTGTAAGAAGAGGGTATAAATTGGAATTTCCATCACAGCTTTGCAAGTGTACCAATGTGTACTCCCAGGTAGCGTGAGAGAAGCAACTGCTTGTGCAGGCAAAAAGCCCAACTACCTGAGTTGTTGTTCTTTCCCCGACATTCTGTAAATATTTACTGAGGGCCTACCATGCATCAGGCACAGCTCTGTGCGGACGCTGGGGATATGGAAAGAAATGACACATGGGTCTTTCCCTCAGGGCTTAGTAGGAGTTGATGGTACCCATGGCTCTTCATCCTCCAGAAAGTGGTGAAGTAGGAAAGTGTGCCCTTTCACACACACACTGACCAAGGACCGAAGAGAAGTGAGTTGTTGCAGGTCACCCAGCCAGTAAATAGAAACTATAAGAGAGTTCTCTCTTAGGCCATGTTTATCTTGTTCACTGTTTTATTCCCAATACCTAGTGTACAATACTTGGCACAGAATAGGCATTCAATAAATGCTGAATGGGTGAACTGATTCTGAGATTCCCTCCAAAGACGAGGGTGCATATTTGTCGGGGGATAAAAGAAGTCTCCTCTGTAGCCTCTCACCTCTGTCTTCCCTCCTGGCCATAGGAGCAAAAAAAAAAAAAAAAAAGGAGTCCATTCAGACCAGAGGAAACATTTGCTCTTTGGGAAGTTAATGTTTCTTTCTGGGGTTTGTGAGTGAGGTTTCCATTGCTGAGCTCCCAAATACAGAGCTTTTCCTTTGGGAACCCAGGAAACATCAAGGTCCCCTTTCTTAACATTCTCAAGCTAGAAAGGGTGAGGGAAGGGAAATAAAGGGCCTAGCTCAAGCCTCTGCAACTCTGGCTCCAGGCAAATAAGTGAAGGCCTGCATAGACCCATGGTCTAGCAGGCCCAGAGTGGTCTACTATGATTTTTTGCACACAAATTGCCCCACATGAACCTCACTTGCTTGCACTGACAGCTCAGGCCATTCACATGGCTATTCATTCAATAAACTTAATTGAGCATCTGCTCAGTTCTAGGCTCTGTGTTCACCCAGCACAGAGAAGAGAAGATAGGGACTTTCACACCTCCCAGAGGAGGCAACATGTGGACATCAGTATGCATGCTCTTGGGGAGGAAATGAAAATGAGAGGTCTGGGTTGCCTGCTGTCAGCATTCAAGAGGAAAAGGACAGATCAAGGAAGTCTTTCTGGACGGGGAGGCAGTTGAGCTGAGAGCTCAAAAGATAGAAAGGATTTGGCCCAGAACATTCCTTGTCCCCATAGAAAACATTCCTTGTCCCCATAGGAGAATTTCCTTTTAGAAGTTAGTTTTTAGACCTGGACCAGTGATCTTACTTAAAATTTCATCATTGCAGGACTTTTGACAGTTCTCCTGAACATTTATCAAGCCAGAGCCTGGTGTCCCCATTAGTCACAAAGCAAATGTCTGTAGGCTTGCCTGCCTCAGACATCAGATGCTACTGTCTTCACTGAGGACCTTTTTCCTGCATTTAGCCATGGACAGACATTCCAGGAGGTGTTTAAGTTTTATGCAAAGGCACCATGGTTTGGTAGACTGAATTTGGCTTTTGTGTTTATGAGAACTGACTAGTTTTGTAAGCCTCAGCGTCCTCATCTGTAAAATGGGAATACAAATACTGCCCCCGAAGGGTTGTTGTGAGCATTAGAAACGTTAAGGGTTTGAAAGCACACATTACAGATGCTCCAATACATAGCAGAAACTATATCAATTAAGTAAAATGCCATGAGGTTGACTCCTAGGACCAGAGCAGGAGCAAGGACTGGGTCACACTTCTCTGCTGGCCTCTTGATAACCATTGGACAGTAGTGGTTCAGCCACTGCCTCCCACTGCTCTGGTGAACTACTGCCAGCAGCCTGAAAGGCCAAGGCTGGGAAGAACATTCAGTCAGCCCAAGAGGCTGCTTCTGCTGCTGGCTTCTGTCCCAGGCTCTGTCTGTCTCCACCGAAGTGCCACCTGAGGACAGCTGGACAAAACAAATGACCCTGCACATTCTCACCTTCTTTCTCGTCCAATACTCCCTGTTCTCTGAGTGGGACACCACTCTGCCTGGACAAGTTGTATTCGCCTGCCAGGTTCTCTCCCTTCCCAGCAAGGAACATCCTTGCTAGTTCCCTTCTGGTCCAGCACTACAGAACTGCATATCTTCAGGGAGTACCATTCACATTCTGTCACCTTCCTGGGGACCCTCCTTGTGGGAGTTGAGGTTTTGGCCATTCAGATGGTCTCAGTACATCTCCTGGCCTCGGAGGAAAAATGTGGCTGGAGTGGAGGATGCATGATGGAGCTGATGGGAGAAGAGGCTGGAAGACATGGATCGGATTCCGGAGGGTTTTGTATTAATAAGCCAGGTGTGGGCTTTATGCCGAAAGTAGCAGCTTGTAATAAGGAAGTGATCCACTTAGAGGGGTTCCTGTTTCTTTCTCCCTTCCACCCCTAACTCCCCTTTCCCGAATTCCCCACCAGATTGGCTTTGTACCTCTTTGGCATAAAAGGTTGATTTACTCAAAAAGCAGAGTGATGCATCTTACACTAAAAAAATCCATAACACTAATGGTGCTTCATACTTGACTGTGCTTGATGATTTCCAAAAAGCCTTCTCCCTATCCAAGGAAGAGCACAGCTTTTGGAATATTGCTGTTCTTTCTGATTCTTAGTCTCCTCTATAAAATACAGAATTCTCATGAGGAACAAAGGAAGCAGAATACTTCAGAAATATTTATTTCCTACCAATTGCCTCATTTGATCTCACAGTAGCCCTGTGATCCCCCAAATAAACTATTTCCCCTATTTTACAGATGAGAAAACTGAGGCTTAAAGAGGTTAAATGACTTGTCCATGCCCATGTGGTTAATAAGTGGTAGAATCTAGGTTAGAATCTAATTTCTTGGCCTCTTCACCACCCGCATAATATCATCTGCTTTGAAAGACTAGGCTTTCTGTGAGCATAGCTTAGATGGATGGTGAAGATTTACCTCCACAACTTGCCTCATTTGTGGTATCACCAGAAATTGTATTTGTTTTCTTTCTTTGCCAATAACACCTACTTAGCCACAAACCCTTGGGCACTTTACTTACCTGCTCCAAGTCTACGTTTTTCATCTATAAATTGGTGATGATACCTGGTGTTCTGAATAATTAAAGGGAATAAATAAAGTATCTCAATGTTCTCATCTGTAAACTGGGGATAAAAGCAGTCCCTACTCTGCAGTGGTTGTGAGAATTAGCTGAATTTACACTTGTAGAAGGCTCAGAACGGGACTCTGGCACATTCGATGTGCTCAGTAAATGTTGAGTGGTTTTTAACCACCGGACCCCAGCATGGCTCACTTTATTCAAAAGTCATCTTTCTCGTTACGTGGCCACCCTATCTAAAATTTCACCACTGCCCTTACATACACAGGCCACAGTCCCCTTCCTGGCTGTATGTGCTCTTAGATTTATCACCATCTCAGTAAACTCTATGTTTTACTTTTTTTTTTTTTTTTGAGACAGAGTCTTGCTCTGTAGCTCAGGCTGGAGTGCAGTGGCGCAATCTCAGCTCACTGCAAGCTCCGCCTCCCAGGTTCACGCCATTCTCCTGCCCCAGCCTCCTGAGCAGCTGGGACTACAGGCGCCCGCCACCACGCCCGGCTAATTTTTTGTATTTTTAGTAGAGACAGGGTTTCACCATGTTAGCCAGGATGGTCTCGATCTCCTGACCTTGTGATCCGCCCACCTCGGCCTCCCAAAGTGCTGGGATTACAGGCTTGAGCCACCGCGACCGGCCACGTTTTACTTTTAAAAACTTGGTTTGTTTCGTTTACTGTGTACCATCATATATAATCAGCGGTTCTAGAATTTTAGCATACATCAGAGTCACTTGGAGGGTTTGTAAAATCAGTTTCCTGGGCCCTATCAGGGTTCATGATTCAGTCAGCCTGGGGCAGGGCTTATTTTCATCTCTAACAAGTTCCCAGACGATGCTGAAGCTGCTGGTCCCTGGCCACACTTTAAAAACCACGTCCTAAAAGCATGAAACAATGTGAAGTTGCTGAGATGGGTAACTAGTCTTTTTTATGTTGTTTATTGTTTCACTCCCCTGCTAGAATTTAAGCTCAGTGGGGACGGGAATTTTTGTCTGTTTAGTTGGTTAAGGTATCCCTAGCACCTAGAATGGTAGGTGCTCAATAAACAACTGTCGTGTAATTACTGATTGACTGCATCAATATGTATAATCTGCCGGCTCCCTCTTCTGTGGTCTTGCTCAGACCTCCGTGGCTGCTTTTCCAGCCGAGGGGCAGCACCAAGCTCACCGCCGCTGACCGCCATGTTTGTGCCCTAGATCATCCGGGCGGCCTGCAGAACCACGCGCGGCTCCGGACGCCGCCGCCGCCGCTCTCGCACGCCCACACCCCCAACCAGCACCACGCGGCCTCCATTAACTCCCTGAACCGGGGCAACTTCACGCCGAGGAGCAACCCCAGCCCGGCCCCCACGGACCACTCGCTCTCCGGAGAGCCCCCTGCCGGCGGCGCCCAGGAGCCTGCCCACGCCCAGGAGAACTGGCTGCTCAACAGCAACATCCCCCTGGAGACCAGGTGCGCGGCCGGTAGGGAGGGTGAGGCTGAGGAGGGTGGGCACCCGGGGCCCGGACCAAGGTCTTTGGCTGGCGGGGCCATTCAGTGTCCCCAGATAACGCCGGCCGGAGGAGCTGGGGTTGGGTGCACGGTTTAGGGATGCGGTTCCCTGACTGCCAGCATGGGCTTTGGAACCCGAGAGACCCAAGGTCCAGTGCTAGCCTGCTGATTACCAAAGGTGTGACCTTGGCCAAGTTGCTAGACACCCCCCGCACCAACCCCTTGCCTCTCTTCCCTTATCTACACAATGGCCATGATGTTTGCGGGACGGAACTGTTAAAGGAGATGAGAGCTAATGTGTGAACGAGGCTTTCACAGATGTGTGACCAACAGCAGGCTCTCAGTCTGGTTTGGCTCGGGCCCTCATCTTTGCCTTTCCCTACATGATTCTACCACCCAATGCCTAGTGTCAGACCTGCCTGGCCTGGCGTCGGCACTCAGCTATGTCAGTCTCCCCACCTCTCCTCCTTCCCTGCTGTGCTACCACCTTTATGCCCAAAGCCCTAATAACCCCTAGCATGTATACATCAGCTTTGGGTTACAAGGGCTTTCCTGTGTGTGACATTATGTAATCCTCATACCTCTATGAAGTGGGTATTAGGATGATAATCCCCATTTGGGAATTTGGAAGCTGAGAATCAGAGCGGGTCCATCACTAGCTCACTTCACACAGGCGACTGAGGCACAGCTGAAACTTGAACTCAGGTTGCCTGACTCCCTGTCCAGTGCTGCTTCACCTACACCCCAGCCACCTTCTCTTCGTCTCTGCTGGCCGGGATCCCTCTGCCCTGTTCCTTCTTCCAGCTTTGTTGGTCAGTGATTTGTCAGCTCAGGGACATCAGTCTCCTTGAGTTCTGTAGCTGTTCTCCTTCCCTCTGCCTACACACTGTTTTTCCAAAATGAAGTTTGTTTATGATTTTAAAAACCATACAAGCTCACCGGAGAAAATGCAGAAAACTATGAAGACAAAAATTAAGATTTACCCATAATCCTACCACTCTGAGATAAGCGCTGTTGACTTTGGGAGCATAGCCTTTCCCTTTCTCTAAACTGTAGATGAAGTGTCCTAGGCTGGCAAAACTGGAACCACTTTATCTTCTACCCTACTTCCTAAAGTAGTGGGAAACGTAGATTTTATTTCCCCAAACTCCTGTTCTTTATCTGTGAAGAGAACAAAGGTCATCCCACAGTTAAGGAAGTAAAATTAACCTGCATGTGAAAAGTGTGGACATGTGACTGCCTAGCACACAGCTATGGTAATGGCACATCAAGCTTGTGGAGGCCAGTAAGAGAAAATGAACATTGTTTGTACCACTTTACTCCTGTAGAATTGTTTTTCCGAAAGCAAAATTCTTAGAGATGCAGCCCAAGCAGCTTCCCCGCTCCCGCCTCCAGTCTCTTAATTTATATTATTTCTGTTGGCATCCTTTAAAATCGTGTGTGATTTTTCCCTGTGTGCCTCATCAGTAACAGAGTAGGATAATTGTGTGTCAGCCTGCCCAGGGTAGCTTAATCAGATCTCCATTATTTCCAATGTGCTCATTGAAAGACCGAACATGACTGGAAGAAGCCAGCCACTAATCGATGGTTCTGATGCTCTGCATGGACCACAGTCACCACTCCCTCTGCTTGGATGTTCATCTTTCCCACTTAGGATCAAGTTAGAACTTCCTATTCTGAGTCTCCAGGTTTTTCAAGGAAAGGAAGATAGAGGATGAGCAGCAAGGCGGTTTTCCTAATGGTTAGTGTGAGTTGTAAAGGTGGTCCCAGCTCACGTCTCCTGTCTTTCTGTGCTCACCTGCCTTTCTGATGTTCTATCTTCCCACATCCATTGCTCAAACACATGCAGCTTTTTCTTTTTATTTATACTTTATTACTCAAATAAGAAATGTTCATTGTAAAACAGCTAGACAATGAAATAAGCAAGAAGAAAAGAAAATCATTTTTATTTGTCACCAAAAGTAACCATTGTTAACATGTAGGTATATACTCACATAACACCATTTTATGTACATCTATATACATATATAACATTATTTGTGATATATATCATATATATTTAATATTCAGTGTATGTATATGCATGTATGTGCATGTACATGTATTTCCCCCAATGCGAGGCCCTTTCATGCCTTTTCACAGAGTCTTGCAGAGCTCTGCCAGAGTCGCTCACCTTCTCACTTCGTGGTCTATCCAGTCCTACTTATTCTTGAAGCCCCGGTTGAAATGTTTGAGGAAGTCTTCCTCTGTGACCCCAGAGTCCTGTCCCTCCAAGGATGACCTAAAGCCGGAAAAGGTGCTTAATTCAGTGAATACACAATCAGAATTCTAGATCTTGATGCTGACCTTAACTGGTTGAAGGCACAAAACTAACAAGGCACGGTTTAGGAGGGATCAGCATCAAGTCTGGCAGACTGAATCACAAGCTGACCACCTTGGCAAGGTGGACAGAATATGGCCTTCAAAGTCAGAGGGACCTTCATACCTGCCTTGGCTTTAACGCTTACTAGCTGGCCAAGTTCCCTAACATCCCTGAACCTTGATTTCCTCATCTATAAATTGGGATAAGAATTCGTGCCTCTCAAAGAGGTTGGGAGGAAGTAAATGTGATATATAAGAAGCACACAGCACAGTGCCTAGCATTTAGAAAACACACTCTAAAAGCTATTTCCCATTTTTTTCATATACATCTTCTCTCCATATCCACCCTGTGGATAAAAATGTCATTCAAAAAGAGTTTCTTGAGCTCCTACTCGCCCCAAAGGAGTTGAGGGGAAATAGTAGGTTCTACCTCTTCTCTACTTCAGAGAAGTAAGTTTGGCCTTATGTTCTGAGGGTACAAGTGATGGCCCATTCACCATAGTGAGTTTGAAGCACCGGTTTTAGGATCAGACATACCCTATCCTCAGAAACCCCACCCTAGTGCTCACTAGCTATGGACCAAGACCTTCAATTTCATCTCTAAAATGGAGAAAATAAAAGTCACTTTCTGCTGTGATTATCTATTGCTGCACAACAAACAAATGACTCCAAAATTTAGTGGCTTTGGAAACATCCAGTTGATTACACTTCACAGTGTGAGTCAAGAGTTTAGGAAGAGCTCAGCTAGGCTATTCATCCACTCCACATCGCGTTGACAGGGGTCCACTGGTAGTATTCAGCTGGCAACTGGACTCATTTGAAGGATCCAAGATGACTTCACTAACATAATTGACATCTTGTGGGGGGATGGCTGGAAAGCTGGTCTTGGCAGTACCCTTCTGTCTCAGTCCATTTAGTGTTGCTATAAAGGAATGCCTGAGGGTGGGTAATTTATAAAGAAAAAGGATTTATTTGGCTTACAGTTCTGCAGACTTTACAAGAAATATGACACAAGCATCTGCTTCTGGTGAGAGCCTCAGGCTGCTTCCACTCATGGCAGAAAGTAAAGGGGAGCCAGTATGTGCAGAGATCACATGGCAACAGAGAGAGGGGTGGGGAGGTGCCAGGCTCTTTTTAACAACCAGCTCTGGAAGGAACTAATAAAAGTGAGAACTTGATCTCCTCCCAAGGAGGGCTTTAATCTACTCATGCAGGATCCACCCTCGTGACCGAAACGCCTCCCATTAGGCCCCACCTCTAACATTGGGTATCAAATTTTCTTTCTTTTTTCTTTTTCCCCCCCCCCCCGCTTTTTGAGACAGAGTGCAGTGGCATGATCCTGACACGCTGCAGCCTCAACCTCCCAGACTCAAGCAGTCCTTCCACCTTAGCCTCCCAAGTAGCTGGGACTACAGGCATGTGCCACCCCCATGCCCAGCTGATTTTGTTTATTTTTTGTAGAGATCAGGATGGTCTTGAACTCCTGGGCACAAGCAATCCTCCTGCCTCGGCCTCCCAAAGTGCTGGTTCTACAGGTGTGAGTTACCGTGCCCAGCTGGGTATTAAATTTTAACATGAGCTTTGGGGGGACAAACATCCAAACTATAGCATCCTCTCCCTCTAAGGGCCTCTCCAAATAGGCTTCCTAGCAGGGTAATTGTGCTTCATACTCAGTGGCTTGCGGCTCCAAGGCACTGAGACAGGAGCTATTGATGCTTTTAAGGCTTGGCCTGAAAATGCTATAGTGTCATTTCCTCCATATTCTGTTAGTCAAAGCAGTCATAAGCTGGCCAGCTTCAAGAGGAGGAGAAACAGACCCCACTTCTCAGTGGAAAAAGTGTCCAAGAATTTGTGGCCATCTTTAATCCACCACACCACCTCATAAGGCTGTTGTAACAAACATATTAAGATAATGTCTGAAAATGTCTTAGCATATAGTAAATGCTCAACTACTTATTATGTAGTGTTTTATTATTCAATAAATATTCACTGAGTGTCTACTATGTGTCTACCAGGTAAGACATTTCAGAGAACAGACTCCTATAATAGAATAAGTGCTTTGATAGAGAAAAGTACAGGAAATAATGCTACTTTTTAATTGCCCTGAGATCCCCAGCACACAACACAGGGCTTCCCACAACATGGTAGCTGTTTGATAATTATTAACACAGGTGAAATAAATGAATGAATATGTATACTTAACTGAGACTTGAGTGGGGAGAAAGGAAGGCTTCCTGGAAGACCTGGTACAGCATGACTGAGAAGAGCAAGCAGGAGTCTCCCAGGCAGAGGAGGGGCAGAAAGGAGGGCCTGAGAGGGCACAGTCTGAGCAGAGGCCTAGCGGCCCAACAGAGCAGGTTGGGCCAGTCCCCACCAGAATGGGAGCCTAAACAGCTTTTGCCAGTCCCCACCAGAATGGGAGCCTCTTGATATCAGAGAAATAGTCACAGGCCCTTCCCTGATTGTCAAACTCAGTCTGTATTGAGAGTCTAGAATTAATGGCTGAATAAATACTATAACAGCTGGTAGAATGACCAAGAGGGATTTAGATTTCATGCTGGCAGAAAAAGAAAGGCTAGCAGGAGGATGAAGAAGAGAGAGGGCTTTGGTAAATGTGCTCCTTTCTCTGCACCTGCCATACTTCTGGCAGTCTCCAATGTTAACTGAGTCCCCCATTGAGGAGCCTGGGCCTACCTGTGCTCCCTTTGAGCTGGGGTAAGATGTTGCTTTAAGCTTCTATAGGTGCATCTGTGATCCATTCTGGAGGGAGCCATATGTTTAGGGTCCCCCAAACCCTGATCCACTTCTTTTGCACTCTGCAGCATCAGACACTTAATTGATTTCCCAGGGACTGTCTGATTAATAACCCATCAGGTTCCTGTTGGGTGAGGGGAAGTCAGAGCAGAAGGCTGCCAGACCTTGGCTCCAGCTCATCTCATCTCAAGCCTGGTAGGGAAGCCTGGGGTCCATTTTGTGGTCACACTGAATTTGGGGAAAAACCCTGCCCACCCTCAGGGATGGGGGCCATCCTGGTGGTCTCCAGACCAGCCCTAGTGTGGTTCCCAGAATGGCACACACAGTGCCTTCTGGCAGGCCAGGTCAGCCCCAGAGCGTTGCAGAGAATTGGGATATACAGTCTTCCTTGTAATTTGGTGATTCAGTCAAAGACATGCAGAAGACACAGCCAACTGTTATTAAGAAGCTCACCGTCTTTTGAGGGAGACAGACCTGTAAATGAATGAGGACAGGTACCATGACTGATGTTGTGACAGAGGGAGTCCTCTGAGCAGAGAAGAGAGCATGGTTCCCTCTGCTTGGGAGCAGCAGTAGAGAGAGCCCTTACTGGGAACGGCCAGGTGCTGTTCTAAGTTCTTGGCACATGTTAACTTCATTCTTCACAGCTATTCCATAAGGTGGGTGTTGGGAGTCCCCAGGCCCCCACCCCCAGGTTTGATGATTTACTAGTGGGACTCACAAGACTCAACACGTAGTTGAGTATAGGTGTTAATACTCACAGCCCTGGTTTATCACAGTGAAAGGCAGAAAAGCAGAATCAGCAAAGGGAAAAGAAGCCTGGGGTAGACTCTGGGGCAAACCAGGCACAAGGTTCTGGGGTCCTCTCTCAGTGGAGTCACACAGGACGCACTTCATTCCCCCAGCAACAGGTTGTGACAACGTGTGAAATGTTGCCAATCAGGGAGGCTCATTAAAGCCTGAGCTCCAGGGTTTTTACTGGGGGTGCTCATGTCGGCACCCCCTGCCCGGCAAGTACCTGGATTCCAGACTCCCCAAAGGAAAGCAGTTATTCATCATAATTGTTGAGGCACAGTGAGCCAGCCACTCTCGTCAGTTAATGGTGGCAACTCTCCTGAAACCTGAGTTCCCAGATGCCAGCCCAGGGCCACTGTTATAAGAAGGCATTGCAAAGGATAGCAGTCAGGGCTGCTGTCTTCACTCTTCTGCGCATGTAGGTAGTCATATTCTCATCCCCATATTAGAGATGAAGAATCTGAAGCACAGACAAGTTAAGTAACTTGCCTCAGGTCCCACAGCCAGTAAGTGGCAGAACCAGGGTCCATCCCCAGGCTGGCTGGCTCCAGGGCCCACACACCTAACCACTATGCAGTGCCGTCTTCCTGATTGTTCAAAATAGCTTCTCCAGGCATAAATTGGTAGGAGTTTGCAGGGGAGAAAGGAATTTTTAGCTGAGAGATAGGCACAGAGCCAGGAGAGAGCTTGGCATTTTGGAGAGATGGCAAGTAGTTGGCTCAAGCGGGAGCACAGGGAGTCTCTTGAGGATGAGATTAAATGGAGATCAGCAATGGAGGATCTTGGGCTACATGAAAAGGAGGTTGTACTTTTCCCTGTGGGCCTGGAGGCTGGGGTGGTAGACATGAGGGTGAATAGCTAGCAAGAGCTTTTAAATCAGAAGGTGCCATTATGGGATTGGCCTTTTAGAAGGATGACCGTGGCTTGGAAGACCTGGTGCCTGGTTCATTTTTTTTTCCATTCATTTGTTCAGCTGCCAGCCCCATCACTAACTCTGTGTGGTCTTGGCTGAGTCACTAACCCCCTGCACACCTGGAGGTCTCAGCTACAGAATATGGGGTGTGATCCCTGCCTGTCCTGCCCCAGTAGGTAGTTGTGAGAATCAGAGGCAATTGTGGCTGTCCCGTGGCTTTGTGGGTGGAAACACGGCCCAGGACAGCGGGCTCACTGTGAGAGGGTGAACCGTTGATCAGGGCGGTCCTGAGGAACTACTGGCCTTTGCAGCTTCCTGGCTACTTCCTTCCCAAAAGCCCTTTGCTCTGCCCTTGAGAGGTGAGCTCAGCCTGCCTTAAGTCAGACACATGGGACTGGGAGCCCCTCCTACAGGCAGTTCAGGGGCTAGTCCAAGGCCTCCCCACATGCTTAGAGGGAACCAGTCTATCCCCTCTTTAAGAACAGCCCACCACTTAGCTGAAGGTTCCTCTCCAAGTACTCAGGAACCTCTTTCCTGAGAGGCAGCTCAGGGCTGTGAGGTCAGAGAGATCTGGTTTAAATCCCATCTTCACCTAATTTTTCCTGTATGCTGGGCACTTAACCTTTCTGGGCCTTAGTTTCCATATCTGTAAAATGAGGTAATAGCACCCACCAGTGTGAGGGTCAAGTGAATCAGGTGCCCACACTTGAGCTCTCAGCAGCAGTGAGCAGGAGACCCTGCGTGACTATGACCCAAGGTGGGCTCTGCAGCTTAGGGTCCCCATCAAGAAAGGTGGGCATTTGTTTCTCAGAAGAACTAGACACCTAGAGTTTTGGGGAGTGGGTGGATAGGAGATTTGAGGGGAGGTTCCTTTAACTGGAAGTCAGGGTGCCTGGGTTTTAGTTTCAGCTCTGCCACTGACTTGCTATGGTATGGGTATGAGGGCAGGGCACATGTCTCTCTGGGCCTCAGTTTCCTCATCAATCAAATGACACCAAGTAATTTGACCCAGAACTAAGTTTAAAAGTACAGAACAAGACTATTTCGTTTTTTCTTTTTTTTTTTTTTGGAGACGGAGTCTCACTCTGTCGCCCAGGCTGGAATGCAGTGGCATAATCGCCGGCTCACTGCAACCTCTGCCTCCTGGGTCCAAGCGATTCTCCTGCCTCAGCCTCCTGAGTAGCTGGGGTTACAGGCACCCGCCACCGTGCCTAGCTAATTTTCTTGTAAGAGACAGGGTTTCACCGTGTTAGCCAGGATGGTCTCGATCTCCTGACCTCATGATCCACCTGCCTTGGCCTCCCAAAGTGCTGGGATTACAGGCGTGAGCCACAACGCCCAGCAGAACAAGACTATTTCAAGGCGGTAGTAGCATTCTGAATAGCCAGAATTGTCTTCTTTTTTTTTTTTTTTTTTTTTTTTTTTTAAGGCCGAGTCTCGTTGGACCGGACTGGAGTGCAGAGGCTTATGGCAGCCTCAGCCTCCCCGGGTTCAGGTGATCCTCCCACCTCAGCCTCCCCAGTAGCTGGTACTACAGGCACGTGGCACCATGCCTGGCTAGTTTTTGAATTTTTTTCTAGAGATGGGATTTTGCCATGTTGCCCAGGCTGGCGTCAAACTCCTGCACTCAAGCCATCCACCTGCCTCAGCCTCCCAAAGTGCTGGGATTACAAGTGTGAGCCACTGCACCTGGCCAATAGCCAACATTTTCAGCAAGTGCTCATGTCTCTCCAAATTCCAGAGAGATCTAAATAATTAATATGCACATGAGCATGAGTGTGGAAGCTCTTTCAGGAGACTGGGGCACCCTCTTACTCTAGAAATCCTTTACTCTGTTGCATCACCTCTTCCCCTCTCCTAACAGATCTGTACTTTTAGAAGATAATTGTCCAGTCTCTCTTTTTTTAAAAATAACTGTTTCTTTTTAAATTGTAAAAGTTAAAATCAGAATCACTGTTTTTCCAGTCACTTGAAAATCCTTACTGCTAACATTTTGATCTTTATCCTTTATGTCTTTTTCTCTGAATGTATTTTTTTGTTTATTTCTGATGGTTTTAAGGTATAAATTTGACTCTGTATCTTAAAATGGGATCTGAGCCTTCTGACTCAAGCCAGACTCCCAGGTCTTCTAGGGAGCATGCCATGCAGCCAGCCTCAGGTCCCGGGGGGCAGCAGGAGTTCTTCCTTGGACCTGCTCATGCTGTAGAGAGAGTGGACAGTTCCCTCCTGAAATGCAGGGATGGAGGAAACAATCAGAATGCCTTCTGCTGCCATCTTCAATGAAGCACTGACTATGTGCCTGCTGTATGCCGGGCATGCTTCCCTTTGTGTATCCTGAATTCAGCAGTATTCAGCACATATTTATTGAGTGCCTGCTACCATGTACCACATATTCCTCTAGACTCTGGGCACATAGCAGTGAACAAGACAGATAAGACTTCTGCCTTGTGGAACTTAAAATGCATTAGGAAAAAGCACAATAATCAGATAAGCATATATATATTGGATATGTGTGTGTGTGTTTATCACTTCCTAATCACTTCCTGGCCCCTTGCTCCGGTATTGCTTTATTTTTCATCAGAAAGAGAGAGAGAGAAAGAGAGGAGTGTGTGTGTGTGTGTGTGTATGTGAAGTCCTGAAAAATCAGTACAAGGGGCCAGGGAGTGATTGGGAAGAGTGGGCTGGGAGCTATTTTAGTTAGGGTAAGAAGCTAATAGTTGAGGAGGGGAGGAAGGAGGTTATATTCCATGAAGATATTTTCAGGAGGGTTCTGATTCATAAAGATAGTTGAGGGAGGCAGAGGAAAGCCAAGGTTTAGCTTGTTTAAGAAACAGCAAGGAGACCAGTGTACCTGTAGCATAGAAAATGAGGCTTGAGAAGTACTAGAGGCCAGAGCTTATAGGAGCTTGTGGGCCCTGGTAAGGACTATGGTTTATTCTAAAATGCTTATGAAGCCATTGGAGGGTTGAGAGCAGAGAAGTGATATGATCCAAATTACACTTTGGGTTTTGTAAAATGAACAATTATCCCCTTCTGTGGATGCTTAGAGAGATTGGGTCACCTGCCCAGGGCCAGTGAATGATGATTATGGGACCTGAAGCTAGATCTGTCTGGCCTCAGGGCCTGTATGCCTCCCATTGGGCCACCAGGCCTCCCATCAGCAGGGTTATCTGCCTGGTGATGGAAATAGAGCCACTCTGAGGGATGTCCACACCTCTGAAGCTCCTCCCAGGCACTGGGGAAGACTTTAGGGGCTTGCACACCAGCAGAACAGACTGCCACCCAGGCCGCTGGCCCAGACAGTGCTTCACGACTCACCAAAAGAGGAGGTCCCCACCACCACTGCATACTCAGCACTGTACCTGCAAATAGTGTTGCCATATGCTTCCACTGTCCCAAGGGATGTTAACGAAAGGGGATTTCCAGATAGTACTTACAGCCCCTCCTCGTTTGGGTCTTTGAGGCTGACCAGGGGCAGTAGCCACAAAGCTGTGCAGAGAGAGACAGGGTTATAAAGTGGAGAGAGCCTGAGTTCTGGGGTCAGATAACCCCAGGCTCCAGCTTGGCTCTCCACTTGTTTATGATATGGCCTTAGAAAAGTTGCTTCTACAAGCTTTGCTTTGCCAATCTACAAAATAGAGATGACGGTACTGACTTTGTAGGGTTATTGTGAGGAATAAAATTTAAATTAGATAGTTGCAGAGCTTCTGGAACAATAAATAATATGTGGTAGATGTAGGGTAGGTAGTAACTATTATACTTAGCATTAGTACTCCTATAATATTTGTATAGCCCTTAATACTTCTTCCACCATTATCTCAGCCGATCCATATAACAACCTTGTGAGCTCAGTACTGTAATCCCTTTTTACATGAAGAACATAAGATAAAGAAAGGTTAAGGGTTATACCCAAAGTTGCACAGGAAGAGAGTGGCATAAAAGGGTCTTGAATTTGGGAATGCTGGCTCTAAGACCTGGTCGAAGTCAGAAAGAAGGTCCTTGGCAGGGCTGGGTCCAAAGTTGGCTTTCTGCAGTCAGTTCCTTTCTTGGGTGCATGCAACAGGCTGAAGCCACCACTGGATTGTTACAAATGATTCACCACAGAGTCTGAAAGTGAGGTGATAGCTGTCCTGAAAAGATCAGGAGACAGGCTCCAGCCTACTTGAGTGTGAATCATGTCACTCAGCAGACCTGGTTGAGACCAAAAAGGGCAAGTATGTCTGTCTTCATTCTGGGTTAGAAATAGGTAAAGTCACAAAATGCTATGCACTTGGGGAACAAAGAGCATCCTCTTTTGTCTTCCGTGGAGCTCCATCCTTGCTAGCCAGTTATCACCCAGGTCCCTGCACCGCTAAAGGACGATGATCCTCTGACCATGGTCAGCATTAACCTGGGGGCCTGGGAGAAATACAGATCCTCAGGCCCCACCCAACCTGCTGACAGAATCCCTAGGGATGGGCCTCAGCAATGCTCAGCTCTCCAGAAAGTTGGAGAACCATGGCTTTAGAAGACAGTGGCCAAAAATGCTAACTTTTTTTTTTCTTTGGACTAGCCAAATGAGTGTCTCTAGCCACTGTTTAAGCTGATGTAAGCAGCCTCAAGTAGAGAGAGAGAGCACAGGCTTTGGAACCTGAGCTCTAATTCCTGCTTTGAACTTTGCTAGCTGGTGACCTTGGCAAGACCCATTACCTCTCCACATCTCAGTTTCCTCACCTGTAGAATGAGGATTACATTGCCTTCCTCACATAGCCATTTTGAAGATTTGAGAGGCTGGATGTAGCATACCTAGCTCAGTCCCGGACACATGTCAGTCCTCTCCAGTGAGAACTGTGATTTGATGCACACAACTGCCAAACCTTGTTTTTATATAGACAGTATTCTCTCTGGATGCTCTGTGCCAGGTGGACCCCTTGCACATGTGGCTTGCACACTGACCCATTGCCTGGAAACCGTGTCCCGCTGGTCTTACGCACACAGCTGCACCAAACAGCCACTTTGTGTGTTTCTCTACTAGCCCCCTTCATCAATGCATGACTCATTGCTTCATTCATGTCTCCATGTGTGCGTAGAAACCTAGGCAAGCAGCCATTCCTAGGGACATTGCAGGACAACCTCATTGAGATGGACATTCTCGGCGCCTCCCGCCATGATGGGGCTTACAGTGACGGGTAGGTGACATCCCCATTCTCCTCTCTGTGTGTGCTCTCCTTGTGGCTCCTGCACTTGCATGCAGACCCTGAGACCTTTCCCTGGGATCTTCTGGGGGAGGTGATCCATGTGGCATGCTCATCACCAAGTCCGTGTTCAACTTGCAACAGTTTATCCTTTAAATACCCTATCCCCCAGCATATTAACAGCAGTCTTGTTAATATGCAGCTCTTGGCATCTCATTGGCTGCCGTTGCCATTCCAAAACCATCTCACATAGCATTTTTAATGCAGCACAGGCCCTGTATTGTATGGACTCTGGCCCTGAGTGTGTATTCTGTGACCTGAGGCACCTTGTACCCCAATAGGGGTGGGTTTGCCCTAAGGCTTCTGGGGGGTACAGTGCAACCAGCACACTCCATTTCCCAGGCTGTGTGCAAGTCCTCCCATGGCCATGGTTAAAGCCAAGCTGTGGAGGAGCTCCTGACACCTAGTTTGGTCACAACCATGTGCTTTGACCATACCCCGCTGCCCTCATGACTAGGCTGTAGGGTGCAGTTGCCTGTCTGTCCCCCGACACAGCTTTCACCTTGGACTTGGGAGGCAGCAGTCTGGCTTCTGGACAGAGTGCTTTGAAGGCATTTGCTGCCATTGGCTGTGTGACAGCCACTAGGGGACTAATGGCCATGGCATAACTTAGTGGTGGTTTCTTGGCTTCAACACCAATAAAACCCCCTTTAAAAAGAAGGGTATTCCAATCCTCAGTTGAGATACACCGGCAACAGAAGCATTGGAGGGAGAAGAACAATTTTAAGTCTCATTATCTCCAGGGTACACAACAGGATTTTAGATCCTTTCCAAGTTACTGTAATAATTTTAGAGAATAGGAAGTTTATTCCCCAAGAAACAGTATCCCAGCCCCATCCGTTCCCAGGAAAAGGATCTCAGTGCCAGCCTTCTGTTGAGTTGGTTAACACCTTCTGCCTTGCCGTGGGTGGGTTTTCCCATGGGTAGGGCTGTCCCATCCGTGTTCAGTGGAAACGTGTCTCTGTGTGCCCTGTTCCATGGTCTAGTCCGTAGCTCTCCTTGTTCCTGTCCTTTCCCAGGTCTCTGTGGTGACTCTCTCTATCCAGGCTCCTCTGCATGCTTCTTCTACTGCCGCCTCTGGCCTCCAGGTTTGTCTGGGTGCCTGGTCTGTGGGCAGCCCCTGACACCCTCTTGCTGCTCTCCATCTGCAGGCACTTCCTCTTCAAGCCTGGAGGCACCTCCCCGCTCTTCTGCACCACATCACCAGGGTACCCACTGACGTCCAGCACAGTGTACTCTCCTCCGCCCCGACCCCTGCCCCGCAGCACCTTCGCCCGGCCGGCCTTTAACCTCAAGAAGCCCTCCAAGTACTGTAACTGGAAGTGCGCAGCCCTGAGCGCCATCGTCATCTCAGCCACTCTGGTCATCCTGCTGGCATACTTTGTGGGTAAGCACCTCTTCACCCCAGCTCCCCTTGCTCCTCTTTGGCCCAGAGGGCAGCAACCAAGACACGTGTGGGCACTGAAGGCTCCTTACTAGCATGGCAGGCAAAGCACGCAGTGTGAGCCAGGCAGCCCTGGAGTTCTGGACAGTCTGCACCCCTGACACTGCAAGGGCAGCTCTTCAGGGCCCTCCTCTCTTTCCTCTCCATCCCTCTGCACTTATATCAGGAAGGAAGCTGGGCATCTGTCCTTTTGTGTGTTGGGTGCCTGGTATTAAGGCGTGAGTGCTCAGTAAGACTAGCCTTTGAGATGGGGATCTATGGCATAAGTGTCATGGATTGAGTCAATACAACTAAATGACAAGTTGGAGAGGCTGAACAGCAGGTAGCCTCTCCTGTTGGGACTGTGTGGCTGCAGTGAGGAGCAGGAAGGAGGTGGAGCACCCTGGGCTTGGAGGGAAACTGGCAGGAAAGCACGTCTGAAGGTAGATGTCTGGCAAGGCAGTCTGAGGGTATTGTGGGAACCAAGGTCCAGAGTTAAACCATGGTCAGGAACCCAGGGAAATTCTGACTGAGAAGCAGAAGGTCCCAGCCAGCACAGAGAGCAGAGAACGCTGGCTGAGGGCGCACAGACACGGAGCAGTGCTCACCTGACCCTGGGTGCAAACACAGATATAAGGAGCTCCTCCCGACCTCTGCCTTGATACAGCAGATGGCTCCCCCTGTGCAGTCTTCTGATGAATTTGTAACACAGTCTGACCCCTTCCTACTTCTGACCCCTTGCTTTGGTCTTTTCCCAGGAAAGATATTAATCCAAAGAGATCTGTGGGTGTTGTGTAGCATCTGCTGCCTCTATATAAATCAGCCTCTTAGTAAAGGCATTGGAAGGGAGATTGGCTTAACCCTAGAGGTCCTTTCCTGTAATTCAAAGGCTTAAGGTAGGTTGGGCCAGCTTGAGAAGGCCTCGAACCCATGCTAAGGAATTCTAAGATAATTCTGCAAGCAAAGGGGACTTTTTCAGCACAAGCCCAGTAAACAGAAATAGAACTAACTGGCAGAGGCCAAAAAAGACAGTGCTGCCCACTGTGAAAAAGAACTTGGTAACCAGCAAAGTCACTGTGGCTGAACAGGGGCTGTCTTGAGAAGTAGTAAGAGGTGTCACTAAGAATGATTAATACAACATGGGCCATCACATGTTCAAGAGATAGAGAAGTGGTTCAAGCATGGATGGGGTTTGAGTGGCATAAGCTGTAAGGTCAATTCCACTCAAGATTCTTGAATTTTATAAAAATAAGTGACCAGGAAGATGACAGTCCTGCAAAGAGGGAGGTCCCCTTCAATATCTCAAGCTGTAATAAGCCTCCTCTGGCATGTCAGGTCTCTTTTCCCCTTCTGAATATTGGCTTAGACAATTCCATGGCTCCAAGGCCAAGGTGGCATGCATGTCATCTCTTCTTCTGTCTGATTGTTTAGTTGCTGCTGCCTAGAATGCTGTGTTGAGGAAGATACTGGGGCTATATTTAGGCTCAATGTAAGAGACTATCTGTGATTGATTAGTGATGTCTGTTATGGTCACAGAAATGGAGAATATTGATGACATGTCAAGTATTTGCCATCCCTGCTATGGGTCATTGTATAAATGAAACAGCCAGACTGGGAGAGGTCAAGGCCTACCCAGGCTCTGTGAGGTGCATCGTTGATATAGAGTGGGTTACCAATGAGGGTTGTATAGTTCCAGTACCATTACTTGGCATGAAGGTTTCTTCTGGCACCACGAATAGTATGTCACCACCAACCACTGGCACAGCTCTTGGTTTTGACTAACATTATTATTTTTCATAAGTGAGTAGACTTCTGGACAGGCAGTCATAAGTCATAATTTGAGTAGTTTGCTGCTATACACATCCATTTGTTTTGCGTTGAAGTCTTAAGGTTTATATCATATAGCCTAATTCAGTGAGAAAGAGTAAGTGTTTACATGATTAATCAAACTCTCTCCTGTTTTCCATCTCATGGCTTCTTTCTCTCCCAGTTAATAAGAATACATGATTAGTCTTCAGCTATTTAAAGATAGGGGCAACTGTGGGAATTAGTGAGCTCTCTGTCTGAGGAAGGATACAGATAGAGCTCAGGGACCACTTAGAATAAGATTCAAGCACTGCCTGGGAGTTTTCACTGGGTAACCTTTAATTTTCCTTCCAACGTTGACAGTCTTCAAATCCACAATTTTGTGAATTTTATTTTTCACTCAGCAAACCATATGGAATACCTGCTTTGAGCCAGGCTCTATGCTAAGTGCCAGGGTTAAATATATAGTCACTACCCTTGAGGTATTCGTAGCTTAAAAGAAGAGATAGCTATGTTAGCAGGCAAATCTGAAACAGTGACTGATTTACACAGAGCTCAGAGGCTGTGGGAATACCCAACCCCAGCCAAGAGGAGTAGGGAAGGCTTCCTGGGAAAGGTGATGTTTGAGCTGAATTTTAAAGTAGGCATTAGCCAGAAGTAGACATACAGAAAGGGTATTTCAAAGCAAGGGAGCTTACAAAGACTTGAAAGAGGATGATGTGGTAGCAAAGATGTTTTCTGTGTTTGAAGCATTTGAGGAGTGTGGGGTGCACCGTTGGAGCTAATACAGAAGTGTTTCATCAGATTGTGGAGATCAGCTTGGAGGACAAGTTGAGGACCTAATTGGGTGGGCAACTGGGGTACCACTGAACAGTTTTAAGCAGTGATAGGACACAGATTTTTATTTTAGAAAGGTAAGGGTAGAGGAAGGAGGAGTAGAAGCTTACCTGTTGGGAAACTATTGCAGTCAACTAGTCAGGAAAAGCTGATCGCTTCAATTACAACACTGACAACGTAGGTGGAGAAGAGGAGGTGGATGGAAGGTCAATTTTGAAGAATTTGTGTCTTGAGCCAGGAATGGTCAGTTCACTGATAGTGTGTCCTTGCCAAGAATAACACAGATATTTCTACACAGATAATATTGTGTCTGTGTCGAAATACTTGGACTGGATGCTAGGGCTCATATACAAGGATCAAGCCAGAGAGGCAAGCCTGGGCATTCCCTTTGTTTCCTGGAGAGTCAGCAAGGTGTTGGGGAAGAGCTTACACCTACCATGACAGCCCTGGATTCCAGGCCCTGCTCTACCACACAGCAGCTGCTCACCCTTGGGAAAGTCATTTCTCTTTCTGAGTTCTGATTTGCTCATCTAGAAAATAGGCACAACCCATACCTCAGAAGGATGCTTGTGAGCTTGGTATAAGCCAACGCAGGTGAACGCGTTGCAGGTGTGCAGGCCATCCCACCCTTGCTTCACAAGCTAGGGGGTAGCAGCCTTATTGCTTGCTCTCCTGCAGCTGCTGAGGACAAGGCATAAGCATCTTGTTGCTTGGCCATAATTACAGGCTGTGACGACTAACTTGGAAGGAACTATCAATTATTAAAAATCAAATTAATTGTCTCAGCTGAGCACAAATATCCCTAACAAAGACCCTTTTCCAGCAGACCAACCGATCTAATCAACAGGCAAAAGCACAGATATTTAATTAGATTTTTGATGAAAAATTGTGTTTAATTTCAAGTATAATCAATTATTAATTACTGTAATGAGTGAGTCTGACTGGGTTTACTAATTAACTCATTTAAGAATTATGAATAACCTTTTCATTTGTAATTATTTTCTACATCCTATCAGGTTCCAGATAAGAATTGCATCAGCTCACCACCAGAGTGGGAGGCAGAAACAGAGGGTGGAAAATAGTTTTTCTTTTGCTGTTATCTGCCTAGGGCTGTCACGTCTGGTTGGTAATCCTGACAGATTCATTTGACATTTAGTTTGTTTGTTTGTTTGTTTGTGTAGAGATGGGGGTCTCACTCTGTCACCCAAGCTGGAGTGCACCGGCACAGTCATAGCTCACTGCAGCCTTGAATTCCTGGGCTCCAGTGATCCTTCCACCTCAGCCTCCCGAGCAGCCGGGACTACAGTTGTGCCCCACTGCACCTGGCTACTTTTTAAATTTGTGTGTGTGTGTAGAGATGAGGTCTAATATGTTGCCCAAGCTGCCATAAACTCCTGGCCTCAAATGATCTTCCTGCCTCAGCTTCCCAACAGGCTGGGATTACAGGTATGCGGCACCACGCCCAGCTGATGTTCCATTTCTTAGTTAGAAAGTGTCTTGAGAAACTTGTGCCACCAGGGACATTTCAATTACAGATACATTTACAGGTATTTTCATGAGAAAGTAGAGACACTGGAGTCAGCACTTACCACCAACAGAGACTGCGGAAGCCAGAGGCTTGCCCATGGGCCATCTCCTCCTCTCCTGGGAGTGCTACTTGGCTGCTCTGGCCTGAGCTGGGAATCCAGGGAGGACCCTCACACAGCTGTGGGATCTCTTCAGAGAGAAAATATGTATTTTTGTCTCCAAAGGCACCAATTCAGAAGGACAGCCACTGAGGATGAGTTTACAGTGCTTTATTCACCAGTTCTTCCTAGTACAGTTCTCAGGTCCTTGTTAGTCTCCATTTGAATACCCGGTCTTTTCTTTTCTGGAGAAATCTGTTGGCAGAACACAATGGGGGCTGTTGTGCAGGTTACATGAGATGATGTCGAAAGGGGCAATGCTAGTTTTAGGTCAGACCCTGAAGCTTGTACTGCCAGTTGTTAAGCAATTAAATGCTTTATTGTATAGCATTTAATTGTTTTTAAAACATGTTTAGCAAAAAAGGTGTGATATAGAGTAGTAAAAATCACATTTGGCTGCTGTTTATCATTCATAAAGAGCAGTTAGTTTTGATTGTATGCTGTCCACGTGCCCTTCTGTTCTGAGCACGTTGCTTGTGTTTCCTCACTGAAATCTCCTAACAATCATGAGTTATTATTCGCAATTGACAGATGAGGACACTGAGCCCCCATGAGCTTAAGTAGCTTGCCCACTGTTGCATGGTAAATGTTAGGGCTATGATCCTCCCAACCACAGGCACTCAAGCTCTTGAGCTGATGCTTTCGAATTATTTTCTCTTTTGAGCTCACACTTTTAACCTGTATGCTGTAATTCTCCCATCTTAATATTTGGCTTTTTGAATTTTTGCTATGTGCCTAGTACTGGGCCAGGCCCATTACGTGTATCATTTCTCTGGACCCTCACCACAATTCTGTGGGATGAGTATGATTTTCTGTATTTTCTAGAAAAGGAAACTAAAGCTCAGAGAAGTTTGCAACTTGCCTGGGTCACATAGCCAGTATATGACATAGCTGGGATGCAACCAAGACTTGGGATTTCAAAGGCCATGCTTTCAGCCAACTATGCTATATAATAGCCCTGGGCTGGAACAGACAATGTAGAATCAAAAGATCTCACCTCAGACCCTGGCTGTATCACTTGCTGACGGTGTAAACTTGGGCAGTTTGCTTAACCTCTCTGAACCTTGGTTTTCACTTTCCTTATGGAAGTGGCTGGAAAGACTGTCCCATTTTATAGGAGAGGGAACCAGGAGCCGCATGATGGTTGAGAGCATAGGTTCTGAAATTAGGCTGCCTGCTTTTAAATCTCAGCACTGCTGCTTCCAAGCTTTGTGACATTTGGCGAGTTTACACAACCTCTCTCTGCCTCAGTTGCCCTATCTGTAAAGTGAGGATTATAATAGTGGTTACTTCACAGGGTTGGGGTGAAATTTCTGTAAGATAATTTACAAGAAGTACCTAGCTCACTCCCTGACACAGAGCACTCAGTAAAAGTTAGACACTACTGTTGTTAAAAGTATTATTAGAATTATTAGCATCTCATGTAACAGAGTATTAGTTACTCCTGAGTGAGAACTTGGACCTGGCTTGTCTCACTGCAGCACCAACAGGCTTCCTGGCCCGTGTTAGTCACAAGGGCAGCTGACAGAACAACCAGGGGGACCTGTCAGAAAACATTTGTAGGGATGTCTCACTGTTCCAGCAATGCAGCCACAAGAAGAATCGTCAGCTGCAAAGCAGCTCACATCATTTCTCTAACTAGGACAAAACTTGATTTGTGATTCACTAACTGTTGCTTCTGTGCAGATAAAACTGACAGCTTCCCTTGTGTTCTGAATGTGTATGTAAAACGCAGACACTGCGTGCTGCAGAAGAGCCTCAGATTAGTAACTTGAGGTTTCTTCAAGCACCTGTCTTGCCAGGTAGGCCTTTGGAATAGGAGACGAAAAAGGCTTGTTAATAAATCTAAAATGAGGAGCGGCTTTACATTTAAATGAAGACCTGAGAGGACACTGGTTGCTGATTGCTGTATCATCAGGTCCAGGTCTGCCCTGCAGGGCAGTGGCGCCATTTTCTGTGATTTCTCTAATGCAGCGTGGGGTTCTCATCAGGAAGGAAGATGGGATTTGGAGCCTGACCACCTCCGCAGAAATCTCAGCACTGCCACTCTCCAGCTGTTTAGCCATTTGATCCTTGGTTTCCTCATCTGCAAAGTGGGAGGAATAATAGTATTACTTTCATAAGGCTGTTGTGCAGGTTAAATGAGATGATGTTGAAAAACGCAAAGTGGGAGGAATAATAGTATTACTTTCATAAGGCTGTTGTGCAGGTTAAATGAGATGATGTTGAAAAACACAGAGCATGTGATAAAGGAGATGTCCCTTACTGGTCGCCTTGGGAGATGGTTGTTACCCGTCCTTGGACCTCACCCACAGTGTGGCAGGAGTGGATTGTCCTGTAAGGTCCTTCCTAGTCTGTATTTCTATATCTCTAGGAAATTGCACCAGGATATAAAGGGTGGAGTCTCAGATGTGGGCTTCTGCATCTTCTGGGTAACCACAGTGGAACATTCCAATTTGTGTAATAGCAATGAGGGATCCTTTCTTAAATTAGGTTGCATCTGCATTTTTCAACTGCACAAGAAGGACTGATTGTGGAGTACAAAAAAAAAATCAGAACCCTTGCTTGAAGTGGTGATAGTTTAATTTATAACTGAGAATGTTGCTAAGCTTAATGCTTAATTGCTGCTCTTCAAAAGGCAGCTATTAGAGAGCTTTGCTTGTTGGAATAATATTGCAGTTCTTGGTCTGGAAGACCCTGGGTCATGCAGTTCTTGAGGCTATCTAGGAAATGGTGATAGAGGTGAACTTGAGCATTAAGTGCAAGTTGCGTAGAGTGGTATAGACTGTCAATATCTCTGACATTTCATCATACAAACTGGACTTCAGTATGGTAGCAATTCAGTTAGAAGACATATTAGACTTCCCTTCTTTTTAATGGAGTTTCACTCCCCCATCTCCTCTTGTCTTACTCTCTGCTTTCACATACTCAATCCCTAGCACAAAGCCTGGCACAAGGTACCTGTGCTAAATTAAGACTTGGTTGAATAAGAGGCCTTGCAAAATGGTTAAGTCTGCCAAGGGTACTCTAGGCAGAAGAGCAGCATGGGCAAAAGCATGGTGGCCGAACTGTGTATTTTATGTTCTGGGGCTAAGATACAGGTGAAATGGACATGAGATGTGTAGAGAAAGAATTACAGATAGAGGCCAGGGTGAATTTATCCACCCCCCAACACCCATTCATTTCCATCTGGCTCAGCTCATACAATATCAGGATCTCAGATGCTGTTGCCTCATTAGCATGAGCCTATTACACTTGGGCCTAGGTGTTATTTGTGTGCAGTAAGGCTCATTTTCCCTCCTTTCTCTTTGACTTCACATCAGGCCTTTTGGACAGGAGCCATAGATTTAACTTTATAGCCCAAAGAATGGGAAATGGAGATGATTGAACTTGGTCTTTTAGAAGGAGGAAAAAGTGATAAAGATACAGGATCCTGCATTAACGCCTTCTCTCTCCAAGATCGATTCCTTCATGCTGCTCTGTGGGAATTGCTAATAGCAAGATATATATAGGTTGTTCTCATTATAACAGGCCACAGACAGATATCTTCCAGATCCCTAAAAGGAAGACTTAGGAGACCAGCATGGCTCTCTGCAGTTGTCTGAAATGCTGACGAAGGGAGAAGGGACCAACTCGCTCTGCAGGGCTGAAGAGGGAAGAAAATGAACGTTTTCCAGTTTGCAGAGCCTCCCCATGATAGAAGAGTTTGACAGTGCCCTTCCTGGCAATGGAAGTATTCAGGCAGCGGGTTATGGGGTTTGTCATTTGATCATTCATTTGCTTTTAATTTGAGGAGAGTTTAAGAAGCTGGGTACAAAAGTGAGGGCAGTGTGTCAAGGAATGGTACTACCCCCTGGCTAATGGTTCTAGGATACCATGAAGGGGCATGAAGGGGCAAGGGGGAAGGAGGGGTTACTAGAACCTGGAGAAGTTAGCCAGCTGAGAGTGCTGCTTGACATGGATGTATGGTCTTCAATAGAGGCATGGCGGTGAGGGAGCCGGAGAACGGAAATCTCCACCTCACTCTCTTCCCACCCTGACAACCTCCTCCTGGTGGTGGAACCCAACCAGAAGTCACAGCTCAAGGGAACCATTGATCCAGGCCATGTGGACCAGCCTCCCAGGGCACAGAGCAGGGTGAAAAAGGATAGAGAGTGAGTGTGGAAGGCAGCGGGATGACATCTGTCTTCCCCTGTGTCATAATTCCTTTCCCTAGCCATGCACAGGGCTCTGACTGTGCTCTTAGGGACCTAACTAGGATTGAAACCCCAGCCACTGCTCAGACATTGTCCCTTACCTTTGCACCCACTCAGCCACCAGGCCCAGGCCACTTCCTTCATATCAGATTTATTGAGATATAATGTACATACAGAAAATTAACACATTTTAAGTGTACTACTGTATGAATTTTGACAAACTGGTAGAGTTACGTGACCACCACCACAGTCAAAACACATAACCATTCCATCACCCCCAAAAGTTCCCTCATGCCCCTTTGAAGTCAACCCCCCTCTCATTCTCAGCCTCTGGCAATCACTCATCTATCTATTCTCTGTCTCTGTAGTTTCAGGCACTGTTTTTGAGAAATATAGTAAAGAAGTGATTTATTTACTGGCTTTAAAATCAGATATTACCTAAAATAATCTCCAAACTCAGATATTTCAGTGTTGTTGAGAAATTTTTTAAGGTATCATCCAGAATTCAAGATACTGGGGCAAACAACAGAAACATTCTGCGGTTTTCTGTGTGTTATCCTTGACCTCCATATCATGGCTCATAGTTTCTGAGTTTGGGAATGTGTCAAAAAGAAAGGACCCACATTTACTCATATATTCATTTTTAATAACAACAGCAGCCACAGCCTCAGCATAGTCAGTGTGGATAAACAGCTTTATGTCCTTCTGCCTTTTTCACAGGCCATTTTTTCTTTCTTTTTTTTTTTTTTTTTTTTTTTTTTTTTTTTAGTATTTATTGATCATTCTTGGGTGTTTCTCAGAGAGGGGGATGTGGCAGGGTCATAGGATAATAGTGGAGAGAAGGTCAGCAGATAAACATGTGAACAAAGGTCTCTGATTTTCCTAGGCAGAGGTCCCTGCGGCCTTCCGCAGTGTTTGTGTCCCTGGGTACTTGAGATTAGGAAGTGGTGATGACTCTTAAGGAGCATGCTGCCTTCAAGCATCTGTTTAACAAAGCAAATCTTGCACCGCCCTTAATCCATTTAACCCTGAGTTGACACAGCACATGTTTCAGAGAGCACGGGGTTGGGGGTAAGGTTATAGATTAACAGCATCCCAAGGTAGAAGAATTTTTCTTAGTACAGAACAAAATGGAGTCTCCTATGCCAACTTCTTTCTACACAGACACAGTAACAATCTGATCTCTCTTTCTTTTCCCTGCATTTCCCCCTTTGCTTTTCGACAAAACCGCCATCGTCATCATGGCCCATTCTCGATGGTCGCTGTCTCTTTGGAGCTGTTGGGTACACCTCCCAGATGGGGCAGCTGGGCAGAGGTGCTCCTCACTTCCCAGACGGGGCAGCCAGGCAGAGGTGCTCCTCAGTTCCCAGACGGGGCAGCCAGGCAGAGGTGCTCCTCACCTCCCAGATGGGGTGGTGTCCGGGCAGAGGCGCTCCTCACATCCCAGACAGGGCGGCCGGGTGGAGGCGCTCCCCACTTCGCAGACAGGGTGGCGGCCGTGCAGAGGCGCTCCTCAGTTCCCAGATGGGGCTGCCAGGTAGAGGCGCTCCTCACCTCCCAGACGGTGTGGCGGCCGGGCAGAGGCACTCCCCACCTCCCAGACGGGGCGGCCGGGCAGAGGCACTCCCCACATCCCAGACAGGGCGGCCGTGTGGAGGTGCTCCCCACTTCGCAGACAGGGTGGCGGCCGTGCAGAGGCGCTCCTCAGTTCCCAGACGGGGCTGCCAGGTAGAGGCGCTCCTCACCTCCCAGACGGTGTGGCGGCCGGGCAGAGGCACTCCCCACCTCCCAGACGGGGCGGCCGGGCAGAGGCACTCCCCACCTCCCAGACAGGGCGGCTGCCAGGCAGAGGCGCTCCTCACCTCTCAGACGGGGCGGCCGGGCAGAGGCGCTCCTCACATCCCAGATCGGGTGGCGGCTGGGCAAAGGCGCTCCTCACATCCCAGACAGGGCGGCTGCCAGGCAGAGGCGCTCCTCACCTCCCAGACGGGGCGACCGGGCAGAGGCGCTTCTCACTTCCTAGACGGGGTGGCGGCTGGGCAGAGGCGCTCCTCACATCCCAGACGGGGTGGCCGGGCAGAGGTGCTCCTCACTTCCCAGATGGGGTGGCCAGGCAGAGGCACACCTCACTTCCCATTTGGGGCAGCCGGGCAGAGGCACTCCTCACTTCCTAGATGGGGCAGCCAGGCAGAGACGCTCCTCACATCCCAGATGGGATGGTGCACAGGACATTTTTTCATGCAAACATTTTCAAGTACTGACACAATTCTCATTCTTGCCAAGTGTAAAAGCCATTATATTTGTGCTATTACTGTATCATTGTATTCCAGCTGTTTCCAGTTCTTTGGCATTATAAGTAGCACTTCTGTAAACATCTTTGTGCCTCTGCTCTGTTTTCTTATTTCATATCTGGATTATTTTAGAAAGGGTGTATTCCCCAGAGCAGGATTCCTGGGTCACAAGGCGTGAACAGCTCTGTTACTCACTGCTAGATCCTCTTCAGAAGGGTAGGACTGAACTTCAGGGCTCCCATCCAGGTATCCAATTTCCCCACAGTCCTGCCAGAAGAAAACTTTCTCTCTGATCTTGGGTCTGCCAGTTTAATTGGTGGGAGGTGGGCGCAGGGTCACAAGTGGCTCTGAGACCAAAAAAGGCTGAAGGATTCCTGAAGAGAGCTGCCCATCACCTCCTACCCCACTTCTACCAATCAGTTCTTTCTCAAGAGCTTAGCTCAAGTGTCGCTACTTCAGGGAAGCATCTGTGAGCCTCTCCTGCTGAGCCAGGAACCCAGTTCTATGCCTTTATGGTGCTTGTGGTGCTCCTCACAATTGCTGCTAAATGACTGTGACGTGGATCGTTTAATATCTGTCCCCAGCATTAGATTATGAGCTCCATGAGGGCCGAAAAAATTTCCGTCATACTTAGTATCATAGCCACAGCTTCTTGTGCCGGGTCTGGCGTGATGTTGCATGTGTCCAGCAAAAGTTTGTTCAAGGAAAGAAAGGAGGGCAGGATGACAAGATCAGAACCCAACAGATGTTGCAAGGCATGGAGAGGGGAGAAAGAAAAAGGAAAGAATAGAGGTTCCAAGTTCTCACAGAGATCAAAGGTGGAAAGTGTATATCAGTGAGTGAAAAATGGCTGCTCGAAACTATGTGGAGGGAAAACCAGAGGAGACAAAGCCAGAGGCGGCTGCTGAAACATAGCCGGCACGGGGCACAGGCTGGCTTTGCCCTAACTGCTCATCTGCTCCTAACTACTTATGACTCAAGCAAGAAGTGTACTCTTCCCAGACCTCAGTTTCCTGACCCATGAATGTAGATAAGAGGCTGCTGTGGAGATGAAATGATTCTCAGGCACCTAGTTCTTAATAGTAAGAGCCACTCATAAATGAAATCTGCCTGCCCCTTCCCCCTGGCAAACAAGATGTGTTGAATTTGAGGGCCAAGCAGTTTCTGAGTTTGGAAATGTGTCAAAAAGAAGGGACCCACATTTACTCATATATTCATTTTTAATAATAACAGCAGCAGCTGCAGAAACAACACACTCTCCTAGGGGTTGGAGGCCCTGGGGGCAATTTAAAGCCCCCAGGGGAGGCAGCACAGCCATGGTTGGTCAGGAAGGACCCCCAACTGCATCTCTGGGTGCTCCTTTTACAACATTGCCCAGGGAGTATGGAAAAGGAGTTGATTTTATAGATTTTTAGCCTTCTTGGAAAGGAATTTTCCCCGTCTCGTTTGTATTCCAGACTAATTACTGTGAAATAACATAATTTAATTGCACTTAAGTGCAGAGAGAAAGAGAAAACAGCCCCCCTGATGGCTATTCTTGCACTGAGTAAATACCTAACTGGAGGAGAAGTTAGGAAGGGGCCAAACTTAAGTCTGCTAGGCTTAGGGGACAAGGCGGGAGCAGAGCTCAGCCTCTTTTCATGGCAGGGAGGAAGAGCAGGGTGGAAGGAAGAAGGGAGCAGTGAGAGGAAGAGAGAGGGCTGAAAAAACCACAGTATTTCTCCTTCCACTCAGTGCTTCTTCCTATCAGTAAAACAACAAAACCAGAACTAAACAGCTTCATCCTTCTAAAGACAGCAATATGATCTCAGAGCAAAAGCACAGACTGGGCCGAGTAAGACCTGCATTCCAAACCCAGCTCAGACACGTTTTCAAACCTCTCTGTATGTTGGTTTCCTCATTGGTAAAATGTCAATTAGTATCTAAGTGGTGTTTTGAGCATTAAGCAAGAGAACATCTGCAAAGGGCCCAGTCCAGTGGATGACCCATAGTAGGTGTGGAGTAAACGCAGCTTTCCAGCAGCTGAATCACCAGGAGATTTTAAACCCTTTCAGGTTTAGCAGCCAAGAGCCATCCCTGGATGCAGGGATTTCAGGTGATTAAGCAGAAGGAGCTTCCCCAAATTCAGGTTTAAACTGGTGGGGAGCATTCACTGAGCCTGTCTTTTGGACTGTGTCCCAGGCTGTGAGGAGCAGACAAAGCCAGATAAGCTAGCGTCACTGCCTCTGAGCCATCCATACTTTCTTGGACAGCCAGATGTGTAAGGAGCTGATGGCAATTCTATGCAGATGATAAAGGTATATTACTGGAGTTTGAACCTATCCCTGTGGGATTCCAAAGGAGACAGCAATTCATTCTAACTGGGAGGATCAGGAAAAAATTACAAGGCATTGAGCTTGTAAATCAAGTAAGATATTGAAAGAGAAGATCGGAATGGCTTTCTGGAAGACCGAACAGCCTAAGCAAAGGTAGAGGATAGTAGACAGGAATGTTGGATATTTCTGCATCTGTATCAGAAGAGTCCACATTAAAGTGTCCATTTGTGCATTTTACCTATCTATGGGCCTCAATCTGTACTTTCATTCTGTTTTACTGAAGACTTTCAGTATAAAACTACAGAAATCACAAGTGCTGGTAGACACTGGCTGCCTTTCCCCTTAGAAGAGAGGCTCCACTAGGCAAATACAGAATAAATACCATGCCTTTATGTAAGGCCTTTTAATTTTTCTCTCCAGCAGTCAATGCACTCTCTATAATTATTAACTGCATTTCCTTGCCCTGCAAGCCCCAGATGTGGAAACTGAGGCCTGCTGCAGTCAAATAACTTGTTCGGCTGGAATGGCTGGTAAGTAGTAGCGCTGGACCTAGAAATCCAGTTTTCCAACTATAAACCCTATGCAGACCGTGCTGCCTCTAAAAGCCCTCCTCTCATGTCCCTGTCCCCATACCTGAGGCTCAGAACAAACAAGGGCCACATTGCCCTTCTGTCTGCAGCTTGCCTTTGCCCCTGCTCCCAGCCACTCCCAGCAAAGCCTAAGCTGATGTAACAGCACACACAAATATGGCAGCACACACAAATCTAGAGTTTGCCTTGTGCCAGGCAGGTGCTATTCTGAGTGTTACATGTATTTCCTCATTTAATATTCTTCAACAGTCTTACTTATCCAGTAAGTATTTGTTAAGTGCAAACAGGGGCACCATGCTGTTTTTATTTCCATTTCCATAGATGAGAAACTGAGGCCACGAAGGTTAAATGATATGTCCAAAGCCAGATCTCTAGTGAGAGAAAGAGACAGGACTCACACCCAGAGCCCATCCTCTCCTCATTGGCCTCTACCCTTCCCATATGCTGGGGGGCATTTAGGGAAGGTTTTCACCCTTCTGAACTACTGAGAGGATGCAAGTAGCTCCTTGCTAATGAAAGAAACTAGGCTGGGCACAGTGGCTTACACCTGTAATCCTAGCGTTTTGGGAGGCCAAGGCGGGCAGATCACTCAAGGCCAGGAGTTTGAGAATAGCCTGGCCAACATGTTGGAACCCTGTCTCTACTAAAAATACAAAAATCAGCTGGGCATGGTGGTGCACGCATGTAATCTCAACTACTCGAGAGGCTGAAGCAAGAGAATCACTGGAGCCTAGGAGGCAGAGATTGCAGTGAGCCTGGGCAACAGAGTGAGACTCTGTCTCAAAAGAAAAAAAAATGAAAGAAACTAACTTATCTTCTTATGAAGGAAAAATGAACATCCATCCGTCTGTCCTGCCCCGTGTACTGTGCCAGCACTGCCATGCACATGTGCACTGACTGGGGCGGCGGTTTGCACCCAAAGTGCTTCAGGACTGGAGCCAACAGGAGGCCAGGTTATGAATGTCAGGAGACCTCAAAACCTATTGCTTATTGAGCAACAGCACCTTGTAGTATCTGATTCTGCTGTTCTCCAGGCTTCCTCCAGCATGAGTAGATTGTCACTGGCGTAACATGTCACTTTGGAGAAAGCCCTTCCTGCTGGCATGTGGCAGGCAGCTAGATTGATCATGCCCTTGAGCCTAGAGTTAGATTTTGTTCACAGCCTCCAGTGGGAAAGAAAAAATGCCAGTATCATTAATTGTAGTGTGGCCTCCATTTCATCACATTGTCTCAAATTTTACCACTCAGATCATCTGTAGAATGGAGTATATTCCTCAGACCCCTGTGTGTGTCTCAGCCTGTGTGTGGCACTGTGTATATAAGCACACACTTGATTCCAACTCTCTTTGCAAAAAGGGTATTTGAGAGGAGATGGAGTAGGAGGGTAACAAAGCTTTAAATGAAAATTTTAGGATAATTAGCACTTTTCTTTACCTAGAAGCTGAAAATTCTTCTTTTCTACCTTGTTTATGTCTTCTGACTTTTCTGTAGTGCAGTAAGTCTATTAAATAGCACTATGCATACACCTAATTGTTGAGGTCTGAAACTGTGTGGGTGGTTTCACATATAAATCTTTGTAACAGTCTGTGTATTAAACACAGACTGTATTACATTAGGACATTTGGGTGTTCTTTCATTCATTAACTATTAAGCAATATTATAATAATGCCTTATATTTTCAATATACTTTATAATCTCTAAATTCTAAATTCTAAAGAATCCTCATTAAATTTAATTCTTACAAGAGCCTGGGAGATGGTTTTCTATTATTTCCATTTCCACAGATGAAAAAACTAAGAGTCAGGTTGGTTAAGTGACTTCCCTGTTGATGCACAGCTGGTAAGGGCCAGAGCTGGGAGCCTTACTGTCTCTCTACAGATCTGTTCCACTGGGTACTAAGCCTGGTAGAGAAATCAGCAAGGGACAGGAAGCACAGGTATGCATACCATGAGGGCAGTGTTTATGGGAGAGGGGCAGAAATAATGATAAGGGCCCAGGGCTGAGGGCAGTGGCTACTTTTGGCTGGGAGTGATGGTGGAAATCCTCACAGAAGAGGCAATATTTGAAGTATGTCTTGAAGGATGGGGGAATTTTTTCTTAATAGAGAAGGTGGTGACCGTTCAAGCAGAGGGCATCGTATCAGCAAAGGCATGGAGGCTAGATGGCCAGGCAGGCTCAAGAGACAGAGAAATCCACACAAAGTGAGACTCCTGAGCAGGCAGAAGTAGCGTAGACCATTGAATATTGTGTTCAACACACATTTAAAATGCTCTTTTAACATCCTTTCTGTTCTGAAGAGATACCATGTCAAGTGTCTATTTTCAGAAAAATATTGCCAACGAAATTTGAGTAAAAAGGCAGGTCCATATAACAATGAGATTGGCAATGTTGGTTTCTTTGTTTTTTGTTTTCCATTTTTGACATTTTCACAGCTTGATACCTAATCAGAAAAGCAGTGTGGTATAGTGGTTAGGGGCAGGTTCCATCTGGACTTAACTCAGATCTGAATTTGGTCTCTACCTCTAATTAGAAGGTAACGTGGGACAAGTTGATAGACCTCTTTAAGCCTCAGTTTCCTCATCTTACAAATGAGAGTAATAACAATACTTACCCCATTGGGCTTTGTGAGGATTAAATGATACTGTTTCTAAAACACTCAGCACAGTGCTTGGTACAGTATAGCTTCCAAGTAATGACTATGGCTGTTAACATTATCATCATCATGGTCCCTGGAATTCCTTACTGCCTTAAACTTCCTAGTTTTAGTTAAAGACTAAACCAAACCAAGGGTCTGTGTGTAATCAAACAAGAAGCAGAGGTAACTCACATATGAGTGCCTTGCTCCGTGCACAGATAAAGGCAGGGGGGCAGGAAAATATGATATGGTCCCCAAGGGCTGGAAAATACCCATGGGACTGGAGACTGGGAAGCTGTAGGGTGTAAAGGAGGGACATCAAACACTCTGTTCTGTGTGATTTTAAAGTGCTATTTTGAAATGTTTCTCATTATAAAGAAATATTATCCCAAGTTACAAATCTGGGTGGCAGGCTCCACGTTAAGCTGTCTGCCCTCATTCCTCTTGCTGAAGTGAATGATCCAAAGGGAAAAGGCCTCTCCTAATAATACATACACAAATTAAAACTCCATTTGAGGTACAGTGGGGACCACCTCCTAATTGACTTTGATCATGAAAAAAATCAGTTGCATGGCTGGCACACCAAAGAAAATCAGAAGACTGGAGGGTTGCTCTATACAGCCAAGTAGCAGTACATTTTCTTGTAGCTATGGAAATGGAGCATAGCAACAAGCACCTTCTCCTTGTGTGAGCTCCCAAGCACCAACTAAACACACATTTCTCTTTCCTGCCTCATTTGATCGTTAACACAGGTGAGGGAGGGGATGATGCATCTCAGGTGAGAGGCTGGTCCTTTGCAAGTTGGAACACCTTTATATAGACACTTCAGATAGCACTGGGAATGGTGTCATCATGGACTCAAGGGCCACAAAGAAAGGAATGTGATGATGGCACACTTGGGAAATAACAGGCACCATCCCAGACCTGGCAGTGGCGTGTTGTACCACCCAAAGGGCAATGCTGACTCCTCACACCAGCAGAGCAGTTTGAACAGGCAGGAGATCCTTTGGGTTCAGTGATCACTGCATCACTAGTGAGGCCTGACTATGAAGGGCAGATGGTAGGCATTGTACTAGGTTTAAGCACCCCTTCTGTGTGGAGCCGCTTCCTAGAATGCTTGCCCTGTTGATAGTGATTTGACAAAAGCTGCATTTTTGTCCTGATCAGGATGAAATGGAAGCCTGTCCTGTGCTTCCTTGATGACAGTGTGACAAGAACTTCATATCTGGCATCACTGGAATCTGCTTTTGGATCTTGGCACTGCTATGTTGAACGGTACAATTGTAGACAATTCTGGATCCTCGGTTTTCTAGAGATAGAAAATTAAAGTAGTAATATGTACTACTTATCTCTGTTTTGAGGCACCTAATCTATAAAATGGAGTTACTAATACTATCTAACTTAAAGAGTTGTGAGTTTGAATGACATAATAAATGTGAATCCTCCAGTATTATATCATGCACAAGGTAAAATTTTAATAAGTAGGAGCTGTTGTTTCTTTAATAATAATCCTCACTCTGTCTCCTTCCTTTCCTTGCTTTCTTCTTCACCCCTTTGGACCAGGTTCTGGGGGGGCAGAGATGACTGGAATAATCCCTGCCCTAAAGGGAGGGCTGCTTGATGGCCTGACATGGCCCGTGCTGTGGGTTCATTCCCCTTACCTTAGACCCAAGGAGATGGTTCCCTTCACCTGGGAAGCAGCGCCTGATGGAAGAACAAGCAATGAGGATGGCTGTCCTGCTCTGGACATGATTTTCTATTGTGATTAATGTAATAACAGGGTCACTTCGTGGGAAGAGCTTTGAACTAGAAGTCTGAAGAACTGGGCTTAGCTCAGTCCCAGGCCCTGACACAAAGGCGCTAATCAAGCCTGAGTTTCTTCATCTGTGCGGTGAGTGGGTTGGTAGGTACCTGGGAGCTGAGATGTCAGTCATAGCAATGTCCCCTAATACAAAACTCAGGCTTCTCACTCCCCAGGTCCTGATATGTCCTCACTTCATTTTTCAGTGAAAACCTTGATACACAATGAAGATGATGCCAACAAAGAGAGCTCCCATCTGGTAGTTCATGTCAGTAAATACCAAGCTCCATGAGGAGCTCATAAAACACGTCACTTCTTTTAATCTCCACAACTCTCAAAGCTAGGTATTATTATCACCGTCTTATAGATGGGGAAACAGAGGCTCAAAAGAGTAAAGTTGTCATGTAACTGGTCACATCAGAACCAGAGAAGGAACACAGGTCTCTCTGGCTCCAGAGGCTGTGCTCACAGCCACTGCTCTTCACAGCCATTTTCTTGACTTGGGAACCAGCACAATGTGGGAGGTCTGGCAGGGAGAGGTCAGATAACTGGGCTGAGGTGAGTCCAAAGGTTGGTGGGGGGTGGCCAACTCCTAAATTAGTTATATACGGAAGAGGTCTTAGTAGAGCCCACCCGGGGAAAGGTGCCCAGAAAACACAGCTTTCTTATTCTATTACTGCAATAATAGCAGTTTATTCTGTACAAATTAGGTTTCAGTTCCAGTTCCCCTACAACTTGCCTTGTCACCAGTTTTCAGTGCCCTCCAGTTAAGGTGACATTCCTCCTCTGTATTGGTGGTGGGCTCACCTGTTCCCTGCCTCTGTGGCTGACTGCACCTGATCCTCTGGCTCGGGACCAACTCCGCCATGATTTAAAGAAACATTGAGCAGCACCCATGAATCCTTGCTGAAAGGCCTCCTTCCCTATAACTTTGCATGGCACAGAGAAATGATTAACTGTGCCAGAATCCATTCTCCAGAAAACACTTAATTTGGGAGTGAGAGACAGTAGCCCTGATTATTGCAGCCAAGTTTTTCCAGAGACAGGAGGAAAAGCAGTATATTTACTTGATTAAAAATTACCCCCACGTAGTCATCAGTGGGATCCTGACAGGCAGTTTTATAGCAATCATGCTTTTAAAAGATGTTTCATCTATTGGGCAAATATCTCTAGTTCCCATTACCAAAGTCTGTCAGCTAATGGGAGCAGGTGAGGGCCCTCAATTTAAAGAAATTGGCAACTGGCATGGAAGGGAACTAATAGGGAACATATAGAAAGAAGAAAAAGGCAGTATCACAGAGCTGGCTTAAAGTTTTCAGTAGATATAGGAATTAGGGAAATCAGCATAGCAAAATGACAGTGATGATACAACTGCCATTTACTGAGCTCCTGGTATGTACCAGGCATAGTTCTAAGCAAATTACATTATCTCATTCAATCCTTTGAGGTGGATATTATCAGCTTCATTTTACAGGTGAAGAAACTGAGATTCAGACAGGCTAAGTACTTTGCCCAAAGTCACAAAACCAGTAACTCAACAAGCTCTGAGTGCTTTTATAGAAAGACCCAAACACAGACTGACTGTGCCTGTGGCAAGTTGCTTACTGGCATCTACATGGTTTTTGTTTGTGGGGATCAGTTGCTGGTCAGGCAGTCAGGATATGAAAGGATGGGGGCCCATGCTTTGTCCCTGAGAAAAAAGCCTCTTAACAAACTATCTCAAAAGAGCAAATCTAGCTATGCTGTCAGCGAAATCTTTGTCTTAAAATTTTTTTTTAAATTGTAATGTAGTTTTCAGGCATTGTAACTCATCACCAGTGTGATGTGCCAGGAGGGGAACCTGGGCTTTGGAACCATTCAGATCTGTTTTTAGATCGGGGTTCAAATTTGGCCTTAGTACTTCCTATCTGTGTGTCTTTGGGCCAGCTGAGGAGCCTTTCTGAGCCTCCAGTTTCTTCATTTGTCAAACGAGTTTCTCAAGATTCATGTAAAGATTGAGTGAGAGAGCATATGTAATTCCTCATGTCTGGGGTCGGACACAAGGCAAAAGCTCAAAGTCAGGACCCCTCCCCCATGCTGTATCATCTTTCTCTTCTACCTATTGCTTGTGACACTAAGTTGGAGGCTTCCTTTTTAATGCTGATGCACTAAAATGAGTTTGGAAACTAGGAAATAATCGTCTGCTGTAATTCAAATCCTGAGGTCATTTTTATGTATTTCTTTACAAATTGTTTTTCATATGCATACATGGTTTTGCAGAGATGCAGTCAGGAAACACATGCAATTTGGTGCCCTGCCTTTTCTTTTCCTGACATTGTGTTTTAAGCATTTTCCTGCATCGCTGTTTATCTTAGTTATTTTTTGTAATGATTGCCTTATATTCCATCCTGTACCTGTACCATAAGTTAGCTAAGTCGTTCTCCTATTTTTAGACATCGAGTTTGCTTCCAATTTTTTTTCTGTTATCCTGCCGTGTACATCTTGTGTATATAGTTTCTTGGTTTGGAACTTTTAAATGTGGTGGCTTTGTAGCAAAACCAGGAAGATAACCTAGGGAATGAAAGCCTGTCATTTCTGTTATTATTTTATCTTTTTAGTTTTTCACCCCATTAGAGGACCATAAGTCAAAGAACCTCAGTGACTGATTTCATAGAAATAGTCATTTAAAAAAAAAAACTGAGCACTAATATAAAACAGAAAAGTGGGTAGCTGCGTGGTTGGGTTGGTTCCCACTGCCTTTTGAAACCAAAAATGCCACTTGAATCAACAGTTCCTTGTGGTTATAACCGTGTCTAGTCACTCCCTGGAGCTGCTGATGCACAGATGCAAGTGGGTTTGTGCATTCCAGTTTTGGAAGGGAAGTGTGCATCGTGACAGCAGAAACTCACCTGTACTGATATTGGTGACTCCTGCATAATGACTTTGTTAATTGCCTCCTGCTGGCCGGGTGCTGAGGGGAGCCTTCAATGTCTGAACATCTATGGAGCCTTTCTTTAAAATGTCAAGATAGAGCTTGCACTTTCTGAGCCATCTCTCATGTCTCACTGGACAGGAAAAGGCGACGGGGAAAATGTCAGCCCTGGGATGAGATTGACCAGAGCCAAGAGAATCAGAACTTCCCCCACCTTGGCTCTTGGCTTTTAGAAATCATTAACATTTCAGCGTGGGTGATCTTGTGAACCAGCTACCTTTCCACAGCCTTTTTCTGAACTCCTTAGCATCTTTTCACCTTTTCACTGAATTACAAACTAGTCTAACGGGAAAACCAGTATCAAGTTACTTATCTAGGTCACTTTGAGTGTACTTGAGGAAGGTTTTGCACAACAGTTATAAATACACACTGCAGAGTATCATATAGAGAATCCTGTGACGTAACACAGATGATGAGTAGTTACCGTTCATTCTTCAGGGAACATGGAATACAGTGATTATAATTTATATTGTTTCAGTGGCCCAGTCTATCCTTAGCAGGCTGGGGAGAACCGTTTATATTTGTTAGCTTTTTTTTTTTTTTTTAATCTGTGGCTCTGTCTTCCAAATCATTTGGATAACACGCACTCAGCTGCTATACACAGCTTTAAATGAAGATTGCTGTGGGCCAGGGAATATTTATCATCACTATCAGCTCCCCCTCCCTAAATATTTATTTCAAATTTTATTTGCTGCTGGCTTTATCTTCTATTTAAAATAAAATATATAAAAGAAGAAGCTTGGCTTGGGAGCACAGGGTCCTGAGTTTTAAACTTGCCTCAAATTTCTACCAGCTCTGTGGTCTCCAGTAACTTACTTTACTTCTCTGAGTAAATCAGAATATAGCACTATAGCTCTATTTCTATTCTACTTCCATTCTCCAGTAATGTTTTTTCAACCTACTTTTATATAAGTATGAAACTGAATAATATAAATAAAGCACTTGGCATGTAGTGTGCATTCAAATGATACTAATTTTTGTGTTATGATTTTGATTATTACAAAGGATAAAGAAGAGAGGCCACTCGATCATATGTATTTCATGGGCAGACTCTGGCTGAGAATGTGCTGTGTCCTTTGGAAAGAGGAGAGCAGAGCAAACTACTTCTCTCCCTTCCCTCTCCCCCTCTCCCATAACCCAGAACTATAGAATTAACCACCTGCCTAACAATACAGTAAAAGAATGACAGGGTCACTAGCATGACTTATATTTAAAACCTTGGATCACAGATTAAATGTCCCCTTTATTTTGGCTTTAAGATGACTTTGCTGTATTCTCACTCATTTGTGGGAGCTAAAAATTGAAACAATTGAATTCACGGAGATAGAGAGTAGAAGGATGGTTACCAGAGGTTTGGAAGGCTAGTGGGAGGTTTGGAGATAGGTGGCATGGTTAACGGGTACAAAAAAAAAATAGAATAAATAAAGAACTGTGCTATTTGATAGCACAACAGGGTGGACTATAGTCAATAACAATTAAACAATACATTTTAAAATAACTAAAAGTATAATTGGATTGTTTGTAACACAAAAGATAAATGCTGGAGGGAGGGGATGGATACCCCATTTTCCATCACATGAGTATCATGCATTGCAAGCCTGTTATCAAAACATCTCACGTGTCCCATAAGTATATACACCTTCTATGTGCCCACAAAAATTAAAATTTTTTTTAAAAAGATGACATTACTGGTTGAACTTCATGTCTCTGAATCTCTGCTTCATCCTACTCCTTACTTTCCAGGTAGCCATTTCTCAGCCCAACCTTGGTTGGGTGACCCTAGGTTTCCTTCCCTACCCACCAGCTTCTAAAGTTATTTTTGAATGGTTAAATCTCCTGAGAGATTCAGTCTAAGTTGGAGTTGAATACAGAGCTTTGCTTTCCCAGATAGTTTTCAGGAGTGCATCTTCCACAGGCCACGGAGACTATTGGCCAGCCTCACAGCTGTGTTGGCCTCTGTGATTGCCAGGGGGGTACAGTGGAGAGGAAGGGGTGCCAACACCCCTCCCCCCATGTCTCCCCCACCCTCATAACTGTGGACTGTCCTGCCCTCATTAACTTCCCTGGGACCCCAGACCTGTTGATCATTTTCACCTGCAACACTTTTTTCCCTGGCTTATTCCCACCCCTACCCACAACGTATCTTTTTTTTTTTTTTTTTTTAAGCAAGGACTTATTTGCATCTTGTTAAATATAAAAGAAAGCTGTGACAATAAAAATGTTTCTCTTCACAAAGCTGTGAGAGTTCTATTCATTCTGGGATTAGTTAATTCTCATGACCTTTTAACAAGACAGCACTGTTGCACACTTAGATGAGATAATTGATTCTAATGGGGAAAGAAGCATTGCTTACTTAGCTGCATATATCTGATTCGTCTGTAGCTCAAACAATTTCTCCGTTACCTTTGGAGTTGCTAATATATAAAGTAAGAAGGTAAACAGAATTTTGAGCTAATCCAGCCTTGGAAATAGCAGAATATTCACTGCTTCCAGGCAGGTTAACTGTTCAAGTATTATTGTCACCTACATAGGAGGTAGAGGAGAGCAGTGCAAAGCACCTCACCTGGTACCTGGTACCAAAAAAGGTGCTCAATAAATGTCAGTGACTATTGTCATTTCATTATCATCAACAGTACAAATGCAATGAATGGTTATCACGTATAGTTATCACACATGTGTACAGTTTGCAAAGCATTTTACCATGTATTACCTCATTAGGTACAACAATGTTTTGAAGCTTTCTATACTCATTGCTCAGATGAGAAGAATGCAGCTAGGCAGTGGCAGCTGAGATTCAAAACTAGTTTCTTTCCTCTGGTCCCACACACCTTCTCCTGTACCACAGTAACCAAAGAAAAAAGCAAAGTGTCGGATCTCGTTGCTTTCACCCGAGCGTGGCCTCCTGGCTGAAGCAGACTTGTGTGTGTTCCCCATGGCTTGTGTTCAGACTAGAAGTCAAACGGGTATGCTGTGCTCCAGTCTCCTCGGTAGTTTTTTTGTGTGTGTCTTGATGGCAGTCACACAGCCCCTCAAAACCACCATCAGTGACACCTTCATACACTGGGGCCAGGTAACAGAGTTCCCTCTCTAGCTCACAGGATCCTGTGTTACTGCCTAAAAAGAGACTTAAAAGCCTTGGAGGCTGTTTGATGTACAAAAGGGGGATGTCTTTGTAACGCCCACCCTGATAGATACACCAAGCAAGAGGTGCCCTAGCCAAGCAGGCAAGCCTGGGCCTTGATGCCGAGAAGACTGACAGTGCATGTTTTCAGGATTGGAAGAGTTTGGGATTATAGTCTCGTCTCTGCAACCTGTTAGCCATTTAACCTTGCGTGTGTTAATTAGTCTTGTTGTGCCTTAGTTTCTCCATCTGTAAAATGGGGTTATTAATACCTCATAGGATTATTGTGAGAGTTAAAGGAATTATTGCTTGTAATGCTCTCAGCCTAATGCCTGGCATATCATTAAGTACTCAATAAATAATAGTTTTATGGCTATCTTAATTTTAATTAACCTTCTGAGCCTTAATATGCACCTCTGTAAATTCAGTCTGGTGAGATTGCCATGAGGATTAATATATACAAGTTCCCCCACATACTGCCTGTCACACAGTAAATACAATTACTATGGGCCTTCATCTCTCTGAAGATCCTTCCCTGTGTTCTTCTAGCCCCCCTAGCGGGTCAGGCACCCCCTCCTCTAGGCCTTCTGGTCTTGCTGAAGAGACTTTGTTATTTGTCTGTCTTCCCTACTTGGCTGTGAGCTCACTGAAGCAAGGACTCTCTGATTTCATTCTGGCTCTCCAGAATCTGCCATGGAGTGGGCTTTCAGACAGTGTTCACCAAGCAAAGGAGTGAATGTTACATCCAGGGTGTCATGAGGGTCCAGGGACTTGAGCGCTTACTTCCATGTGTGGGGAATTCAGATGGGCATCAGAAGAGGGGAGCCTGAACCACTGACAAGGCCCAAGCCTGGAATCCTAAAATGGGATTTAAGCAGATATTTTGTGCTAGATCACAAACATTATTGGAGATGAACTTCCCAGCCTTCTCAAGCATGTATATCTCAAGGGACAATGTTCATTCTTTTGCGCCTTATGGTCTCTTTCTAGATTGTCGTACAAGACTTTTTAGCAGTTGCTACCTTGGAAAAATATCTTTTTTTTTTTTTTTTTTTTTTTTTTTTTTTGAGACGGAGTCTCGCTCTGTCGCCCAGGCTGGAGTGCAGTGGCGGGATCTCGGCTCACTGCAAGCTCCGCCTCCCAGGTTCACTTCATTCTCCTGCCTCAGCCTCCCAAGTAGCTGGGACTACAGGCGCCCGCCACTACGCCCGGCTAATTTTTTGTATGGAAAAATATCTTTAGAACAGAAATATATGCACATGGCACAAAATGAAAATGTGCAAAAGGTGTACAGTGAAAAGCAAGTTTCCCTCCTATCCCCCGATCCATAGTATCTCTATCCTTCACAGGACACAGCTACTGTTACCAGTCTTTCATATTCTACCAGAAATATTTTATACATTTCCAGGAATTTTTAAACCCAAAGGTAGTATATCAAATACACTTCTGCATGTTATACTTATCTTTCCACAAAAATACATAAAGAACCTCTTTATTCTTGTTAATGGTTGCATCCAATTTTGTTGTGTGGATATTACTTCATTTTCTTGCCCCTTATCAATGGACTGGTTTCTAATATTTTGCTATAACAAATTATACTGAAGTGAATAACCTTGTATGTACATCATTTAGTACATGTATAAGTATATCTGGAGGAGGAATTTCTAGAATTGGAAGCTTTATGTCCCAGGATAAAGGGTATGTGTATTTTAATGTTGCTAGCTTTTATCAAATTGCCCTCCATAGATTTTGTACATTATATTCTCACACCAGTAAAATATGGGAATGCTTGCTTTCCATTCTCTGCCAATATAGTGTATTTTCAACCTTTTTTATCTTTGCCAAACCATATGTGAAAAATAGTATTTCAGAGTCTAACTTACATTTCTTTTGCTATGAATAATGCCAAGAGTCTTTTCATATGATTATGGGCTATTTGTATTTCTTATTCAGTAAACTGTTCATATCCAATGCCTATTTTCCTACTGAGTTGTTGGACTTTGGTTATTATTTGTACAAGTTATTTTTGCGTTAAGGAAATTAACATTGTCATACCAATTGCAGTTTTTCCCCCAGATTGTTATTTATCTTTCGAAGCAAAGACCAAGACCTCCTGAGACTCCCCGATCCTGCCTACTCCCAGTTCCACCAGACTGTGAGCCCCTTGAGGGCAGGGTCTGAACCTTGATCCTCTCTGTCCCCAGTCTCCTTTGCAGGGCTGGCACTACAAGAGCTTCCTTTTGGGGCTACTTGTTGAACTGAACTGAATGCCTGTGTTCCCCCACCCTGCCCACCTTTCCCTTATGGCTTGGGAGTCCCGTTTCTGCCTCCAGCAGAAAAAGATGACTTTTCTCATTGCTCACCACAGCCATGCACCTGTTTGGCCTAAACTGGCACCTGCAGCCGATGGAGGGGCAGATGTATGAGATCACGGAGGACACAGCCAGCAGTTGGCCTGTGCCAACCGACGTCTCCCTATACCCCTCAGGGGGCACTGGCTTAGAGACCCCTGACAGGAAAGGCAAAGGAACCACAGAAGGTAGGGTTGCTGCGTTGTCCGTGTTGTGAGTCCTCTGTGTCTGCCTCTGAGCTGAAGAGCCCTCCATAACGTGCGTGCATCATGTGCCTGGCTCACAGCTCCATGCTCTGGCGCTCCCTCCATCCTTCCACACTCCACGCCAGCTGTCAAGCTGCCAGTCCACCTGTGTCTTCATCGCAGTTCCTTGTCACTGAGAGTTCGTGGGAGGCTCAGGAAGGGCTCATGGTGCTCAGCAGAATCCCATCCCATGCCTTGAGGGAAGCATTAGGGGCTTCACACTGCTGGGGTGGCCATCTTTGTGTGGGGTGAGAGGAGCTCTTCTGGGCAAACCTCATGGGACAGTTGGGCATCTGTGGGAGTGGGGTATGGGGAGGCAGGTAGATGGGGTGTTGTAATGGAAAGATTCTTGGACTCTTGTGGTTTAATAGAAACACCAGTTTAAGTGGTCTGTCATTTACTAAACGTGTGACCTTGAGCAAGTCACTTATTTGCCTGAGCTTCAGTTTCCGCATCCGCAATAATAACAATAATCATTAGTGTTCGTACAGCATGTTTGTTTTAAAACTTTTTGCCAAAAGCATTTCACATTTAATTCCCACAGAGATCCTGTAAGATAATTATTTTATAATTATTCTAGATATAGAAACTAGAATTGGTGCAAAGGATTGCACTAATTAAGTGATTTGGCCAGAGTCACACAGCCAGTAAATGGTAGAGTCTGGGATATGAGCCCAGGTCTGTGACTCCAGGGCTCTCGCTATCTCCATAAGCTTCCCCACCTGACTTACCCCAAGGTTACAAGGCCCTGAAGGAGATGTGGGTGTGAAATTCTATTGTACAATGAGACATGGATATTTCCTATCAATGATGGAAATGGTGGTGGCATTGGGTTTGCTATTCCTGAGTGGGATATCCATAGGCCCATGTTCTCAATGTCTTAGAAATATTTCTAACATGCCATGGACATTGTCAGCCAAGAGTGGCACAGACTCACAAAAATTGGCACCCAGAAAGATGTCTGAGCTAATAACCCAGCCTGGTTGTCATTCTGGGCAGTGTGGCGTTCCCTTCTCCTGCACCTGCTATGGCCTGCTTTCTCTCCCTGTGACCCTTCAGTCAGCACATTGGCAATAGCTGCCTCTAACTTTCACTGCTTACATCTTCTTTTCTCTCAGTTGACTTTTGGGTCATAGCATCTGAGCCTCTCTGCCCTTGCAATAATTTGCCTTCCAGCCACCAGTTTGTTTAACAGGGTGGCATATACTTGGTCAGAGTATCTACTCATGACCTCTGAAATGAGGATCCTGAGGGCCAAAGTCAACTCTTGGCTTCTGGTCATCTTTAAGGGAAGTGGGAACTGAGATCATTTCCACACAGAACCCCTGCCCACTATTTTGAGGGACAAAGCCAGTCCTCTCATTTGCAAAGATTTTAAGTCTTAAAATGCTAAATAGTGCACACTTTCTTTGCCTCTTAATAGGATATGGAGGGAGGAATCATGAATGGGACCTGGGAAGAGCTCTGGGTTAGAAGTCAGAAGCCCTGAGTTCAATTCCAGCTGCAGCCACTGACCTGTGGTATCACCTTAAGCAAATCCCTTGAACACACTTTCTGGGAGTCCTTTTCTCCTCTTCAAAAGGAGAATATTGAGCTAGATTCTCTCTAAGGTGCATTCTGATTTGTAAGTTCTACATATGAAAATAGCAATAGAATCATGTAAGTAACCAGATGGCTCTTCAGAATGTCATGTTGGCCCTGTCCATGGTCCTGCCTTTTGGCTCGTGGTGCCCATGTCAGCTTCTAGCGTCAGATGCCATGGGTTAATACCATAATGTGAAGACTGTCTTTAGATCAGCATGTACAAATGTAGATTTAAAATATGCTTAACCCTCAAGGAACTGGTAAAGGATCTCATTTGGCAAAACGTATTTTCTTCCCTCTATGATCTCTATCAGACGTTCTTTAAACAGGAGTCGGATCTATCTGAAATCTCTCACTCTAATGAAATTAGTCTGTGGGTTGTTTAGGTTTTGTTTTGTTTTTGTAAGGAACAGGAGGTGCAGATAAGAGATAAAATAAAATTGCACCAGATTATTGGTTTATTTTAATTGGAGTATTTTTGCTTAAAGGGATTATCTGTCATTACTGATGCAAATGGAAATCCTGTTTGCAAATGCCTTCAATGCAGCACTGTGCTGCAAAGTGGTCAGCATCAGAAGCAATCACTGTGACAAAAAAAATACGTCAGACTGGAAACCAGAGGACAAAGCTTCCTATAGTTTATGTGAGACCACAATGTTCTTCCTTTATTTTGCCCTGGTCAAACCAATGTCTACTCAGTGTATGTTTTTCATTGTGATGTTAAAAATGCATTCCCCTAGATATATCTCAATGCAGAAAGTCTTTAACTCTGATGTGAGCACATATTTCTCATCCCTTCTGAGGATATTCAAGAAGACAGCTGATTCCAGAATTAAGATTAGAGTCTCTGCTTCACAATGATGGAGAAAGCAATGTGGTGTGATAGAAAGGGGTAAATGGGCCTTGGAGCCAGACAGTATAGGATGTTAATCCTGACCCTGCTTTATATTGGCTCTGTTAACTTATGGCACTTACTGCATCTCCCTTGACCTTCCTCATCTGTAGAACAAGGATAACTATATCTATCCATTCAAAGCCTAATGTTGAAGTGGCACTCAACAAATATTTGTTCTCTTCTTCTTATCCACTCAAATCCCATGCCATTCCATATTAGTTATTAAAATCCCAGAAGTCCAGACTAATTAACATTCTCTCCCTGCCACAGATTCTGCAAAGGTTTGAGGTATTTTTGAATATGTTAAAGAATATATATTTCTTATTTATATGAATTAAATGTATGATAATCCAAGAATTGTAAATGTTCATCATGTCCTTGAGAATAACATGAAACTGCAGTTCATACTATATTTTCCAAATGGCTGTAACCATTCCAGGGTTGTGATGGGACAGAAACCAAATACAGCAGCTTTTCGAACTAAAGCCACAAGAACTTGTGTTACACATTAATGGGGAAGGGAAAAAAACATTGAATAAACAGGCATTTCTGATGGTTGAATTGGTGGGCTTGGGATAGCATTTTCTTCTTTCTGCAGTGAAATAAAAATTGCCCATTAGTTTGAACCATGCAAATTGCTGTGCGCAGGCTCAGCTGGGCTCTCCAAAACAGAACAGCTTATTTTGATAACCAAATAAATTTCAACCAGTTGCTAAGGAAACTAAAGAATTCTTCATGCAAGTTATTGCATTGAAAAGAACCAAAAAGGTGGAGGGAGAGAAAGAACATTAGTTGATTAGGAATTTAGAATCTATATAGGTAGATCTCAGTTCAAGAAAGTAAAGGCTATGATTGAGAAGTGCATGAAATTTCAGTTCTTCCAAATCTTGCTTTTTGACTGAGCTATCCATTTTAGCAATTCATTAAGAAATTTCTTTTATAGACATGATTGCATATTTGCACAGCATTGCTATGGGAAGCCTGAATCTATCTAGCTTTACAAAGCAAAGGACTATTATCAGTAAAATCTGCCTTGTGAGGCCTAATCTTGCTGTAGGGGAGCCCTAATTGTGACCTAAGCTTTTTGCAGTGTTTGTTAAGTCTCTGGGGGCACCCAGTGATTGTAGAGTGTCCTTCTCATGAATGTTTTGAGACCCTGACTGTTGCCCTTTAACTTTTGGACCTGTTTGTAGGTTCCTAATTCATACAAATGATCTTTTTGTACCCTAGGATGCCAGGAAGTTTTTTAATGGGCCTTGGATCTACCTGGTCAAGCTCTGATATTTAGCCTGCTGGGGCTGTGAATCCTATCGGACTCTTGATCTTTAAGAAGGTCAATGCACCCCACCACCACTGAGAATGTCTTTGTAGTGTTTTAATTAATCATTCATCAATTTGATCCCTTCAGAAGCCATATTTTAATAAATAAAGATGGATCCCAAAATGGTTTCTTAAGCTTTCTGAGCCTCCATATACAGATGTTAATTAACTGAACTGATACACAGGAAGGTACCTGCCACTGTGCTTGGAGCTCATCAAGTGGAAGCCAATATGACTAGTAATACTAATACCTCTACCTTTATTGCTATTTCCACCATTAAAATCTATTACTATTTTTATCTTCCAGAGTGTAGGTAGGGATAAGAAGAATTGTATACACAAGACTTTTTGCCTCCAATTGCCTCTAGCCTCTCCTCTCCCTTATGATTCCACCACTGGTGGCTTTTGCTTCATGGTGGAGGATATTTTATATCCTAGTGCTCACAGCTTTGTGCTCAGAATTAAGGACAAAAAGTCTTATAGCATCTAGAAAGTGTAAGGCAATAAGGATTTTTAACAAGCAAGACAGAAGGAAGGCATTTCACTTTCCCAACCCTCAGCCCAGCCCATGTCATGACTCTTTCCCCTCAGGTAAAGGTGATCAGCAGGCTGTTAGCATTTCCCCCTCAACAGCTCCCAGCCTGTCCCTGTGGTGGGATTTGGAGACCACTGGTGACCAGAGGCCCTCAAGGTCCTGATAGAGGATATGCCCCAGAGCAGAGTTCACTTTTTTTTTTCAGCATATACACACTCAAGACAATTTCTCCCTCCCATCCAGCCCATCTAGGTGAAATACTAAAGTGCTAGAAAAGTCCCCTTTTGTCACCTCCTCTGGGGTAAGAGCCAACTTATTTATGCCTGAGGCCTGCAGACCTCTGACTTATAAGGCTGCAAAACCTAGCTGATACAGTCACTGTCTCCTAAAAATACGCTCATTGAGGGAGAAAATGAACTGTGCAGGGTTCTCCAGCAGCATGCTAAAATGGGGGAGCAGTTTTCCAGTATTTATTTTCAGACATGGGAATTATTTGAATTCAGACAATTCTCAAATCCCATCAGCTCAGACTGCCACCTACTCACAAAGGAAACGCATCCTTGGAACTAGCAGTGTTGTGCTTATTTCTTTTCAGTTTCTAGGAGGAAAAAGCTCAGAAGGCATCTGCTTTGTTTCATTCTCCCTCTTAGTTCTGCCTCCCTAGCAAAATTAAAAGCTGATGGCAGACTATTTCCTCCTGGAATATAGAATGGCTGTGGTATTGGGAACCCAAAAATCAGATAAGAAAGAATGTAAATAATTCTCTTCCATCTCAATGCATTGTGAATTTGGGTTCTGTCTTTGAACTTTGTGAATCACAGCGTGGTGGTTTTTGTATCTATATTTGATGTCTGAAGTACATTCCTTCCATAAAGGAATTAAAAAGCAAACTCTTTCCCATGCTAATGACAGAATACTAGTGGTACTTTTATTGATAGTGCACATTTTAACTTTTTTGTTGGCATATTTTTAATTAAAATAACATTTAACAGTTTGAAGCTAAAAACCTGATGTTTCTGCCTAGGAGTTTATAAGGGAGTGATAACATATGGAGAAGTTTAACATTTAAATTGAATTTTATTATTTAAAACAGTAAAATGTTTTATGACTACAACAATGCCCTGCCAGGCTTCATTTCAGCATCAAATGTGCTTTGTAAGGAGTCTTACAAAGCTAGGGGGAAAGAAAGACATTTTAATTTCCTATTCCCCAAATGCTGTTTACAAAAAGTTCCAAAGTGTGTTTTCTTTACAAATGAATTCTTGTTCTCTGAAGTGTCTCTTCGAACATCTCTAACATCACAAAAAAACCGCTTGGAACCAGGATACCCAGGAAGTCCTTCATAACAACAAATAAAATACAGCCTGTTGACTTGATGCTGGTCTTTCAGTGTGCTAAGGGTGGTCTTCCTAACATCCCTAGAGTCTCTCCTGTTCCTTCTCAACTCTTCAGGAGGCTGATGTCTGGCAGGAAGTTAGGGTTTGTATTTTTCACATATGAGTGTGCTTAATTACTAAATAGAAGGAGTTTGATAAGCTGCCTTCCTTGCTTGCATTTGTGGTGCCCCCAGAGAGCTGTCACCCTCCTAATCAGTATAGAAATGGCCGAGAGACTTTACTCATGACACCCTGCATGGATGCTTAGCACAGGGTTGGGAGCCTGGGTGGAATTTCCAGGTATGGCATAGGCTTGGTGTGTGAACTTGGGAAATTCCCTCAGCTTGACCCATTTTAGCACAGATATTATATTTACCCTCATCCAAAGACAAAGGAACATTTTGCAGAAATATTTCCTCTTTTCAGAAGTACCTTTTCCTCATCTTCCCCAGCCCCTAACCCTGCCCTAAGCACAACCCCCCATCCACATATCAGCCTCAGAATTTGGCTTCCAATGTATACACAAATTAGTGAGCTTTTTAAATACCTTACTCCATCAAGTCATGCTTCCCACTGCTGGGGGACTCATTCTGAGTTGGAAAATTAATAACACTTTGTTCCCCCATCCTTTCTATTTTACCGTGAGCCCCTTAACACACCAAATCACAGAGCTATTTTCATGTGACCACAAATGATTATTTTTAGGATCAAAATATATCTTAACAAGCTGTGGAATTATGCAGTAAACAGATGGCCCTTGGGGAGGACCCATACTGCTTTGGAAGAATGCATATTTTTAGCAGAATAATTTGAGCATCGCTGGGGGGAAAAAAAAGTTCTGGACCTTTTTACTCCTCCATGTGGGGAGGGCCAGGGTGGGGAGGAAGCTGACAGCAGAACATTATAGAGAAGGATGTGAGGCTAAGGAGAGTCCCGGGTGTTCAGATGCCCTGGTTTCTCGTTTCCCATGTGGCTAACCGAGATGTCTTTGTCTTCCCTTCCCTCTATCTTGGTAGGAAAGCCCAGTAGTTTCTTTCCAGAGGACAGTTTCATAGATTCTGGAGAAATTGATGTGGGAAGGCGAGCTTCCCAGAAGATTCCTCCTGGCACTTTCTGGAGATCTCAAGTGTTCATAGACCATCCTGTGCATCTGAAATTCAATGTGTCTCTGGGAAAGGCAGCCCTGGTTGGCATTTATGGCAGAAAAGGCCTCCCTCCTTCACATACACAGGTAACCAGAACCCCACATACCCTGTTGATCTGCATGGGCTCCTACCTCAAATCTTAACCCAAAGTTAAGAAGCCCAATCCAGAGCCTTAAGCCTGAAGGGACATTTATATATTTTATAGCCCATTCATTCATGTAGTCCCTCTCAGACCCACCCTTTCAGATGAGTAAGGTTATATCACTGGGGCTTTCTAGGAGGAAAGAATTCTAGGAAATCTCTTAACAGCCTTTCTGCTATTACTCAGTCTCCTAAGTTAAATTATCCAGGAAATGTGATCTAGAGAAAAAAGCATGCAGTTTAGAATCAGACAGATCTGAGTTTGAATCCTCTTGTTATCAGCATTGTAACCTTGGCTCCATCACTTAGCTTCTCAGAGCAAGTTTCCTCATCTATAAGATGCCGGTAACAATACCCACTTGGCAGGGCTGTTGTGAAGAAAGAAGAATAACATTTATAAGGCAGCTAGTGCAGGACCTGGCTCAGAATAAATGATTCTTCCCTAGTCTTTCTTATTCCTTCTCTCCTTCAGGGTTACACATTGACTCAAACACATGCACACCAGAAACACTGAAAAAACCTTGTCCAGGATGACTGACATATTACCAATCATGATTAATGAAGAACAGACACTTGTGCAAGGTCCTGCCAGCCCTGGAATTGGAGTAATGTAAATCATAGGCATTCATCAGGCATTCCTAGGCCAAATGCAGCCTTCCTAGCCCTAGTAGTTATTTAAGATTTTTAGCTAAAAGACAGATATGTTTGCTAAAGAAGGAATCACAGGAGAAGAGCCTTGAGACCCTGTTGACTGCAGACTGGTATGCTAGTCCTGGCCTGCATATCTCCAGACAGTTTTTCATGAAATTGAATAAATATCTTGTTTGGTTTTTAAAGCTAGCTAGCTAGCTAGCTAGATAACTACCCAATTTGCTTGCTAATAGGCCAGTAGGACTTAACCACCTACTTGTTGTTAACACAGTGTAACTGACTTTTCTGGAGTCTCACACAAGCAGTCTCCGATCAATTGGCAATTGTATTTGACACAGCATGTAATTATTGATAGAGTTTTGAGCTAATCCAGTTGAGTTCCCCTAAATTTGCTCCCTGAAACTAGAACATTCAGAAAGAACCATTGACCAAAGGAAAATAGACATAAATCAAATTTTCATTTGCACATGACTGATGTTCCAATCACATCCAATGCTCCAATCCCAGTCCCAGCCACCCGCCTCTGCTCCCCTCCACCACCCCCCAAGATTCTTGTCAGGACTTGCATGAAGTTCAACCAATTGTAAAGTGGCTGTGTTTCTAACCACACACCCGGCATTGCAAAAAAGCATGGTTGTCCTGGTACAGACTCAGCCAGGGGAAGATTCACCACCAGTACAAAAAGAACTAAAACAAAATGAGACTAAAAAATAATCCTCTAATTATGCCTCACTCACAGGAGAACCGGGAGAATATCACCATGAAAAAATGGGTCTGGGGAAGAGTTGAGTTGATTGATCAACCTTCCTGCACCCTTAGCCTCTTTGGGCCCTTTTTGCCTCTATTTGTGTTTCCCAATGTCCTCTCCAGGAGAAGCCCCGGGAAGGACGCTGGTGCGTGGTGGAACAGACCCACTGCTAACTGTGCTTTCTCTGTCTTTCAGTTTGACTTTGTGGAGCTGCTGGATGGCAGGAGGCTCCTAACCCAGGAGGCGCGGAGCCTAGAGGGGACCCCGCGCCAGTCTCGGGGAACTGTGCCCCCCTCCAGCCATGAGACAGGCTTCATCCAGTATTTGGATTCAGGAATCTGGCACTTGGCTTTTTACAATGACGGAAAGGAGTCAGAAGTGGTTTCCTTTCTCACCACTGCCATTGGTAAGGGAGCCACACCCTCTGGGGGCTGTGGGATATTGTCTCTTTTGGTCGGAGGCTGCATGGAGATTCTGGGACTGACACTGACAAGGGGATGTCAGAGCTGTGGATGGCCCTGGAGCTTGGCACGAGACCCTCCTGACTGGGCCTGCTACACAGGGAATCGCCCGCCATTCTGAGCTGGCTTCTGAGCCCAGGGCTGTTGCCCGCTGCTTCTCTCCTGCTGTCTGTGGTTGGTGTGCAGTGCATTTCAAGGTGGGAGTGGAATTGTGAGACAGGAATCCTGGACAAGCCACACAGAGGCAACATCTCTCTTCTTGGCACTTCTCTCCCACGTATTTGTCTTTAGAGTCTCACTTGGTTCACCTCACTGATTTGTGGTTTGGGTTTTGTTTTGGTTTTCATTCTTTTTTGTTTTGGAGCCAACAACCCCTGGCCAATGAGAAAAGAGGATACAGGCTTGAAGAGAGAGTAAGAACAGCAGTGCAAAAGGCTGGATGAACCATGCCATCAGTCAGACTGGGGTTTTGTTGAGAATAGAGATGTCCTAATCTCTGACAAAGAGTGGGCCCTGATGTGCGAAATAAATGAGTGCTTAACACCTTCACTCTCCCTCGCAGTGGAAGAGGGCCTCAGCTCCCAGTTCACCCTGAGCCCCTGGGCCAGCTCAGAAGCCTGTAGGTGTCTGGGAAGCCTGGCACCCTATTTAAAGAGTTTCTCTTCTTTACCAATACATTGCACAGAATGTGTCTGCTTCTTAGACTGCCCTAATGTGCTGCAGGACACAGTGGTCTTGGCAGTTCGGGTCAGAAAACATTTTTTTCTGAGTTTATATTAGAAGCACTATGACATAGTCTGGAGATAAAAATTCCCTACAGGAAAATAAAAGTTATGGAAGAATATAACTCCATTAAACAGAACACCTGGGAATGGGGTTTCTGCTTAATCAACAGTTCTATGTGGTCTGGAGTTCACCTGAAAACTCTGTCTCAGTCGTTGGCTAGGAATCTCTCTGACATGGAAAAATGGAGTTTGATAAAAGTTTCTGAATCCAGGCTAGGTGTGGTGGCTCATACTATAATCTCAGCACTTTGGGAGGCAGACGCAGGAGGATTGCTTGAGACCAGGAGTTCAAGACCTGCCTGGGCAACATAGCAAGATCCTCCTTTCTACAAAAAAAAATATTAAAAGTATCCAGGTGCGATGGTGCATGCCTGCGGTCCCAGCTGCTCAGGAGGCTGAGGTGGGAGGATCCCTTGAGCCCAGGAGATTGAGGTTGCAGTGGGCTATGATCATACTACTGCACTCCAGCCTGGGTGACAGACTGAGACACTGTCTCAAACAAACAAACCCCAAAAAATCTCTGAATCTGGTACTAGGTTTCCAAAACTCTTACAAGACCCTGGTTCTTACTTTTTGTTTTTTAGACCAGGTCTCACTCTGTTGCCTGGGCCGGAGTGCAGTGACTCAATCACGGCTCACTGCAACCTTGAACTCCTGGGCTCGGGTGATCCTCCTGCCTTGGCCTCCCGAATAGCTGGGACCACAGGCACACACCACCATGCCCAGCTAATTTTTGTATGTTTTGTAGAGATGAGGTTTCACCACATTGCCTAGGCTGGTCAAACTCTTGGGCTCAAGTGAGCCGCCCACTTTGACTTCCCCAAATGCTGAGGTTACAGGCATGAGCCACCATGCCCAGCCCCTGGTTCTTACTTCTAAACAACAGGAGTCATTTTCAGTCCATTTCCTGCTTACTTGAAATTTGCCCTTTGTGTTGAGACAGAAAGTATCTTCCCATTAAATACAGGGTGTGGCTGAAAAGCTTCTGCTCTAAATACAGGCTCAATATTTCACCTCTTGGCAAAATGAAGGAGGTGGAGGCTTTCAGGCAACTAGCTCTGATGTAGAAATTATCACTTTGTACAGTCCTTGTTTTAGAGATGTCTGTCTGAGCCGCTGGACTCCGAATGCCTAGAGGGCAGGGGCTTTGACAGGATCTTGTCTGCCTCCTGGCACCCAGCCCAGTGGGGTGCAGTGTCGTGCAGTGAATGAGGGAACGAACTCCCCTGGCAGGATTGGCGGCAGCAACTGCCAGGCAGTTGTGGTGCTGTTGGTTTCCTCCCTGGATACCTTCTTGTGAACTGTGGCAGGGATTGTGCTCCATTTTCAGTCTCCAGCACAAACTTGGGTTTTGACCTTGCACAAATCACTTGGGGTTCCCAGCTCTTAGTTTTTCAGGATTCTGGTATTTGAGGCTGCAGCTCAGAGTCACTGGTGACATTAAGGCTAACAGTATAGCCTGTTCCCTGTCATCAGAGGCCCCAGTCTGGCCGTCATCTTGTTAGGCTGTCACTTGGCAGGGTTTGGGAGGCTACAGGCCCTGATTCTTTTTTCTCTCCGGATAGGATGACGACAGTTTAGGGACATGATCATCAAGTCGTGGTGGTGCTTGAGTTACAGCTTCATGGTCTCGTGGCCTGATTTCCCTTAAGCGTGGTTTACAGAGAAGCATAGAGTAGTGCTTGTTCAAAACTAAGTGCTTTTACAATCAGAATTCCTTATTTTTAATAACTTAGCATAAATATGAAAGGATATTAATCAAACCCCAGAAGAAAGCCACTTTTAATTAGGATACACATCTTAGAGGAATAAACCATAGGCACAGTGAGGCATCTTTGCCAACCCTTGGCTTGTCAGAGCTTGCTAACCTGTCTTCTCATAATTAGGGAGACGGTCTTCTTTTCCCTTTGGTTCTGCCATTCTCACCTAAATGTGGACACCTGTCTTCACTTCCTCTTAACCCTGTATTTTAGGGCCAATAGGTCATACCGTGCTTCTCAGACTTGAGTGAACCACCTGAGGATCTTGATAAAATGCAGATTCTGCTTCAGCAGGTCTGGGTGGACCTTAGATTCAGCATTTCCAACCATCACCCAGTGATACTGAAGCTGCTGTGGACCACATTTTAAGTGGCAAGGGGTTAGACATAGTACTTTACAGATGGTTCTCAAATACTGTTGAATAAAAGAATCACCTGGGAAGCCAGGGGAACATTCATATTCCTGGGCCTTTTCTCCAGAAAATATGACTCAGTAGGCCTGCGGTGAAGCCCAGGGGATCCTGATTCTGGTGTTCTGTCAAGGAAGCTTTGAAGACAGACGCCTTATGAGAACTACTTTCCATTCCTTCCTTCCCCACTGTCACATGTTAGCTCTGTGATCAGAGACAGTCATGCCACCTCTCTGAGCCTCATTCTTCTTGTTTGGAAAATGGAACAATAGTACTTTGCAATCCCCATCGTGAAAATTAAACAGAGAAATAGAAAGTGCTTAGCACAGGCTCTGGGCTACCACAAGCACTCAATAAATGGAAGCTGTTTTAATATTCTCTCCCATCCTCTTTCTCCTTCCACCTTTCTCTTGCTGCCTTTCTGACCTGTCTGTGTCCCTTCAAGCTACAGTGATGGTTTAATGAATACTGTTTTTTTCTCTAATACAAAAACAGACTGATTCTGATGTTGCTATTAATCCCGCTTTCCCCAAGAGTCCCTGGCATTGAGTCTCAGCTGTCTGTGATCATTACTTGTGAGCTATGAGTAGTAATTTGTCTTGGCAGGTTAATTAAAAGTTTAGGTCTTGTTTTAGTGAAGTCATTATGGCCCCAATATATAATTGTAACTCTCGGGTTTGCTTAACACACAAATTGGAATCTGACCCTTCCTTCATTATATGTCAAAATGCAGATCTAGAATTTAAGAAGATCTGAGATGTCAGAATCCAGAGTATTTATGTCTGTTTGTAATTAAGTAACAGGAGAAATAATTGTGTTTCACAAATGGCTATATTGTGTATGTTTTTGCTTTCTCCTCCATTTAATGCAATCCAGCTGATGATTTTAAATGAAATGAGTTTAACTTTTGCCTTTAAAAAATCTAAAAGCACTTTACAAACCGTACACACAAATATATACGCACAGAGACCTGATGTTGACAGAGCTCCCAGTGAACTAGATGCATTTACACACACACACACACACACACACAGAGCACTGAAACCAAGCAAGTTTTAGAATAAAACATGGAAGCTTTTTTCAGAAACAACAGGCTTTCCCTGCAGGTGGAGATCCAGAATCTGAGGGTACTGACCCTGGTCCTGGCTGGGCCGAGGTGGGCTGCCTAGCTGACCCCAGAATGTTGAATAAAGGAGGAGAATGTATATCACTAGCTGAACTATAATTCACTCATTGCAGTTTGCAAAGGGTTTTCACATACATTCTTTAAGACTTGCAGTAATTCCATGAGATGATTATTCTTATTTTTATTATCACCTCCCTATTGCAGATGAGTAAATTAAGGTTCAGGGTTGTTAAAAGAAAAGTTAGGACATGAATTTGCGTCTGTCTGACTCCAAAGCTTATGATCCTCCTCCTTTAGCAATTTGCCTTCTTCCCAGCATCAAACCCCCGTTTTTGGTATCACTTACTTCTCTTTTCCATCTATTCATTCATTCATTCATTCAGCAAATATTTACAGAACACCTATTGTGTGTTGAGGACCATGCTTAGCTCTCTTTTTTATGTTATTTAATCCTCACAAGAAGTTTAGACAATAGATATGTTGACCTCAACTTTACAGATGAAGAAATCAAGGCTCAGAAAGCTTGGTTGACTAGCCCAAAGTTAAGGTCCCCACAATACCACAGTCTCTCACTATTTGTCACGGTTACTATTAAATATTTTTTCCATTTGTATTATATGGAATGTAATTTCCCCCTTGCCTTCCATTATTAATAACCATATTACATCAACCCAAGAAGTTTTCTTGAGAAGTCATTAAGAAGACCATGAGGAAAGTCTCACATCTAAAACTTTAAAAGTAAAAATACCTTTGTATGCATTGCTTGCAACTCAAGACCTAACAAGTTCGTTTTCATTCTTCAGGTAGCATCTTATCTTTTCATTTTGGCTGATGCTGAAGCATAGAGGACAGATCAGCCTGACATTGTGGCAATGTGAGCCAGGCTGGAGCATAACAGAGGTGCCCTGCAGTGGATTTAGAAACCTAGAGAAAAGAAATGAGAATTGCTGTTAGAAAATGTAGGGACTGGGAATTTTTACGAGAAACTTGCTCTGGCCTCTCTGGTGCTCATTGAAGAGAAGAGTCATTTTGTTCGTATCCAGGTGGTTGCTGTAAATCAGTCTGTTCTTTATGTCCAGGGATTAGAAACAGATTTAGTTTCTTTCTTCCTTCTATTCCTCCTTCCTTCCTTCCTTCCTCTTTGCTTTCCATTATCCAGCAAGGATTGCATCCTTGCTCTTTCCCAAGCTGAGGATACAGGGAAGGTATGACATGGTTTCTGGCAAAAGTAGCTCATAGTCCAGATTAAGGGAGATGAAAGATTTATACGGTAAACAGCTCTAAGCCAAGGAAAAGAGTAAGAACAGTCACTCCTGGAGTCACTGGTCAAAGACCCATGAGGGTTGAAGGAAGGTGAGGACTTGCCTAGCTGGATGGGTCAAGGAGGGCTTTCTGGATGAAGTGACATTTAATTTGGACCTTAAAGAATGGGTGAAATTTTTACATTTAAAAAAGGAAAATGGGAGGGCAGGTGTTAAGGAAATTATTCCAGGTAGTAGGTACTACCAGCATGAGTGAAAGTTCAGTAGGCAGAAAATTAAGAGCTGGCTATAAGGAGCCAGCAGTTCTGTTTGACTAGAGCCCAGGATGCCTTAAAGGGCAGAAATGAGTTATCAAGGAGAGCCTTAAATGCCACGCTAAGCAAAAAGTTTATTCTTTAAGTATTAGGCACTATCGCAGGCTTTTGAGCAAGGGAATAAAATGATTAGAGCTAGAGGTCTATCTGATGAGACCCGGAACAAGAGCTCATGAATTTATGTGGTCAAGGGAGGTTACTGGGATTGAACTTAGTGACTTCAGAAGAAAAAAAAAAAAAGGAGGGAGGGAAGGAGGGAGTGAGGAAGGACAAAGGACTTGTTCAATGATGTTCAGTGGTGTTTTTCATTTGCTTTCCCTACAATCCATTCCTCTTTTTCTCTAGGTATGCCTCGATACTTCACCTAAGTTCCTATCTTCCAAGAGTCACCAAAATTGGGTCCTTCATGATTTTCCAAAGAACACTGGCCTGTGCTATTTCTTTATTTCTCCTACTTTGATTGGGTATTTGCCTCTGAGTGCATTTGCAAAGATCCGGAGAGAAAAATCTCTGACATTATATACCATAATTTGTGTAAAAACCTGCACTACTTCATTGAAGACACTAAGAAAAATGATTGAGGAGTGATTTTTGGTTTTTAATAAGCCCCTTCTCTACCTCTCCTTATGTCCCCTTCCTCTGAATTATATTATAAGATATAAATACAGCAATGAAGAATTGAGGTCTCTTGGTAATAAATTAACCTTCTTGTAAATGACATTGGCAGCACTTTGTGAAATTTCTAATGGAAACACTTCTTTGGAAAAGCACCCTGTGAATTTACCTCTCCCTGATACAGTGATTTATTTGGAGCAATCTGGTATAAGTGGAATGAAATTGTAGGCCAAGGGAGCTCAGGTCAGCACATTGGAGACAGACTGTGGCTAAAATTCTGCTGAGGGGAAGAGAGCTAGGAGTATCAGAGCACTACATCTGCAGACTCAGAGACTAGCCCTGCCAGTAGCTGTCTCTGCTCACTGAAGGGCAGGGCTCCCCACTGTCCCCACCCCCAGCATCTCTGCTGCCCTTGGGATCTTACCTTCGATTGCTGAACCTTCTGAATCTTTACCTGGAATTGCAAGGGCAGGAAAGAAGAAAAAGTAGCCCAAGGACACTGCAGGAACCAAGCAATAAAGGCTTGTCTTTCTGTGGGAAATACTTAGCAAGGCATTTGGTATACAGATAACCAAAATCCCCACTAGAGTAGCATTTAAGTAGAGTTTTGATGTTCTGGTGCACACTTTTTGTCTAGGAGATGGGCTGCTGTTTTTATGCTTGCTACCTCATGGTCATAAAATGGTAGCTATAGTTCCGGGGCTTATGTCTGCATGTCAGGCAGGAAAAATAAGAAAAGATAAGGAAGTAGGAAAGCAGAATTTTTCCTAAAACATTCAGCTTACATTTCTTTGGCAGAGCTGTGTCACTTGGACACTCAGAGATATAAGGAAGTCTGAAGAAGGGGATATTTTTAGCTTGCTACATTGGTACTCTCAACAAAATTAGGGTTCTCTCAGAGAGAAGGGAAATGAATATGGGGTAGGCACATAGCAGTGTCTGCCACAGACTTCATCAGGTCTGTTTGGTTCAACAAAGACCAACTGAGACCCCCTCTTACTGTGTGCCAGACCCTTGTCTGGACATTGGGTATAGCCAGGAGGCAGACATGGTACTTGGCCTTGAGGTTTCTCATGGGCTAGTAAGTTAGGGTAAGCGAAGCTGAGAAAAAGGAGAAGCTGCCCATGTAATTGAGGTGGAAGGAAAATGGCTTGGTTCAGTCTCTTTGTATCATCCAGGAACCATGGACGTTTTCCATTATGCCTCGAAGCACCTTGCATGATGCTTTAACGGGGACAGACAGCAGGAGCAAGTCCAGAGTGGTAGACGCCAGTTGCAGACAGACCTAGACACTGCATCTGTTCATTTGTTCATTATTCAACCCGTGTTTACTCATTGCCTTTCATGTGCCAGTTCTGAGCAGGCATGTACTGTCACTGGTATGTAAAATAGCCATGCTTTCTGCCTCCATGGTGTTCATAGACAGGTCTGAGGCAGTTTGAGATGGATTCTCAAGTTTAAATACAATCATCAAATATATATACACATATGTAAAGATAAATAATGATAAGTGGTAAGCACACGTCCTAGAAAAGATATCCAGAGAAACACGTAGAAGCCTAATTCAGAAATGAGGCTCAGAGATCTAATGCTAATTGCCAAGATCTCATAAATAGGAAATAGCAGAGTTAGGTTAGCAATCCAAAACACACATTCTTACTCTTACATCTCAGTGACCAGGTCTAAATCCAAGTTTCTGGAGTGGTGACATCCATGTGTGTCTTTATACCCTCTCGTAGTCAGAGAATCAGCAAGACAGATAGGGTCTTAGAGACCATGGCATCACACCTCCTAGGCTCACAGTGTGCTGGCCACGTGCCTGCAGTCCGCTCATCTGACTTATTTATAGAACATCTCTAACCTGGTACTCACTCCTGTTGAAGGAACCCCTGCTCCTATCCTCCATTCAGATGTAGATTCTGATAGAAGATATTTTGTCAGCAGTGGTTTAATTTTTATAACTGATGATTAAATTTTTATTTTCTTTTAGCTCTTTTTTTTTTCTGTCAGTCGCTAAAGGCAGTTGCTCATTCCCGTTTGCCAGCTGGCTTTTCCACTGACAGAACGGCAGCTTTGAGAGGGTTCTCACATAGTGATATTATTTTTTCTTTCCCTTTACAGCACCACTGATATGTGGGACATAATTAAATGTGAGGCCGCCTGTTCGGTAACACCCTCTTAGGAATAACCTAGCTGCAAGTAACATGTGAATCTCTGCTGGAATTGGCACTGGTGGTCGATAGTTGAGGTTGTTGGAGGCAGGAGTACAGTTGGGGGTAGAGCTGACCAGATAGATGGTGTGGTCCGAGGAAAGGACAAAGGCTTTGGAGTCAGCCCAGCCTGGGTTTAGATGCGGGCTGTATTAGTTATGAGCTGTGGGATTTTGGATAAGTCTTACCCTCACCAAACTCATCTATCCTTGGGAATCAAACTTACTTTAGAGAATCTGACAATGATGTGAAAGCATAGGATTTGTGGTAGGTACTCAGTGTGTTTCTAAATGTGTCAAGTATTCAGCATTTGCTGAACATCTACTTTGCTGAGTGCTAGAGGCTTCACAGTGAATAAAACAGAAGCTTTGCCCTCAAAGAGCCTATAATCAATCGGGAGAACCAACCCTTTCATAAATAATTCTAGTATAATGTGGCCTGGGCCAACAAAGGGGTCTGTGGGAGCTCCATGGGAGCAGAGAGGAGGGCTGCTACCTCTGCCAGGCATGTAGAAGGAGGTTGTGAGGCAGAAAGGACATATTTTGAGAAGAGTACTTAGTGAGCTGGAAAGCAGTGTACAAATAATTATTAACAACTTGGGGCCAGAGCAGAAGTGGGAATCCAGAAAGAAAAATACAAGAAAAGAGTCACCCTAAAAAGAAGAAATAAAGGAGTGTGTTAGTCTGCTAGGGCTGCCATAACAAAATACCACAAACTGAGTGGTTTAAAATAGAAATTTATTTCTCACAGTTCTGAACACTGCACATCCAAGATCAAGGTACTGGCAGGGTTGGTTTCTGGTGAGGCCTCTCTTCCAGGCTGGCAACAGTCGCCTTCTTGCTTTGTCCTCGTCCTCATGTGGGCTTTTCTCTGTGTATATATGGAGGGAAAGAGATCTCTGGTGTCTTTTCCTCCTTTTTTTTTTTTTAGACAGAGTCTCACTCTGTTGCCAGGCTGGAGTGCATTGGCGCAATCTTGGTTCACTGCAAACTCCACCTGCCTGGTTCAAGCGATTCTCCTGCCTCAGCCTCCCAAGTAGCTGGGATTACAGGCACACGCCACCACAACCAGCTAATTTTTGTATTTTTAGTAGAGACGGGGTTTCACCATGTTGGCCAGGATGGTCTCGATCTCCTGAACTCGTGATCTGCCTGCCTTGGCCTCCCAAAGTGCTGGAATTACAGGCATGAGCCACCGCACCCGGCCTTTTCCTCTTTTTATAAGGACATAAGTCCTATCAGATTAATGCCCCACTACTGTGAGCCTCACTTAACCTTTGTTATCTCCATATAGGCCCTATCTCCAAATACAGTCACATTGGGGGTTAGGCTTCAGCATATGAATTTGGTAGGGGACACAGTTAATAACAAGGAGGAATTGAGAAGACCATAAGATAGTAGCAGTCTCTGCTCAACCACACAGATGAACTGGCTGGAAAGGATCATTATTTGCATTTTAAAGATGAGGAAACAGTCTGTGACCAGTGGCTCACACAACATAAAGCCGAGTCTTCGAATCCAACTCCAGTAACTTCCCCTGGAGCCCAGCTGCCTGACAAGACAGGGAACATGGAAGACCCCCATCAGAGGGTCAGTGAACACCTAGCAAGAAGGTCAGGCATCACTGATGTTTTTCCCTGCAAGCTAGAAGCTTCTGTTATGGGCATGAACTTCTTATCGGCAGCTTTGAGGGAATGAAGGCACAGCCACCCTTTCAAGGCACTGCCAGGTACCTGGCTAAGGAAGGCTCTTTCTGTCCTCAGGACTTTATGCATCCCAAGGCTGCTAGATTCCATCTTTCTTTGCCAGTACTCCTTAACTCAAAAATGGAAATGTGAGTTCCAGAACATTCCAAAGCACTAACTTTTATTTGTTCTTATAAATTTGGCTTTCTTCAGAGTTCATAAGGAACTTCTCCAATGTCCCATTCTAGTTTCGGGGCTTTTCAATCTTTACAAATTCTTCTCTGGAACTACTTGGCAAAATTAATAATTTTGGCTACTGTTTGTTCAATGCATACTGTATCTAAGTATTATCTTAGATATTTAACATAAACTATTTCTTGTTTTTTTTTGTTTTTTAGCAACAGGGTCTTGCTTTGTCACCCAGGCTGGAGTCCAGTGGCACAATCATAGCTCGCTGCAGCTTTGAACTCCTGGACTCAAGCAATCCTTCTACCTCAGCCACCCAAATAGCTAGGACTGCAAATGTGTGCCACCACACCTGACTAAATTTTTTAAAATTATTTTTTGTAGAAGTAGGATCTCTCTATGTTTATTTTTATGTTTTTGAGACAGAGTCTCATTCTTGTCACCCAGGCTGGAGTGCAGTGGTGCAATCTCAGTTCACTGCAACCTCCACCTCCTGGGTTCAAGCAATTCTCTTGCCTCAGCCTCCCAAGTAGCTGGGATTATAGGCGCCCACCACCATGCCCAGCTAATTTTTTATTTTTAGTAGAGAAGGGATTTTACCATGTTGGCCAGGCTAGTCTTGAACTCCTGAGCTCAGGTGATCCACCCGCCTCGGCCTCCCAAAGTGCAGGGATTATAGGTGTGAGCTACTATGCCTGGCCTCTCTATGTTACCCCGACTGGTTTTGAACTCCTGGCCTCAAGTGACCCTCCCACCTCAGCCTCCCAAAGCGCTGGGATTACAGGCATGAGCCATCACACCTGGCCTACATAAACTATTTCAAACCTTTACAATAGGCATATGAAGCAAATATTTTCTGCCTACCACCCCTCCATAGGAAAATGAAGCTCAGAATATTTAAATGACTAGGCAGAAGTTAAATACCCAGTTAGTGAAGGGGCTAGAGTTTGAATCCAGTTCTGTCTGACCCTAATATCTACACATTTCTCACCATGTCCTCTCTCATGTATGCGCTTGTTGTGTGAGTGCCTGGTATGTCCAGGAGACTGGAAGTAGGAGGAGTACATGAGAGGGTGATACCCAGAGGAGAGCCTGGAAAATGAGGTTCAGGCCAGCCTGGGACAGGCTTTGTCTCTGTTGGCTAGCCAGCTTGGAAGTCTGGTTTTGAAAGCAGTGGGAAGCACAGGATGGTTTTTAAGTGAAGATGTAGCATGAGTTGGGTGTTGTATAGGTATCTTTGGCTGGCAGCAACATATATAAATGAGACAGGGAGACCAATTGGAAGACTGTTTCTTTAGCCAGTGGGATTAGATGAGAGAAGAGAACCTACACTAAAGCAAATGCCACCGCTTTTGTATAAAGGAGGGAAGACATTCCAGGACATTATAGGCTGGTTCTATTGACCACTTGTATTTTACCTTGTAAGGGAGAGGCATTGAGTTTCGACCTTGGAGAATAGATGGATGGTGATATCACTAATTACATTAGGAAATAAGGAGGGGAAGTTAGTTGTTGAGCTGCTAATGGAACTTCCCAGTGGAAGTTAGTTGTTGGCAGTTACTAATAGGCAGATGGGTAAGTAGGTCTTGACTTGGAGATAGCTCTGAATTTGAGACAGTTACCTGGTGGACAGCATGAGTGTGGGTGTAACAGAGTAGCAGGTGGAGCTTAGAGTACCTGAGGAGATGTATCAACCAAGAAGCAAGGAGTTAAGGATGGAGCCCCAACGTTCAGAAGACAGACGGGAAAAAGTAGAGAAAACTTAGGAAGATGATTACAAAGAAGCTGCTGGCATTGGTCATTAGGAGGTCACTGGCGCCCTCATTGGGAGCAGTTTCCACCCATTGGTGCAGGCAGAAGCAGGGTCACCACGAGTTCAGGAGTGAATGAGAGGCATAGAGTGGAAACAGTTACTTCTAGACAGAGCAGGGAAGGAGACAGATGGGAGTAACCTGAGGAGGAGGCAGGTTCAAGTAAAGGTTTATGTAAGGTGGGGAAGCCCTGGACGTGCTGTCAGCTGTGGGAAAGGAGCCAGGGGGGAAGACTGGAGGCCCAGGAGAGAGGGGAGATGACTAATGGAAGAAGGTGGGAGGCATGGAATGGCAGGCAGAGGCAGAAGGAGGAGCCTAGGAAAGGAGGAGACACACCTCTTCCCATGGGATGGGGAGAGGGCAAGGAAGATGAGATCAACCTTGAAGGTGGAGGGGAGTGGGATACAGGGTAGGATTCACACTGATCTCAGGGTCAGCAGTGCTTTCCAGAAATGGATTGCCTGACAGAGTAACCCACTTATGGCCTAAATTGTGTGTGTTCCCTTCTGTGTGAAGGCAGTCTCAAGGTGGCACTAAATAAAATAGTGTGCAATATAACAATAAAGAGAGGCAGTGTGGCTTAGTGGTTAGAGAATGGATTTGAAGCCAGGTAGCTGGTTGAATACAGTCTCTGCCACTTAATAGCAGTGGGACTTTGGGCAAGAAAGATAACCCATCAGTGCCTCAGTTTCCTTATCTGAAAAATGACAATAATATTAGTACCCAACTCATGAAGGTAATTATGAAGTTAAAATGAGTTAATTGTAAAATATGGAGAACAGTGCCTGGCATGTAATAGGTGCTATATAAGTGTTCGCTATTGTTATTGGCAGTAACATGCACTAACATTTTTGAGGGCTTACAGGGTCCCAGGAGCATGCTAAGTGTTATACCTGCATTACCTAACTTTAAGTTTGTAATAGACCTGGGAAAGCAGGAACAACTCTTATTTTCTTTATAGAGATGATGAAACAAGGTTCCGAGAAATTAACAAACTTGCCCAGTCACACATTGAGTAAGAGCAGAGCCAGGATTTGAATCTAGGCCAGTCTGCCTGAAGAATCATGCTCTATCCACACTGGCTTTCATTCCTGGGCCCCTCCCAAGTCAGTACCCAGTTCCTTAGTACCCCCGTGTTTCCTTTCATACAACACTGGGAAGACAGTTCAGACTGAGGATGCTGCAGGGTGCGAGCTTTGTCACTCCCTGACACTTCTCTGGGCGGAAGAGTATATACCAAGAATCTCTGTTTGGGGGAAGAGCTCCTTTACAATTAAGCAAAGATTTAGTGATGGCAAATTTGAGGGAGGTTAGGGCTGGTTTCTTGCTGCTTAAACAGAGCAGAAGACTTTCTGTTGAAACGCCAGCACAATGAGTGTTATATGAAGGGTTATAACAAATTGTAAGCCAGAAACCTCTGAGCATCTGGTTTTAGTTTGAGTAGCTGCTTGTTCATGCCTTTATCTAAGCAATGCTCATGTTCTCGGCTAAAAGAAGCCCAGTTTGTTTCATTCCTGGTTCATATTACATGTCAGCCTGATTTTTTTTTTATTTTCATTTGTGTCATAGGCCAAGAGAGTCTAGTCAGGGTACAAGGGATGGACTGTATAATTTTGAGAAAGTGAGAAAAAGCCCTGTGACCTAAAGCAGAAGGCTAACGTGATGTTTTCCACAAATAGAGTTTGAGTTTTCTCAGGCCTGTAAGTGCACGCTATTCCTTGGAAAGCTTGCATTTGGGAGATTGTTCTACCATTATCTCTTTCTTTTAAGTGATGGAGGAAGAAAGTGAAATCTGTTGAGCTTTTCTTAGGTGCCAAATATTACCCTAAGCACAATTTATTTACGTTAACTTATTTTAATTCTCATAACCAACTTATGCAGTCAGAATTACTATCTCCATTTTCCAGATTAGGCAGGGAGTTGTGTTGAAGGCAGGCAGAGGCAGAGCTAGGGACCCCAGCAGGTGTATCTGGTTCACATGTATTTTGCAAGCCCCCAACACTTTTGAATGCACCGTGCTGAGATGTGTCTTTTGTGTTCACTAAGTAACAGAAACACCTCTGAGGACAATACTAAGTCATAGAAATACTGAAAACGAAAGACAGAAAAAGAAACAGCATCATAAGAACATCAGCTTTTAGTCAAAAGTCAATATTATGGTTCCTGGTTAAATGTTTGAAAAATTATCTTTAAAATCACTAATAAAATAAGGTGCACCGATTAGTTAGCATTGTTTTAGAAGCTTTGTCCAAGATAAGATATGACATAGAAACAAGAGGCTGAGAAAAAGTCATCGTTATTTGTGAAGGGTGTGTTTGTATTCCTAGAGAAAAAAAAAACATTAACTGAAAAACTATTTTACTTAATAGGAATTCAGAACTTGTAACTGGGGCACAAGATAGCTTTTCCAAAAGTCAATAGATTTCCCATATACCTGCAACAACCACTTATGAAATATAATGAAAAATGCCCCAGTCAAAAAAAATCAATAAAAATTAAAGTATCATCTGAATGAGGACTACATGTGACCTGTGTGACAAAAACTGCAAAATTTTATTGAGAGCTATAAAACAGGACATGAATAATTAGGAACTATAACATGTTCCTAGATGGGAAGGTGAAATACTCTAAATATGTCAATTTATAAGTTTAATGGAATGTCAAACAGAATCCTAAAGGGAATTGAAGAGATTTGATTGCATGGCTAAAGACTTCATCTGGAATAATAAACAGATGAAAGTATGGAAGAAATTACAGGAAGAAGAATCATGAAAGGGTACTCATCTTTAAATATCTTAATATATCATAAATCCTTAATAAATGAGAATAGGAGTCAAGCAGATTAGTGAAGTACTACAAATATTACCAGTTACATGTAAAAATTTATTATTTGAAAAATGAAGAATTACAAATTAATGGAGAAGAGAAGGCTGGATCAATAAATGTTTTTGCAATAACTTGGAAAAGCATCAAATGTAACCCGAGTCTGCAAAGTGGCATTCAGTGAGATGGATGCAGTTGATAAGACACAGAGAAGGAGTTTTAGCCTGCAGTGTTGGCCCACTATTTAACATTGGATGACCCTCCATAAAACTACAGGTTTATGGCTTCCCTTAAAAAATTAGAAGACCAAAATTCCTGTGAGAACAAGGCCCTGCCCCCTTTGGATGGAACTCATACTCTGTAATTCACCCATCTCCACCTCCTCCATTTTTCTTACATGTACCTGGCCTGCTTTACTCCTTTAACTTACCTGCCTGCCCCCTAGAGGAATTTTCATTTTCAACCTCTGATTCAGACCTCACCTCATACCATATGCCAAAATAAATTTCAGACGGATTAAAGAGGTAAATATTTAAAAGTCAAGCTAGAAGAGGGTAAAACCCAATATTCACATATCTCTGGGTCGAAGAGGACTTTTAAGCACTAAAGTCACTGAAGAAACCACAAAGAAAAAGATTGAGAAATGTTTACATAAATATGTAAAATTTCCACATGTCTTATAAAACTTACAAAATAAGAAAAATCACAGAGTAAGAAAATATATGCAGTAAACATGAGTGACCAAGAGTTAATATGTATATTACATTAAAGCTCAGATGCTGTGGGAGGAAAAAAGGCATTATGATCTTACAGGTAATGGCTAAAGCTTATGTGTAGAAAAGCTTTAAAAAATGTATAGTACGCAATAAACATACATGAAATATGTTTAACCACACTAATAATTGAAGCAGTACAAATTAAAATAATGGTGTATCTTTTTTTTAGCCTAATAAGTTAGAATCCTTCAAGTTAATATCCAATCCCATTGAGGCTGCGGTGGAACTATACCAATATATATTACTAGTTGCATCATAAATCAGTACAACCCTTTGGGAAAGCAATTTGGCATTTTGTATTAAACCATAAAAATGTTCAGCTTCTGAGAGTATCTCTTAAAGAAATAAACCAGTACCTAGGAAAAGCTGCACACTTATCACAGCATTGTTTAAAATTGTGGCAATTTGGAAACAATCCAAATGTCTAATTATAAGAAAGCATATAATAAAATATAGTATATCTACTTAATATTATATAGCCATTAAAATTATCATAAAAGTCTGAACTATGGGAAAATGCTTATAATTTTCAGTCCAAGAGAAAGAAAACAGAAGTTATGTTTACAATATAAACATGTGTATTAATAACAAGGTAATTTGCCTAATCCACATATTTAGAGGTAGAGTTTGAACTGGAATTCAAGTCTTTCAACTCTGAGACCATTGCTTTTTCCACCTGCCCACTTCCTTCCCTGGAAGCCAAGGCACCATTTACAGGGTATGGTCAGGAGAAGGTTCATCAGGTTGATCACTGGAGTCCAGTGGATCTACCAAGCTGAGCCTGATGTGGTGCTTCAAAGATTCTGATGGGGATGTGAAAATGTATTAGTTTGTTTTCATGCTGCTCATAAAGACATACCTGAAACTGGGTAATTTATAAAGAAAAAGAGGTTTAATGGACTAACAGTTCCACATGACTGGGGAGGCCTCAAAATCATGGTAGAAGGCAAACAGCAAACAGCACATCTTACCTGGTGGCACACAAGAGAGAATGAGAATCAAGCCAAAGGAGAAACCCCTTATAAAATCATCAGATCTCATGAGACTTATTCACTACCATGAGAACAGTATGGGAGAACTGTCACCATGATTCAGTTGTCTCCCACCGGGTCCCTCCCACAACGTATGGGAATTATGGAAGCTACAATTCAAGATGAGATTTGGATGGGGACACAGCCAAACCATATCAGAAAGACAACACTTTTGTCAACCCTAAAACCTCTAAGAGCTAGGATTTTCTAAGAGTTTCCTCCTCTCCCCATTTAGCTCAAGTGATAAAATGAACAAATGTAAAGGACCAGAAAAGGATCTGAGTTGAGCAAAAGTCTTCCTGCCAGTGTAATTACTTAAGTGCCCCTGGTGACATGGGCACGTGTATGTTTTGTCAGCTCTGTTACACACCTGTATGCATATAAATATTTTAAATATTTCCAATGTTGTTTGCTTTTGTTGTTTAAGAAATTGCATTAAGTTAAAACCATTAGCCATGAAGGCCCACCATGTTTCTAAACCAGTTTTGCTTGAGAGGAAAAAAAAGACCCCAGATGGTCTCTAGATCTTGAAGGCCTAGTGTTAGAAAATACAGAGAAGGCTTACTGAGGATTCACTTTAAGAAAGAAAGCATATTTTAAAGAATCCTGAGATTTGAAAACTCGAGCCTGCTGTTCTGTTTCCTACATCCGCATCCCCAAAACAGACAAGAATTTTCTGTGTAACAGAGTTTACCATTACAGTAATAATCCCCTACATTGTGTAAGAGTTTAGCTTACTGAACACAATGACATACCATTTTTTCTTTTTTCCTTTTTGATCCACACAACCTACTGAATAGGATGGTAAGATTATTGTCCCAACTTAGTAGACACAGCAAACTGAGTTTCAGAAAAATTAAGGCTCTTTTCTGAAAGGTTTTTTTCTTGTTTTTTTGTTTACTTTTTGGGACAGAGTCTCACTCTTGTTGCCCAGGCTGGAGTGCAACAGCGCAATCTCGGCTGACTGCAACCTCCGCCTCCAGCATTCAAGCGAGTCTCCTGCCCCAGCCTCCTGAGTAGCTGGGATTACAGGCATGCGCCACCACGCCCAGCTAATTTTTTGTAGAAACAGGATTTCACCATGTTGGTGAGGCTGTTCTCGAACTCCTGACCTCAGGTGACCCATCCACCTCGGCCTCCCAAAGTACTGGGATTACAGGCATGAGCCACCATACTGCCCCCAACCCTGAAAGGCTTTCTCACTGGTCCAAGATCACACAGCAAGTGTGACAAGACCAGATTTAAATGCACTTCTCTCGTTTCATTCATTCATGTATTTTTGTGAATGTGTTTATTCGGTATGTGTTTCTTTTGCACCTTCTATATGCCTTGCACTCTGGTCAGGCTGTGGCTGCTGTTGTGAACAAGCAGACAGGGACTCTGCCCTAGTGGATCTTCAAGTCTGTCCGGAAAGACATTGATCAGTAATGTGACTGTGATGAGCTCAGAGGAAAAGTATGGGGCCTAGGAGTGCACCAACAAGGGGTGCTAACCTAATTGGGGTAGGAGTCAGGGAAGGTTTATATTAAGTACATGACAGCGACATCTAAGCTGAGACCTCAAAAAATTGGATAGAGAGAGCTAGGTGAGAAGGGGGGATCGGTTTAAAACAGAGGCCTGAAGATCACCAACAATTAATAATTAGAGGAAGAGCCAGAAAAGGAGGATGAGGACTAGGGCCTACAGTGGTAGGATTATTGGAAAGCATGCTGGCTTTTTTTGTTTGTTTGATTTTTGTTTGTTTGTTTGTTTGAGACAGAGTCTTGCTCTGTCACCAGGCTAGAGTGCAGTGGCACAATCCCAGCTCACTGCAACCTCTGCCTCCCCAGTTCAAGTGATTCTCCTGCCTCAGCCTCCCCAGTAGCTGGGACTACAGGTGTGTACCACCATGCCCAGCTAATTTTTGTATTTTTAGTAGAGACAGGGTTTCACCATGTTGGTCAGGATGGTCTCGATCTCTTGACCTTGTGATCTGTCCACCTCGGCCTCTCAAAGTGCTGGGATTACAGGCATAAGCCACTGTGCCCGGCCAGTGTGCTGTTTTTAAAGCTGAGGGAAAAGAGAGCTTCAGCAAAGAGGAGCTAGAGAATCATGTCAAATGCTACTGAGAGGAGCTTGTGGTTGACTGTTACATGCCTCACCGCCCTGGAGTCCCACTATAATAAGAGTAATGATTTAAAACAAGCAGGAGTAAACCCACAAGGACAAACAGAATAAGAGACAAGAGCCAGCAAGAGATGCCAGCAGACTTTTGAAAAAAAGAGTGGATGGAGTTAGCAGTGTGGAGACACGGAATGCTGAGCCCCTGCTGAGGGAGGTATCAATTAGAAGCAGAGTCACAGAAAACCTCCAGGTACAGCAAAGGCAGGGGTGAGGCACAGAGCTGGAAACGGGTGGATTCAGAGTCTATGTGACGTGGAAGCAGCAGCAATGAAACCCTTAAGTTTCCTCCCTCATCTCACATGGACAAGCGACTGTCTTCTCCCACCCTGGCAGAGGATCGGAGGCTTGTTCCGTAGAGATATCAACAAGGAGCTTCCAGATTCAGGGAAGGGAGAGTCACCATACCAAAAACAGAGGAAATAAGTACCAACTGAATTTTGAAAATGACATTCTAGATCCCATTTTTGACAGCCAAATGTATCATATCTCCTCTATAAGGAAGGAGATTAGAAAAGAAATCAGCAGAAGAGTGGGGGGACCAAAAGACTCTGGTAGTGCCTTCTGTGGATCCTCCACAAAATCCCTGGGTCCCCACTCCATCACCTTACGATGACAGTCAGCAGTTGACACAGAGCTTTTTGGCATCTCACTCTTAAATATGAACAGAGGATCATCAGACATCTGAGGAAACCTTCCAGCAAGTAAGAAAAGACCAAGACAAATAGGAAAACAAAAGAACTCAAAGGAAACAAAATAATATAGGAGAAGAGAACTTCAAAGAGAAAAAGACTATAGCCTGTCAAGATATGAAAGAAAATATATTACTGTCAATGTAAAACAAGAACATATACACAAAGGGGTATAGATCAGAGAAAAGGAGAGCACTCTTGGACATTAGAAATAGGAAAGTTAAAATTCCCATAAATGGGTTGAAAGATAAATGGAAGGGGAGGTGTGCTAAAAATAAATAGAACAAAATAGGTAAGAAAACTAAAGGATCAATTCAGCAAGTCCAAAATCTGACTAATAAGAACAGAGAAATAATACAAGCACATTTCCCATAGCTGAGGGACATGGGCTGACGGATTGCAAGTGGCCAACCTAGTTAACTTTTTCAAAGTCACTCATCTTCCTGAAAGCTCCCAGAAAGGGAAGAGATTACATGCAAAGAGTTAGGAAGCAGATGCCAATAGACATCACTAGAGAAGAGCCTGAAGATGAATAACCTTAAGAATTCTGAGGGGAAATTATTCCCAATTTAAAATTCTATACCCAAATTATCAATCAAGTGTAAGAGTAAAAGAAAGATAACGTCAGCCATGCAAGATCTTAAAATCATACCCCCGATTCACCTTTTCTCAGACAGCAGCTGGAAAATGCACTCTGCTGACATGATAAAGTAAGCCAAGGAAGGGGGTCCAGGAAGCAAAAGGTTTAATAAAGAAGGAGGTGATAAGAAGTCACAAATGATGAATGCTTAGCAGGCCTGGAAAACAACCTGACCAGACTGTGGCCAGGCAGAGGGCTCCAGCAGCAAGGGCTCTGGGCAGATGACAGCTGTGGGTCAGATAAATGACCTGGTGTGTTTGACCATGCGGGAAAGTCTATGTCAGAGGGATTTTATAGTTCTGTCAGCTAATTTGGGTGGAGGTATTAATAGAAACATAGGAAATTAAGTAAGCAAAAAATGACGCCTTTCCATTAGATTCTACTGGTCAGAAGTGGCAGATAATGCAATGGAGGGAAGTAGTAGAGAACATCACATGACAATCAAAAATTGCTGTATAAGCACATTATTTAGATATGTTGAAGTGAATTCTGGAAGAAATAGCAAAGGAGTTGAGAGAATGGCACTCAGGTATGTGGGTGAAGCAGAAGACTGTTATTTTTTATTATAAACTTTCATAGTATTCTTTGGCTTCTTAAACTGTTTACATATATTATTTTGATTTAGGGGGAAAACATTTTAATGCTACAGAGGTCAAGGAAGAAAGGACATTGAAGAATGTGCATTGGAGGCAGCGGTAGGAACTGTAGGAGACCTGTGGGGTTTCTTCTACATCTCCTCACTTAGCACCGTGCATTTGGATGGCTTATTTGAGGGCAAGGTCCACACCCAGCATTCGACCCAAATAAGCATGCATTTATTTCTCTCCAGGAAGAGAGTCTGTGTTTCTAGGCATTCATTATCTAGAATAATCCGAGTTAAGGATACTGTGGTGATTGGAACATGTCGACAATTTAGCAGCCTTTCCATACACTGTTGTACGGGTTCAGAGGATAAGCTCTGGAGCCTGAGTACACAGGTTCAAATTCCTCCACCTGCTCTTACTAGCTACATTGCCTTGGGCAGACTTAGCAAAGGCAACAAGTTGGGAAATGGATTAATAATAGGCCCTGCCCTTATTACGAGGATTACATGAGTTAACACATGCAAAGTGTTCAGAGCAGGCTCCCCACTAAGTGTGCAATAGATGTTAATATTATTTTTATTCCAAATTCCTCTTTCATATTTGCTTTCACACAATTATGAAAGTCACACAACTGTCCAAATTTAGATTTTACTTTTTAAAGCCCAACTCTATTAATATGGATAAAAAGCAAAAGCAAATCCATTTACAAACATATGTATTGGTGTTGTGTGTGTGCGTGCATACGCAAAGCACTATGCTGCTCCCAAAAGGGAGACAAAGGCAGTGCAAGTCTGAGGTCCCTGTCCTCTAAGAGCTTCTCACAGCCTGAGAAGACTTAACGTTGACAGCATTAAAAACAACAATTGGGGGAGTACTATATGGCACAAGGTGAATTGTCAAGGGAATTTTGAGAAAGCCAACCATGAGGGTCACTATAGACTAGGGTGGACCAAGAAGGCCCGGAAGGATTTGGATAGGAAGAAAGGAAAGGAAAAGGCACTGAACAAAAATCCAAGATGAGAAGCTGCTTGAAGTATGCGGGAAACCTCCTGAGACTGGCTGGGAATGAGAGCGGGGTTCCCATCCTGGTTCTGCAGCCACCCAGCTGTGAGACCTTGAGAACATCAGTTATCCTCCCTGAGCCTTGGAAGGATTAATGACACAATGCAATGTACCAGCACTGTGCCTGACTTGCAATAGGCTCTCATATTACTTTGTTTAATTTGTACTTTTAGTCTGAATCCCAAAGCAAGGGTATATTGACTGGCTTGGGGTTCGAATGAGGAAGCTTTCTGGAGGGAGTCAGAGCCCTAGGCCCAGACCTGTAGTTCCAACAGCCTGGTTATTGTCAGTCTCAAAAGACTGTTCAGAGAGGAGAAATATTTACAATAGTAGGCATTGTGATTTGCCTAAAATAAAGCTGCTTTGAGCCTTCAGCTCAAACTATGGGAAGTCTCTTTTGTCCTTCATTACTGGCATCTGTCAGCTGACGCCCTTTGCAGCTTCAGTTCTGCCGCTCCTCCTGTGTGCCAGCCCCGCTGCACTACCTGTAATTCTGAAAACATCTGCCTTTGAAGGTAATGTTCTTTCTTTCTAAATATTCCCTGTGCCCTTCTCTGCCTGGAGAATATCTGCCCAGTCTCCAAGGTTGAGTGACAATGCCTTCCTCGCCTTCCCTGAGATGTTGCTCCATCATCTGGGCTTTACGCATTTATTACCGCAAGCACTTAGCACATTGTGCATCAGACTGTGAGAGTAGAGGGCAGAGGCTGTGCCTTCATCATATCACAACTGACCAAGCATTTGCTCTTCACCCGGCCAGGAGCTGGGAGCTGGGAGCTGGGGCCATAGAGGGAGTTAGGTCCCACCTTGGTCCTCCAAGCTCGTGTTACAGTACAGCAGGCAGACATGCAGATGACTAATGCCAGTGCAGTTTTCCTGAGCTGCCATGAAACTTGGGCAGTGTTGTGGGTGAACCAGAGAAGAAAGCAATTAATCCCTTAATTGCCTGCACATGGCACATAGTAGGGTTTCGGTGACTAGTTGTTTGGGAAGCCTGACAGTTTTGGGATCTGCAAGTCATTTCACTTCTCTAGGCCTCCATTTTCTCATCTGAAAAGTAGGGATAACCATACCTAACTTTTAATGCTGGGGTAAGAGTTATGAAATAATGTATGAGTTTAATGGGTTTATCACAGTGCCTAGCACATAGGACTCAATAACAGGTGGTGGTGATGGCTACTATTGTTACCTTATTTCATGTCTAAATTCATCACTTTATTATTAAAAACTTGGATCTGCACTAAAAATCAGAGAAGTTTAGATGGGATGAATGAGAGGTCAAATATTCTAGTACTTCTTTGACTTTCAGTGGATGTTTTTGAAAGTATTCCTGCCCGGAGTCTCTCTCTTAATTTACTGTCCTGGCGGCTGAGTGTGAAGGTTGGGATTTCCCCAGGGTCTGAGAGGAAAGCGAGGTTACACTCAGCCATCGTTAATTAAAGCTGCTCTCCCCAAGCCTTCGGAGAGTCGTAGCCTGGAAAGCCATCAGATGACCCGAGCAGCGGCCACCTCAGGCCAACTGCTCTGGAGGGGATGTGCACCTGCGTCCTGCTAAACACTGGTGCACTGCCAGGCATGGAGGGCTCAGCAGGGGGGAGTCTGCTCCCTGGGAGGGTGCTGATCTGTTCTTCCTGCTTTCCGTTACATTCCTTTGAAGCCTTGAGACCAGCAAGTCTAGCCTCAGCCCCACTTCTCCCTCAGTTTAACAGCCAACAGTGAGCAGGTCTCAGAGGCCTCTCCTTTGTGCACCCTCTACCTTGGGCTGCTGGGCCCAGCCCCTGGCTGTACTGATGGATCAGGCCCAGTCATCAGAACAGCCTCCCTGGTCATGGGCACCACCGAGGTGTCCAGGGTGAGCAGTAGTGGAGGAAAGAAGCCAGACATTGGCCAGTATGATGGGAATTTATGGGAAATGCCCCGGGGGGTTCTAGGAATAGGCTAGATCTTTAAAACTCATCTTTCACAGAAAGAGGGAGTAATGTCTGTAAAATGTTTGTCCATACCTTGGAGGTATGAGCCAAAAGGAAGAGAGGATTCAGCAGCCCCAATACGTCCATGTGGGTGCATCCCTGTGTGTTGTGGTGTAGGCGGAAGAAACATCATCTCACACGGACTCACTGTGTCTGAATGATATAAGCCAGTACTGTGTGGAGATGGTGTTGGAGCATTAATTGCTGTTGTTCCAGGACAAGATCCAGGCTCCCTCTTATCCTGTTGTCACAAAGTACACGCACCTGCATGCACAGTATGCTAGGAGCCCCTGGTGAAGGAGAAGAAGTGAGCTAAGGCCAGCTAGGGGACAGCCACTAGAAACTAACCCACACAGAAGGGTCTGCAGGCCCCTATTTCCAGTCTTTCCCTTGCTAATACTATAATCCCTGCTGTGGACAGGGGCTTTCTTATCACTCCCATTTTCCAGACAAGGAAACTGAGACACAGAGAGATGAAGTAACTTGTTCAAAGTCACAAAGGAGATAGCAAAGTAGAATTAGAACCCCCAGAGTCTCATTCTGAAGCCTGCAAGCTGGTGCATTCTCCATTATACCATGCAGCCTCCGACTTGGCCTGTCCCAATGGTTTTGCTTTGTTTGGTTTGTTCTGACTAGGTTTCATTTTACCTACTATTAATGAGACATTTACTGCAGGCCCCGTTAAATGCCTCCCATGCATTATCTCATTGAGCCCTCCAACCCCAACATGAAACAGATAAGTGAGGAAACCAGAGCTCAGAGACACTAAATGGTTTGCCCAAGGTTACACAACTAGTGAGAGTCAGAGCTGGAAATCATACCCACGTCTGTCTGATGGCATAGTCCATGCTCTGCCATGGACCAGGGAGTTCAGCCTTGTCAAGTCAAAACATGCCAGAGACAAGATCCACCCCTGAACTGAGGGGCAGTCAGAGACTTCACATGGGGAGATAGGGCCCTGCTGGCCACACGTGGGTCACACTCACACACCAGCCCAGTGGACAAGTAGAAAGAACCAGGGACCCAGGAGGAAGGCTGGCCAGACAGAGGGGCTGCAGTCTAGTGCTTGAGGGGCCCCTCAGGCTGTCTTCATCTAGGCATACAGATAGCTGAGTGTAGGAGCACCAAACCACTTCCAAACCTCCCACTGGGTGGAGAGCAGATGGCCCCACAGGCCACCCTCTCATTGGTCACATTGGTCAGGGAACTGGGGAGGAACTGGCCCTTTAGGCCAGGCCCAGGCTGGAGCTAACATTTGTATTATAACTTCATCCAGTGGTGGCTTAAAGTCCTGCTGCTGCCAAAGTCAGAAATGGCCAGAAGGTTCTATAAAGTTTTCACAACAGAAACTATTTCTCAATTTCTTGCAAGATATGTAGCTACCGCTTTTGCCACTGGGCAGTTTCTGCCTAGAGGCTGAGGAAGTATCTGCCTAGGTGGCTAGAGCAGCTATAAAATATTTGACTTGAACATATAATTACATTACCATGATCTCTAATAGGATTTGGTGTCAAGAAGAAGTCCAACTTGGCCTCTGGCTCAAAGATATAGACCCAAGTTATTATGTTGAGTGTTACCTAGTAGATAAATAAGAAAGAAATACTGTTCAAATCATCGTGCTGCTGACCAACACGCATTATAATTATTGTGAAGAAAAATCCACCGCAGCCTGAGAATTTATCCATCTTGCTATTCAACTTACTGTGTTATATCCTGATAGAAATAATTTAAGTACATAATTCACAGATGCCATCTTGGCAGCTCTTGCTAGAGAAAAGAATTGGGGTCCTGCAAAGTGATATTACTACATGCCCCCCAAATACATGGTTAGTGCTGTTTTGGGAGAAGAGAGGCCAGTACCATGTCTAGCTAAACGTAAAAGGCCCAGAGGAAGACAGATCACAGTGAAGCTGCAGGTCTGGAAACAATTTATAAAAAGGGAATTTGAAAAAACAGAAATCAGCAAGGAAGTAAGCAGTGCATTCTCCACAGAGAGAGCCCAGCCTTAAGATTTGAGGCTGAACACACCAAAGGACATAAAACCAACCAGAAATTGCACTTTGTCATTTGATATTTAAAAAGTGTTGACTGCCCAGCTACTCCAGACAGAACACTGTGCTAGTCACTGTGGCAGCACAGATAAGAGGGAGAATTGGAAATGGATCCTTCCTCTCAATGAATTTGCAGTCTACTAGGGGAAAACAGCCATACTTATACATAACTAGATTGCAAAGTAGACAGCAGTAGGTAATAAGTGAAAGACAGAAGTAAACTGCCATCAGGATTCAAATGAGAGCTCTATCTTGCTAGGAAGAGCCAGGGGGACCTTCACGAAAGAGGTAATATTTAAACTGGGCTTTGGCCGGGCGCAGTGGCTCACGCCTGTAATCCCAGCACTTTGGGAGGCTGAGGCAGGCAGATCACCTGAGGTTGGGAGTTCGAGACCAGCCTGACCAACATGGAAAAACCCCATCTCTACTAAAAATACAAAATTAACCAGGCATGGTGGTGCATGCCTGCATTCCCAGCTGCTCAGAAGGCTGAGGCAGGAGAATTGCTTGAACCCGGGAGGCGGAGGTTTCAGTGAGCCAAGATTGCACGATTGCATTCCAGCCTGGCCAACAAGAGCAAAACTCCATCAAATAAATAAATAAATAAATAAATAAATAAATAAATAGGCTTTGAAGGATGGATAGGACTTGGACAAGCGGATAAGTGGGAAAAGAGGATTTTCAGGTAAAGTTATGAGCAGTGGGCTCAGTCAGGGAGGCTGAAAAGGGAGTGTGGGTTCAGGTGGGGAGTAATTTGGCAGCAGCACAAAGAGGGCATGAGAAAGACCTTACTTGAAAAGGGCAATTGGATCCTTAAACTCCTGGTTCAGAAATTTGGGCTTTCTCCTCTCCAGTGTTTTCTAAAGTATAGTTCCCAAGATTATTTTAGATTATACATAGACAGACTCTATTTCAAAAATTATGTATTTATTTTAGTAAACTGGAAAAATATAGTTAGATATAGCAAATCATTATTTCATAGTGATATTGAATTTCTATGTTAAATAAAGTTAAGAAAATAAATGAATTGAAAAATGCTAAGTGAGTAATAGGACAGATGGTATGTGAATATGGCAACAGCATAAAAGCAGTACCCAAATAAGTGACTTTTAGAAAACACTGCTCCAGGCCTGGGTGGTATACTCGGATGCCTAGAAACCAGGCAGGTGACATTAGTGCAGGAAGCTACAGAGATGGCCTGTGGCTGATCATAGGGTCTGGGCCTGCCCTAAATGAGAAGAGATTATTCCCATGTTGGATCTTCCAATTTAAAAACTTTTTTTTTGTATTTAACAAGTTCTAAGTATCGAAATAGATATATGAAAGCCAACATGAAGATTTTTCTTTGACCTCATTTTTAAAAAGTTCTGGCAACTAATTCAAATTTTTGAAAACACTACATAAACAGAAGTGTCCATAGGGCTCCTGTTTGTAATATCTACTCCAGATGATAAGGGACAGTAACCCTATGGAAGGCTACTGCCCCTTATCATCTGGAGTAGACATCACAAAGGGGCAGGCCTGGAGACAGAAGTCCACTTAGAATGCTGATGCAGCAGTCCAGGCCATGAGTAACATGGCCTGGATATTTCCATTTTCCAGGTACAGTCCAAGCCAACATAGAGGTTTTTACCTGTAAGTCTCTAGGTTATCTTTATATAGTTTTGTGCATTTTCATATCTGACTATGCTGACTTAAAAGGGAGGAGACCGGCCGAGCATGGTGGCTCACACCTGTAATCCCAACACTTTGGGAGGCCAAGGAGGGTGGATCACCTAAGGTCAGGAGTTCAAGACCAGCCTGACCAACATGGTGAAACACCGTCTCTATTAAATACAAAAAATTAGCCAGGCGTGGTGGCACATGCCTGTAATCCCAGCTACTTGGGAGGCTGAGGCAGGAGACTCTCTTGAACCCTGGAGGCAGAGGTTGCAGTGAGCCAACATTGTGTCACTGCACTCCAGCCTGGGCAACAAGAGCAAAACTCCGTCTCAAAAAAAAAAAAAAAAAAAAAAAAAAAAGGAGGGGGATTTGGTTTTCTATTTGGTTTGTAAGTAGTAGAGAGCTTGGTGACAAGCCTGGATAAATGATTGGAGACTAATTAGCAGCTCCCCACACCCCACTTCCTCAGAACCTGTTTCTTTTCCTGCATTGTCTGTCATCACAGAAGAATTCAACACAAAGTGATGCTCATTAGATGGAACTCTCTAGCCAGCAGCTGAGTTGAGTGTTTTACACTGATTTCTTAAGTAATTTGTCCCAGAGACAGACTTGACATGAAGTTGGCATTATGATCAGCCGGTCACTGTGTGGGAGCAGCAAAAATGATTATTCTGGATCTGGCTCTTACTCTTACTTGACCTCCATCTTGCCCAGAACTGCTTTGCATTTCAAAAGCCTGTATATTCTTTAAGAGCTATTCAAATACTACCTCCTGGAGGACCAAGCCCTCCTCTTTGGAACTGGTCCACAAGCTCTTTTGCATTCTTGGGTAGTTTAGATCTTTCTGCCCCCTCTGGCTTGTTTTTTACAGACTTGTGTGTAAAGTCTGTCTTTCTTCCAGACGAGCGGTTCTCAAAGCCCCAGCCCAAGGATATTATCATCACCAGAGACCCTACCCCAGACCTATTAAATTGGAAACTCTGGTGGGTAGGGCCCAGCAATCCATGTTTTAACAAGCTTTCAGATGGCTGACAAGGATAAAGTTTGAAAATCACAGAGCTTATACAGGAGTAAACTAATATTTCCTGAGTATCTTTTATGTACCAGGTGCATATATATGGTGGTTTTATTTTTCACAACTGTGTAAGGCAAATAGTTTTCTCATTTCACTAATAAGTAAACTGAGACTCAGATACAGTGACTTCTCCAAATCACACCCTCAGAAGTCACACGGTTGGAATTCAGACCTAGACCGGTGTAGTGACTCTAAAGGCTAAAGCCTTCCCAGTGCTCCTCGAGAATAAGGACTATGCTTTGGATCCTCCCTCCTGACAGCTTTAACACAGTGGAGTCAATAGAGACTTGATCAACAAATCAATATTTTTGTCCAAGTGTGATACATTTGCGAGTGGCTGGAGCAGCATTTTGATTTTTGAATACTGGTAGGCATGTTTGAAAACCAGAGTTTCAGTTAACAAAGCCAAAATAGATACCAGTTGGAATGTACTGGCCCTGGCAGCATCCTCTGCAGTAGTCCTGACTCTATAATTGACTAATCTACAGGCAAAAGGAATGGGATCAGCATGTGATATAGTTTAGATGTGTGTCCCCATCCAAATTTCATATTGAAATGTAATCCCCTGGTGGCCCACGCCTGTAATCCTAACACTTTGGGAGGCCAAGGTGGGTGGATTGCCTGAGCTCAGGAGTTCGAGACTAGCCTGGGCAACATTGGTGAAACCCCATCTCTACTAAAAATACAAAAAATTAGTCGGACGTGGTGGTGTGCGCCTGTAGTCCCAGCTACTTGGGAGGCTGAGGCAGGAGAATTGCTTGAAACCGGGAGGCGGAGGTTGCAGTGAGCCGAGATCGTGCCACTGCACTCCAGCCTGGGCAACAGAGCAAGACTCCACCTCCAAAAAAAAAAAAAAAGAAAGAAAGAAATGCAATCCCCAATGTAGGGGGTGATTAGATCATGGGAGGAGATTTCTGAAAAGGGAGTGTGTACTATCCCCCTCGGTACTGTCCTCATGATAGTGAGTTCTCCCGAGATCTGGTCATTTTAAAGGGTGTAGCACCTACCCCCACTCGCTTTTGTGCTCTTGCTCCATGTGATATGCAGGCTCCCACTTCACCTTCCACCATGCCTCTAAGCTTCCAGTGGTCTCCCCAGAAGCAGATGCCGGTGTTATGCTTCCTGTACAGCCTGCAGAACCATGAGCCGTTTAAGCCTCTTTTCTTATAAATTACCCAGTCTCCAGTATTTCTTTATAGCAACATGAGGACAGACTAATACAGCATGCTTTTATTTTTTTAACCGGATTGGCAGTTGTGGTATGGTAGAAGAATCCCTAGGTTAGGTAGGAGTAGAAATCCAGATTTTGATACTGGCCCTGTCACTTATTAGCGGCATCAACTTAGGCAAGTATCTGTGCCTTCATGTTCTCATCTACGAAATGGGAAAGAACACTTTCCCTTCCTACATACGGAACTGTTGTAGGAATGAAATAAAACTGTATGTGGAAATACTTGAAAAACAAAAAGTTCTGCACTTATCAGCTATTATCAAAGCCTCCAAGCTATGAAGTAGATCCTGGTGACGTGCCAAGGTAAATTAGTTTTTTCCGTTGCAAGGGGCAAAACACAAGCAATCTCAAGGAAAAGCTGATGTGGCAATGAAGTCGTTTCTAAAACATTCCTATTGCTGGGGACGAAAATAGGCACCGAGAAGCTTCTAGGAATCCGGGCAGCTCAGGGGCCTTTCATTCATTCATTCTCTTCCTTCATGGGCTTCACTGCTGGTCTTGCTGCAGTGTTCCCGCCTCTTTCCAGGCTTCAGCTCCATTCATGAGCTTTCTCTCCTCACTCAGGACTGCTTCCTCTTCACTTTGGTTCCACCTTGACCTTAAGGACCTCACCAGCCCGTCTCTTCCTATCACACCCCTTGGCTCCTGCTCCTGAATGCTAAGTTCCCTGGGTACATTTTAGTTCAAATACTAGAGAACGGGCTCTTATTGGCCCGGAACCTCTGCCCAGTGGGCTGTGTCACAGAGCACCGTTCAGCCTGTGCCTGAGCTTGGCTTGGGTCAGGTGCTCAGCCGGGTCCAATCAGCTGTGGGCAGTGGGAACGGGGCGAGGTGTTGTCTCTTGCACCTGGGCCACCGCTGGGCAGGCGCTGAGGCCGGGGCATTGCACTGGAGCTGCTGTGGGTTAAGGGTGGAGGGAAGACGAGGCATTTCCCGGGAGCGCTCGCCTCTCCTCAGAAGGGCCTAGTGCTCTTGAAGAGCGCGGCACTTGGCTGTCTCCCCAGTACTTGGTGTGTGTCTCAGTGATCTCTCTGGCACGTGCTCACGGGGCACCGCTGGGAGACGCAGCAGAACAAGAGCCCAGAGTGTGGCACTGGCATCCGAGAGCGCTGCTGCCAACAGCCAGGAAGGAGGCTAACCTCGGGGCCGCTTGAGGCTCCCATCAAGGGATGGATGATAATGCGATACTGTTATCTCAGGAACCGCAGGGAGGGTTAAAAAGTTAAGGTAGCTCCTGAAATGAGCAAACGTCTCCCCCTCTGCCCTCTGCCCGGCCACGAACATGATGACTTCTTCTTAATTTTAACTTACAGTTTGTATTGGTTGAAGTAATAAAATGTAAATCAGCCCTTAGTTCCTATTTCTTGTCTATTGTTTTTCTTTTTTTAAAAAAAAAATTTTATCTTAAGTTCCAGGGTACATGTGCATGACGTGCAGGTTTGTTACATAGGTAAACGTGTGCCATGGTGGTTTGCTGCGCCTATCAACCTGTCATCTAGATATTAAGCCCCACATGCCTTAACTATTTATCCTGATACTCTCCCTCTACCCACCCCACAACAGGCCCCAGTGTGTGTTGTTCACGTTCCTGTATCCATGTGTTCTCATGGAACATGACGATTCTTTTCTCAGCTTTTTCATCTATATGTATCATTTTCTAAGTCCTGACAATTCAGGTTGATTCATCAGATCACAGGAGGTTAGACCTGACCAATCACTAAAGCCATCCACTTCACTGGAACACTTCCTGAGCTAGAGTGGATTCTTAGTAAATATTTACTGAATAAATTTTATAAATTTTGTAGATGAAAAGAAAGGCCCTGAGGAGGAAAGAATTTGATCAGTGTCACTTAACAAGTGGATGGCAGGAGTAGGACTAGAACCCAAGTTTCTTGAGACAGTCCAAGCAAGTTCCTTTACACCATGACTCACAGAGTCATAAGATTTCAGGCTTGGAAGATGTCATACGCTTCATCTTTAATACCCCCTGCAGTATCCCCACTAGTCATTAATTTGCTCTCTCCTTGAATACATCCAGCGACTGAAAATATATGACTTTGTAGATCACCTAGGTCATTCGTTTTAGTCATTCAGCTAACAAACATTCATTACCTGCTTTGAGTCAGATATTATTTGCCAGAGATCCAGAGATGAATAACACATTTCCTGCCTTCAAGAAGTTTACAATATTTGGGCAGATACATACATGTAAACAGAACGTAACCCAATGTAGTAAGTAGTATTCAGCTCTGACTCTTAGAAAGTGAGTAAGTTGATTCTTCTTTTGAACCAAGTCTGTTTCCCAAGGACTATAGTCCTTATTCACTGGACCCTGGTCAACCTATTAGGGCCACAAAACAAAGTCCTTATTTCACCTGATTACGTTTCAGATATTTTTAAACAGATGTCATAACCCCCTTAGTAAGCTGAATTTTCAATTCCTTCAAGAATTCTTTATTTGAAATGTGGTTTCAAGTTCTTTAATCTTTCTGGTTGTTCTTCAGTGAACACGTTCTAGCTTAACTCATCAGTGTCTTAAACGTGGCTCCCAGATGTGAACTGCTGAACTCCAAATATGGTCTGAGAGTACAATGTGGAATTCAGCTTCGTATCACTGTTTATTCTAGGCATTGTAATAAAAAAATAGAGGCAAAGGAAACAGTATGTTTCTTGGCCACCAAACGCCTCTGGAACCTGATTATTGTGGCATCCCCACTTCTCTGACCTCTTTCCTCTATTTTCCCCTTGTATTCCTGCTTTGTTTATCAATACAATAAATATTATTGAGTTCTTGGTTTGTGTTTAGCAATCACAAGACTCTTTGGAGAACCAGACATAATGGCTGTGTTGAAGGAGTTCACAGTCTTATTGGTAAAATTTGGTTTGTCCCCAAAGAAATAATTAACAAATAGCCAAGACTGAATATAATAAGGAAACAATCTTTCTCCTAGACCTTTCCTTAGAGCTGGTCTTAATAGTGGTTGGTGGACTTCTGGATATGACTGAAAACAGATCTTCCAATTCAAATGTTGGCACAGAACTGGCTTCAAGCCCAGTCTGTCAGGGGCTTTGTCAAATTTTTGTCATTGCATTGACCTAGACTGTTGTAGACTGAAGGCCTTTGAATTCCATCGTCTGCAAAGAAAGCTGGGACATCCATAGGGACCGACACATCACAGGCCATGGAACAGCTTTCCAGCACCTGGCACCTGCCCAGTGCCAATCTAGAGTGCAATGGGAGAAAACTTCTTTCAGATGTTGGCAGGAGCCTGCTTGTGTTTGTGCTTCTGGGAGACAAGTTTAATTTGCTTTCACAGCGCTTTCCCCCAGGAGAAAATTTACTCAAACACCCTGCCTTCTTCACATTCAGAAGCATTGCTTGTTTGTTTTCCAGTTTTTACCATGGGGAGTTTCCATGTGTCTTGTGTGCCTATGTGTCTGTGGGTTTACCCCCCAGAAACCCACATTTCCTTGTTTGGATTCATTTGACCAAGTCAGATTGTTTTTTAATTCATAAATGGAAGACATGTGTGACCCTTCCTTAAAACCAAAATACCAGCTCTGCCAGGTCCTGGGCCAACCTCTTTACATGCACAGCATCACCCTATTTGGTCTTCAAAATAACTCTCTGAGGTGTGTGTTACTGTTCACCCCATTTCACAAATGAGGAAAGTAATGTATAGAGATGGCTTGTCCAAAGGCATCTAGCTAGTAAGGGTTCCAGAGCCCATACTCTGGTCCAGGCCAAATGCTGCAAACTTTGGCTGCATATAGGACAGGTTCACCTACCAGATTTTCCCCTATCAGCTGTGTGACCTTGAGAAGGTGACTTCATCTCCCATTCTCTATCTAAGACTGTAAAATGGTGACATAAGTACCTATGTCTCATAATTCTTATGAAGATTAAGTTAGAATATATGATTTGCTTTTCGCAGTTCCATTTCAGGGAATGAGAGGGTCTCTGTTGGACTCTTCCTTCAACCTTGAGTTGCTGTAGAATTAAATCCCAGCTATGCTATCTAGTTTCCATTTCTTCTTTTTGGTTGCTAATAATAAATCCAGCCCTTCTATTTCAGGAGCAAAGGGGATGAAATAGGTGTAACCTGAAGTATAAATGTCACCAGCTGCAGTCAAAGTGATATATCCAGGTGGCCATCCTGGAGTTCAAGCTCCTTCTTGCCTGTAGCATTATCATCCATCCTCCTCTGGGGAAGCCAGGAGGAGTCAGAAGGTAGATCTCTGGCAATGGGTATACCTTGGTACTTCAACCAGGTGTTCCCAAAGAGTTCCTGACAACCACTTTTATAATTTAAGGAGACAACAAAAACAGAAGGAGATATTAGTAGTAAATGCAGGCTTCTATTAGCCTGGACATATCACAAGGGAACAAGACATACAGGAGCTTCTGGGAGGGAGGGATAAAGTGTGGGGTGAGCAGAAAGGAGAGAATGAGAGTGTCGAGTGGGCCTTGACCTCATTCACAAAGCTGGTTCCTTCTGTCTTTGATGCTGGAGTCCGGCATCAAGCTCGCACGTCCACAGAGGTTTGCCCACTCAGAGCAAGGCAAGAGGCAGGTATGCCCATGCCATGGTGAGCTGACAGAGGAGAAAAGCTGCCTTCCCTTTACTGATATTACTGCCCCTGTGAGACAGTTAAGGAGGCAATTGGGCTGTCCAGGTAGTCCTCCTAATAGGATTTTCTTCTGTGGTCTCTCCTTGTTTCCTACAAAATGAGGCTTCAGGATTTTAGAAAGGAAAACCAGAAGGATGCAAATGAGGGCAGACTTTCCTCAACATCAACCCTGGACTCAGGAGAACTTAGTTATCAGCTGTGATCATCTTTCACCTTGACATAGCTGCGCTAATGATTTGTTTCTGAAAACAAATCAGGAGTAGTGAACAGTCAAAACGGGCACCGCAGTGGGTTCCCTGAGGCCTCTGTGGGTTCCTGACTCTCATGTCTCCACTGGGAAGAAGCACTGTTGTCTTTTCTTCCTTCTGCAGTTGCCCCTTTGTATTTCAAGCAACATTTTGTTCAATATCCAGAGAACACTCCCACTCACAACACATGTCCAGAGAATGAGCTAAGGAAACACTTAAACTCTGCATTCCAATACAGATGAAAGGAAAAACAAGTTCCTGAAAATCATGTATTTTTTTTTTTTTTTTACCAGGACCCACTGCTGTGATAGAAAAACAAGCTGGGGGAAAGGCCCCATTTTCCAACATGCCATATACCCAATTATGAAAACCAATTATTCATAGGCTGCTGAATTTTTAATTTGGATCCAAGCAGATCTAAAGGCACACCTTCTGCTAAATGAAGGCAGCTGCAGTGTGAACATGAGCAAAGCAGGAGAGACTGTGGGGGAAGAAATTCACCAAACACTAATTGGGAACATCCACAGTACTTACGCATTAAAGTTCACACTTTTCCCAAGCCAAAGAATATCATTTCTGCCCTAGAATGTAGCACAGAGATACCTGGTCAGTGGAGACTCATTATTTGTGGGATCCTAACTGAACCTCAAGTTGTTGAAATCCCTCCAAGTGGAAGAAAAATATATACATAAGCATTTTATCAAAAGAAAATATTCTCTATATTTCTCCTTTCCATTTCCTTGTTGCTATCTTAAAATTATTTCGTGTCTCCCAAAACTTCTGCCTTCTCTAACACCAGTAGCCTGGGGCAAGTTTTGTAGCAAACAGGCTTCTATGCTGTCAGGTTTAGCAACCAACACTACACTCAGTCACAGAAAATATGCTTTCGTCCCTTTCTCACTATGAAGGCTTTTCGGCAGATGATAAACAGGTTGTATCTTGCAGACTCCGGAAATCAGAATCTAACAAAGTATATAACACTTATCTGCAGTTGATCCTGTTAAAAATGCAACTTGTATTTATAGTAATTTTATTAGGAGCTATACTTTATACCATTGGGTTTGAGAAGGATTGAACCATAGAAATTTAGATCTGGGAGGGATTTCTGAGCTCATCTAGTGGAATTCTTTCAGGAGTAGAAACAAATATTTATTGAGACCCTCCTCTGGATTGAATACCAGGGCAAATACATAAATGAGTAAACTCAATTTCTATCCTCAAGGAGTTCACAGTCAACAATGAAACCTATATGGTATTTTAATAAGAGGGAGGGAAAAAGAGTTCTGGAAGTAACTTAGCCTGTGTAAGATGTCCAGGCCTTTCCAAGGAGGTGGCATTTGAACTGGATTTGAAAGAAGGAATAGAAGTTGCCAAGCAGGAACGTACGGTAGGAGCAAGTGCAATAATGAGAAGACAGGTACCGAAAGATCATGTGACATGGCCAAGGGTTCACAACCACTCAGTAGCAGGACAACACCTGGAAGCCAGGCCGTCTGCCTTTCTGTTCTATACTCCTTCCTCAGCCCTGCAGGCAGGACTGTCTCTCCAATTGTACAATTAGCCCAGTAGCTTAAAGTGGAAATTATCTTGCCTTAGACTTTACTCAAAATTTTAATTTTTTAAAAGAATATTCAAAGTGAAACTTCCTAAGTGGTTCTTTCTGAAAACAGTGTTTAGGAATCCACTACTGACTTAAAGGTCTTGGGAACATGGATTCTTCCAAGTAAAGCCAATGGAGAATAGAGATCTTCAGGTCCCCAGCCTAAGCCTTGCTCTGCTGGGACCCAGACCATTTTGCCCTGAAACGAGGCCACGTGTTGGATTAGACCTTCTTGTTCTTAACTCTGTGTTAATATAAAGCACTGCTTGTGTTAGCAGAGACAACACTGAGTGAGTGGAATTGCCCACTCACTAAAGGAGCCACACATTTGGACCATTTTTCCAAACTTTAAAAATAGTTCTTAAGTTGACACTTTAAGACCTTGAAGAAGGACATTTCTTGAAAATGCATCTGCTATAAATGCCGCCACCTCCACCTATATATCACCAAGCCATTTTTCAAGCCCACGTCCTCTGAGAAGCCTTCCCTCTGCTAATTTTGCCCCATTCCAGCTGCCACAGTACTACCCTTAAGTGCTATGCTGCATTTAAGTTTTGATGCCCTTGTCTAGATGCCTTTTCTCCACCCTTGATCTCTTAATTAATTATAGACTCATAGAATTTTAGAACAGGAAGCAGTTGCAGGGAATCATCTCCACCATTGCCTTCATTTCACATATCAGGAAGGTGAGGCCCAGAGAGGGGAAGGAAGTTGCTTTAGGTCACAGATCATGGTACTAAGAGTAGATCCCAAAACTAGGTTTTCTTACCTCCAGGCAGAGCTTTTTCTATGCCTCATGCAACAGTTGACTTATTATTTTATTCTCCCAGTTAAGCTGCAAATTTCCTATAGGCAAGGCTTGTATCTAATGTAGTAACATTCATTTAACACAGGCCTAGATCTTGGCTTCATGACTTATAGTTGTGAGCTAAGACAATAGACTGCCTGCTTAACTAACCTTTTCCTTTACTTTCAAATCTGACTCTACTGGTTCCCTCTGAGACCTCGGGCAAGTCACTGCCCTTCCTCTGGGTCTCAGTTTCCTTCTGTATCAGATGAGATCATTGGGCTGGATGTCTCTAGGATCCCTCCAAGCTCTGAAAGTTATAGAATTCTCTATCCTACAAATAGATCCTTTGCTGCCTTCAGGATGGGCTTCTCTGTCCCACTGTTTGATCCAGTGAACCCATAGCTAGAGTCGCCACAAAAATAGAGGCAGGGAAGTGTTCCCATGAGGGGGTGCCCCAAACTATCCCAAGATAGGGCTGGTTGGGATTGCAAAGAAAGAAGCACTAAAAGCCAGGTTGATCTGTCCAAAGCATTTATTAGGGGAACTTACAGAGTGCTGTAGCAATTCTCGTGCAGACAGCAAGAGAAAGGGATTTTCTACCTAGGTATCTCCATAGCAAGGTGCCCAGGGTATGGAGTTTATATAGAGATTTAAGGAGTTTGGCTCAAGGCCAGGGCTAGTTTCTTTACTGTTTGGGGAAACAACCTAAACACCTTTTTCAGTACCTGAGAATGTTCAAGGCTTCAGCGTGGACTCCAGCCTGCAGAAGAGTTGCTAATGGCTGTGTCAGTCACAGAGCGGTCAAGGCCTGTATTTCTCAATCAGGACACAGAAAAAGTGGGAAGTTGGGGGATCCTATACCGATAGATCTGCCTTGCTCATTTCCCCAGATTCTGCTGTGGAATAAGTTCCTTCAAGATCCAGATAGCATAGTGTCATGCAGCAAGGCCAGGCGTGGAGCCCGAAGGCTCGGGTTCCAGTCCTTGCAGTCTTGCCTCTTTGATTTAGTATCTGTGGCCTTCCACAGGTCACTTCATTTCTCTCAGCCACCTGTTGGTTTTGTTTTGTTTTGTTTTGTTGTAAAATAGGAATAACAATATGTACTTGTCAGATTTGGTGACCGTGAAATGAGATAAATTTGTGGAAATACATGGCACAAAGAAGGCATTGGCATATAGTTGCTTCTGTGCCTCATTCCACATCCAGCATTATTGAGAAATGAGCTGTTCCAAATAAACACACATTCTGGATAATAGGTTTACCAACAGGAGCTACAAAACAGTGCCTGACTTTTGATTAAAATCTTTCTGAAATTGATTCTATATTTTCTTGACCTGTCACACAGAGCATGTAACAAACGTATTAGGAGGAGTTAGAGAAAGGAACATCTCTGCAAAAGGGGGGCATGACAGAGAGCGTGTCTGGGGATGCAAGTAGTGCAGAAGGAATAGGAAAGAAAACTTTTTTTTTTTTTGAGACACAGTCTCACTCTGTTGCCCAGTCTAGAGTGTAATAGTGCAATCTCGGCTCACTGCACCTTCCGCCTCCCAGGTTCTAGTGAGTCTCCCACCTCATCCTCCTGAGTAGCTGGGATTACAGGTGTACACCACCATGCCAGGCTAATTTTTGTATTTTTAGTAGAGATGGGGATTCACCATGTTGGCCAGGCTGGTCTCAAACTTCTGACCTCAAGTAATCCACCTGCCTCAGCCTCCCACAGTGCTGGGATTAAGGCCTGAGCCACCACGCCCAGCCAGAAAAGAGAACGTCTTTGTCTCTGGAAAGGACTTGGATTTTTTTCATCTTAGCAAATGGGGAGCCCTTGAAGGGTTTTAAGGAGAGTGATAGGATCAGATTTGTTTCAAAGAAATAACTTAGGCTGATGGGTGGTGAACACATCAAGGTGAGGAGCAAGAGGGAAGGCTGAAAGGCCTGCCTCAGGCTGGTGTAGTGGCTCCAGTGAGAGACGGTGGGGACCTACATGGATATATGAAAAGCCAGAGGTGGGAAAAGACAGATTTGTAAATGCTCAGTAGCTTTATATCAAAACAAAGTATGGAATATCAGCCCATTCTGAGAAAAGCATAAAATACAAAAAGTATAAAGAAGACTATAAGAATCACCCAGTAACACACCACCCAAAGAAAACCACTGTTAACAGGTTAAACTGTTCTCTCTCAGTGTTTTTAGCTGAAGAATCTCTAATGTGTTTGTAGATACAAATTTGATTTATAAAAATTTGGTTCAGGCAGACATTTTCCAGAACACTTCTGCTAATGTCAATTGAACTGTGCTTCCATAAGAGTAAAAATAACATAGAATTTTAACTCCATTCATTCCTTTCAGTGACGGGGCCACAAGAGCTCAAATATGTGGGTCTTGGCTAACCTAAAGCTTGATTCCTGGGCTCTCTGTTTGGGTAAGGAAATTTGTTTTCAACTCTCCTTCTCCTTTCTCTCCCCAGAGTCGGTGGATAACTGCCCCAGCAACTGCTATGGCAATGGTGACTGCATCTCTGGGACCTGCCACTGCTTCCTGGGTTTCCTGGGCCCCGACTGTGGCAGAGGTGAGAACTCTGCATTGGAGCTCTGGATTTCTGCTTCCCAGACCCCTCAGGCAGCTCACTTCTACTTCTCAGAGCAAGTGCAGAATCCAGCCCACCTTCTGATGCCCACGAGAAGGGTTTCCAAGGGCCATTCTCCAGAAGCCCTTGGAGGGAGGTGTGCAGGCAGAGCCATAACCTTGTCAGCTGCTGTTATCCACATGTGGATGATCGGGGAGGTCAGGAAGGGAGGGTGAATTCACTGTGGGGTGGCCACAGTGAAGTCAGTGTCTGTTGCTGGGGCAGGTGGAGTGGCAGTGGGGGTTCTTTTAAAACGTTGATTTCCTCTTATAGCAATGATCGTCCCTGGCCGTGCATCTTTGAAGTTTATCTTCATGCTAGTGTGATGTCTCTCTGGCCTGTAAATGGGGAGCCTGACGACTGCTCTGTTGCTACTTTCTAACAGCACAGGCAGAATCAGCCAAGACCCCAAGGGGAGGGACTGAGGAGGCCAGGCCACTTTTTTCCACAGAGGACCCTAATGGTGCCTGATATTTAGACACTGCCAGTGCCCATGATAAACATTGTGGAGATAGTCTAAAAGCCTGCCCACGATCTATCCCATGCTTTTGGCCATCATTTCTGTCCTGGAATAATTAACAAGGAAAGTGTCAAGGAGATCTGCAGTCCTGATAATTTGGCACTCCCCTGGGAAACTAACTTGGCCCCTTCTTTTGTTTTGTTTTTTTACCTTTTTCCCTTATTCAGTAGCCATTTGCTTCATGCCTTTTTAGGGATTGGTCCTGTGCTAGGCAAGACCCAATCCTGGGAGCGCTGAGTCTGGTCTCAGAGACAGACAAGTAAATAGACAACTGCAAAGCAGTACGATAGTAAGTGAAATACGCTATAACACAGTTAAATACAGGGAGCTTCTATCAGAGTAGAAGGGAAGAGCAGTCTGAGAGTAGAAGGGATGAATTTCAGGAAAGGATTCCCAAATGAGGGTGACACTACACCCGAGTCCTGAGGCTTGAGAAATTGTTCATAAGTAGAAGGCAGAGATGATTTTCCAGGCTGCGTGAACTACACCCTGCAAGTACTATGCCATGAGAGTCTGTTTATTCTTCCTAATGTGAGACAGACTCAGTTTGAGGCAGCAAAGCTAGCAGCCCCAAGGAAACACAGTGATTACCTGCTGAGTGCTTTAAAAAGGAAAGAAGCCAGGTGGGGACCAGGGGAAGGTGGTGCAGAGAGAGATGAGTCATTCCTTCTAACAAGAATTACCGTCTCGTCCCATATGCACTTAAGAGTCACGTGTAAAAAAGCCTTATTGGATCTTGATAAGACTGGTAAGTACTTTCAGCACAATGCAGTATAATTTATTTTTATATAGTATCCTTCATAGAGAAGATCACAAAATCCTTTACTCTAAGAGGCAGAATGAAAAGATAATACTTTAAAGAGCCAAGTTGGGCTCTGCTCTCTTCTTAAGGGGGCAGTAGAATATGGGGCTGGAGTGGAGGACTGAAAGGCAAGGGAAGCTGAGATTTGCTGGGTTAAAGAGGACAGTAAGTGGCGCTGCAGATGAGGTGTGGGGAAGTGAAAGTGGAGTGTTATTAGAGGAGAGCGCTGGAGGAGGGATTCAGGGCAGGCAGGAGGCTCAGCCACTGGCTTTTCCAGTGAGATGGAGGAACAGACTGAAGCTTCCTGTCTGAGGTTCCTGGCAGCCACTGTACCCCATCAGCAACATGAAGGGGATGGGGTTAAGTGGATACCTACCCTGCCAGGCCCTGCACTGTGCACTATCACCTACAAATCTAGGTGTGTTTAAACTGGAAAGAAATAAAGCAAGAGAAGAAGACAGATGGGCACACATGGGTGTTTGTGGCAGAGCAGTTGAGGCTACTGGTGAAGCCAGGCAGGCCAGGAGGAGAAAGAGACAAAGGCAGTTGGGGTGTGCTGGACATTGATTCATGCCAGACTCCGGTGCTGTCTCCCCAGCCTCCTGCCCCGTGCTCTGTAGCGGAAATGGCCAATACATGAAAGGCAGATGCTTGTGCCACAGTGGCTGGAAAGGCGCTGAGTGCGATGTGCCCACCAACCAGTGTATCGATGTGGCCTGCAGCAACCATGGCACCTGCATCACGGGCACCTGCATCTGCAACCCTGGCTACAAGGGCGAGAGCTGTGAGGAAGGTAAGAGTTGCAGGTGGCAGCTCCGGCACCTTCCTCTGAGATAGAGGCTGGCATATAGTGCCAAGAGGGTGACCAGGGAGCAGGGGAAGCCTCCTGAGCCATTTTGTGACCCCACCTCCCCAAGCCAGGAGCCCACCCACCAGCAACAGTAACTAATCCAAAGGAAGAGGCCAAACACATCGGAGTCCTGGTCAATGAAGGGGAGAAATGTCATGTATTGAGCACTTACCATATACGGGGCTGTGCTAGAAGCCTCGAGTCATGTAATTCAAACCTTATTAGGGAGGAGTAATCATCTCTACTTTATAGTTGGGGAATCTGAGACTCAGAGGGTTGAATAACTTGCCCAAGGACACATGGCTAGTAGACAGCAGAGCTGAGTTTGAGCCCAGTCGTTCTGGCTCCATAGCCCAAGTTCTTTTCACTCCCCTCTAGGCTCATCTGCTCATTTTTAATCTCCATTTCTGAAGTGTGATTCTATTATAGGCCTCCAAACTCTGCCCTCTTTTATCACACTCGTGTGTGTGTGTGTGTGTGTGTGTGTGTGTGTGTTCATGTGTATGGCTCTGCAGTGCCCATGAGCATGCCTCTCCTTTATAAAATAAATATATGGCTGTATAGATTGAGGCTGGAAAAGTGAACTGTTGATTTAACACTGACATCTGTTCTTTGCTAGGAAATCCAACCAAGTGAAATAAATGAATATTTCTATCTCACAAATTAAGAAACTGAGGCCCAGGGAAGGGCAGTGACTTGCCCACAGTCATAGAACTGACTAATGGCAGAATTGGGATTCAGCCCAGGTCTCACTTCAAATCCAGGACTCTTCCTTCTTGACTGCATGGTGTTTCCAGCTGAGAGGAAGAGCCTTATTCGCAAGCAATGTAAAGTAGCTGTTAAAAGTGCACACTCTGGAATCAGATATAGGTTTGCATCCTGGCCCTGCCACTAACTAGCCTCAGTTCCCTTGTCTATAAAATGGGAATGGCTTCCTCTGAGGGCCATTGTGAGGATTGAATTAAATGACCCATGTAAAGCACTTAGCTCAGTGTCTGACACATAGTAAACGCTCCATAAATGTGAGCTCTTATGTTATTAGTATTATTCTGGGGACAATTGAAGCACATTTCCTGTTTCGCCCCACTCACTTCATCCAAGGTCTTTTTAAATGGTTGGAATTTGCCGTTTGAAACTGACGGATGATGCTGTGTGCCTGTCATTACCTCCCATTCTCTGCCATCTAGCACCCTGGCACCTTCCCCAGTGGGTGGAAGAGGCTCCAAGGAGAGCTGATCTTCTAAACCATTTACTGTTTAACAGAGAGCCCTCTCCCAGGCGTCATTTTGCTCTAAAAATAAAACAGAACATTAACAGGCCCATTTTCAAAGAGTGGGGAACAAGAAGAGATTAGTGTCTGAAAAGCATCGCCTCTCTGAGACAAGCTGTATATAAACCCCAAGCGTGGCTGGAAGTCCTGATTCAGACCTGTTAACTTTGATGGGGATTACTTTGGGCTGTCTGAGAGAGAAGGAACGCCAACCCCTTTAACAAAGGAACTGGGCCTTTTTATCCAGAGAATGGTGACCTTCATCTGCTGTCCCTTTTTATTCGAGTCACTTGAGGTGAAGACCCTGAGAAGGAAAGAGAAACAAAGAGGAGATTCCTCTTGAAACTGTGAGCTGCCTCCAATCCCACCCATGTTGTGTGGGCCAGGAAAAGGCAGTCGTCCTTCCCCAGATGAGCTGGCATCGCACAGCACCCCAGAGCTGCAGTGTTATTTATAAGAGAGAAAAAAATGTCTGGAACTTTGATTTACGTTATCTATTTGAAAAGAAATGTTCTTACTCCAGCTTTCTTTTCTGAGGAGGGCCATCTGGTACTGATTCCCATTATTATTTCTGTTTCTCTGGTGAAGCGTCATTGCGTTGTCCTTGTGTTTATAATGGGGTTTTCTTGGGGCCTTTGTCCTCCACACTTCTCCTCCCCTCCTCCCTCTGCTCTATGCTAACTGGTTTCACTGTGTTTATAAAACATCAGCTAACAAGCTCACTTTTTTTTCTCCCCCTTCCTTCTTCTGAAGTTTATTGCCCCATATTTTTTAAAGCTTGAACGCAGCCAGTAGGACACTGGGAAGGAGTTGGGGGAGGAGCAGAAAAGAAAAAACCTAGACCTTTCACAGTGAAAAGTGAGACCCTGTGTTTTTGGTCCTGCAGAGTGTCTAATAGCTTGTGTGGTCACTGAAGCATGGCATTTTTGGGGGAAAGACCTGTGTCCGCAGCCTGGTCATGCAGGCCTCATCATTTTGTTAATGGGCTATGCTTCTGCCAGAAATTTGGCTTGAATGGCAAGCTCTGCAAGGGGAAAAAAGGTAACTATTTGACACATCTCTAAGAGGAAACTAAGTTAGGCTGTCTTCCAGACAAAGGCCAGCCCACCTCCCTGACCATTGCTCCTACTCCTTCATCACCACTCCCTTCCACCCCAAGCTGGCCGCTTCTCCCCACTTTACACACAGCTCCTTGGGAAATCACCATTGTTCCTGAAGCTGTCCCAGTGTGATGGAAAGAAGCCAACTTTAATCACCACCCCAGAGGCTCCAGGATGCAAAGGCAGAGGCAGAGTCTACCTACCACCTCTTTGGCAGAGCATCATTGTGGCATAGATACTGGCCCTATAGGATCAGTAGAGCACAAGGACAGTGTCTGCCCAGCCCCAGCAGGAACCTCAGCCAGTTCAGCCTAGATTTCTGGGAGCTGCCTTCCCTCCTGAGATGCAGTCTTCCTTAAAACTTCCCTCCTGCTCCACAATAACTTGACCCAGTTGACCTTCAGAAGCAAAGATTAATTGCCTGGAGGTAGCCTCTCGTCAGTTCCTTCTGATCTTTGTTCTCTGCCTGGGCCATCTGCTGGGAGTGTAGGATTCACTTTGCTGGTTCCTAAGTCCTTCCTTAGACTCATTACGTCTAAGGAAGCACACGCCTGTGCCACCCAGAGCCTCTTGCTGCACTTGGCACCCTCCCAGCCTGCTTGCTAATGATGGGGATTTATAGGTTCGACCTCAAGGGTGCCCTGGGATTCTCAGAGACAGTTTCAACCCAAAGTTGAGGTTCAGGCACTTACAGAAAAGGAAATACCTTTATTGGCCTCAGGATAGGAATTGCTGAGTTGTTTCCTGTCAAATTGGAAAGCTCTCTGGGTCTAGGGGATTGTCACAGAAGCCTAATGGGCCAGAATAATCCTTCTGAGGTTCCAAGATCTGAGGCAGGTCATGAGAATTTATCACAATTATTACATTTATTATTTTTAATTATCAGGCATTCCAACAGGTCATGCTCTAACCATTTTTGAATGGTGTCAGGAGACTGCAGGAGAAGAGATTCTTTGCCTTCATTTGACTTCATTAATCCTCCACATTGCTCTATTTCTTTTCTTGTTTTGATTTCTATTTTTAAGACATTTTTTGTGTTTATGTAAGTATATATGCATGCATGTATTTCTGAACCAGTAAGATTGTAAGGGGAAATGGTAAGAGGCCTAACCAGGAAAGGGTGATTCAAATTTAAATTCTTCCATTTGCCATACTACTGTGTAATCTTGGGCAAGTTATTTAACTTCTCTGTGCTTTCTGTTTCCTCAGCTGTCAAATGAACATGATAAAAGTAGCTACCTCATACTTACATTGTTAGGATTAAATGAGATAATGTCCATGAAATGCTTAATAGCAAAATATGGCAGAGAAGAGGGAATAAGTTAATGTTGATTGTTATTGTGATCATTACTGTGTTATTACCAAATGATCACTCCTGAACCCCGATCGTCTTATTTATCATTTAGGTTATTAGGTTGAACACCTTTAAGACCCTAAATAGCAAAATAACTTTCTTAATAAGCTAGTTCTCAAAATAAATGTTCCCAGAATATTGCCATTTGTAAAGTTTTTGCCCATTTGTGTCTGTGACTCTTACCTACCCAGCCTGGGTTTCCCAGTCTTTTATGTAAAAGTCAAATATACCAGGTTACAAAATATAATTAATGAATACATTTAAAGGATGTCTGAATTAAAATGAGCTCTGACCATAGTTTACCCCAAGCTATGCTACTGAATGTCCTGATAGGATAGGAAGATAACCTCTTTGCAACAGTTTATACGGTCCTTTCAAATCATCATGTCATTTGCTCCTCATAGCAACCTGAGAAGTCAGTAGTCAGTATCTTTACCATACCTGCTTTATAGATGGGAAGCACAGAGCAGTTATGTAATTGGACCATGGACCTAGAACCAGTACATTTTGTCCCTTGACCCTTGAGGCCAAATGGAGAGCTTTTTCTTCTGCAGCATAGGGCTCCCTAGTGAGTTCCTATTAGGAGGGGCCTGACCATACTCATCACAGTGTCATCAGCACCCTTTCTCCAACAGCTACATGTTGCCCCTTCTCCCCAGGATACCACCGTCCCCTAACAATTATAAAATGAATAGCATCCCTACCTCCCTAAAGAGAAAGATAGACCTAACAACTTTTTGGTAGAGAAAGAACATGAATCGACCTCCTTTACCAATCCTGTCTTCTCTCTGCCACCTGTTGCACTTTCCATATGAACTGGAGCCACTTCAGTTAATTCTCAGTACTCTTCTCCTTTTCCATGCAGTGCTTTGCAGAAGATTAGAGGTCTCTGTTAATGTTGTTGTAGCCCCATAACTAAAGCTTTGATTAGGGAAAGTCAGCCCCTGATAGAAATATTGGCCTCAGGATCAGACAGAGCTGTCTTCAGATTCTGGATGTGGAGTAATTGGAACCCTTGTGCACTACTGGTGGGAATGTAAAATGGTAGAACTACTATGGAAGACAGCATGATGGTTCCTCAAAAAATCAAAAATAGAATTTACCATATGATCCAGCAATTTCTTTTCTGGACATATACTCAAATGAATTGAAAGCAGAGTCCCAAAGAGATATTTGTATATCTGTGTTCATAGCAACCTATTCACAATAGCCAAAAGTTGGAAGCAACCTGAATTTCAGTTGATGTATGAATGGATAAACAAAATGAGGTATGAACATATAATGGAATATTATTCAGCCTTAAAAAGGAAGGAAATTCTGGCCGTGCCACAACATGGATGAACCTTGAAGGTATTATGACAAGTGAAATAAGCCATCACAAAAAGATAAATACTGGATGATTCCACTTACATTAAGTACCTAGAGTAGTCAAATTCATAGAGATAGAAAATAGAATGGTGGTTGTCGAGGGCTGAGGGAAAGGGGAAATAGGAAATTGTTTAATGGGTGCAGAGTTTCAGTTTTGCAAGATAAAAAGAGTTCTGGAGACAGTGGTGATGGTTGCCCAACAGTATCCATGTCCTTAACACCACTGACTTGTACACTTAACAGTGGCTAAGGTGGTAAATTTTATGTATGTGTATTTTACCACCATTTTAGAAATCAGGAAAAGAATTCCTCTCTGGCAGAGTTTAGCTGTGTGATCTGGCATAAATTATTTACCTCTCAGAGCCTCGGTTTCCTCATCTGTATCTCACTGGGTTACTGAGAAAACTGAATCTGATAGTGTATATAAAGTGCTTAGCATGTAAGCACAGAGCAGATAACCCACAATGTTACTCTCTCTTCCCTCTTTCTGGATTGGTCTCCTGAGACCACTTTGACCCTTGGCCCTGGGAGCACTAAAGGGCTGCCTGGCTGTGAGCCACCACTATGTGACTCACCTACCACATGAGGAGAAGCTGTGCAAAGTCAGCACATATTGAAGTGTTTGCCCTCAGGAAAGTGAATTTTTTTGTCTTTGTTTTGTTTGTTTGTTTTTTAGAGACAGAGTCTTGCTCACTGCCCAGGCTGGAGTGCAGTGGCACAATTATAGCTCATTGCAGCCTTGACCTCCTGGACTCAAGCAATCTTCCTGCCTCAGTCTCCCAAGTTGCTGGGACTACAGGCGTGTGCCACCATGCCTAGCTAATTTTTTTCATTTTTTTATTTTTTGTAGAGACAGGATCTCGCTGTGTTGCCCAGGCTGGTCTCAAACCCCTGGCCTCAAGCAATCCTCCCACCCCAACCTCCCAAAGTGCTGGGATTACAGGTGTGAGTCACCACACCTGGCCAGGAAAGTGAAGTTTGAAAGTTCATATCAATCTCAAGAATTTGGGGAAGATGATAAAATCTAATGGAATTTAATTAAAAATAAATTATCATTTAAATGAAGGAATCTATTTTAGTCTCATGCCTACAAAAATAAACCTGCATTATGAAGTGATAATAAAAGTTCATTCTATGAAGACTTATTAAACACCTCCTGTGTGCTAGGCAATGTTCTAGGAGGTGGAGATTCAGAAGTGAATGAAACAGAATCTAGTAGACATGAAGTGCTATGCTGATGCTTGAGACACATTTCTTACTTTGCCCCACAAACGAAGTGGTAGGGATTTCTACCTGGGTGGAGTTGGGAAGCCAGGTCTGCCATTTGCCGCAGTACTGCTCTCACCTTACTAAGTGACCTATGCATCCTTCTGCCAGAATGTATGAAGCCCCTTGGCCACAAAGCTAAGTAGTTTGCTTAAAGAAGCCTCACCTTTGCTGGTCAGATGCTTACCTATGTTCTCCTTCCTCCATCTCACAGTGGACTGCATGGACCCCACATGTTCAGGCCGGGGTGTCTGCGTGAGAGGCGAATGCCACTGCTCTGTGGGATGGGGAGGCACCAACTGCGAGACCCCCAGGGCCACATGCTTAGACCAGTGTTCAGGCCACGGAACCTTCCTCCCGGACACCGGGCTTTGCAGCTGTGACCCAAGCTGGACTGGACACGACTGTTCTATCGGTAAATGCAGGGGGAGAAGAAGCATGGGTAGAGGGAGGGGATTTCCACTGTGACATGGTCACCAATCACGTGACTGTTCCCAATCACGTAGCAATGCATTCCCCGTGCCTCTGAGTGCTTTTCCTCTTTCTCTGAACTCTAGCCTTCAACACCTCTACTCTTAGACAAAGAGAGGATTCAAAAATTACATCCTTACATCATTCCTTCCATAGTAGTGGCCCTGAGATTCAAAACTACCCCTTAACAATGGAGCTTATAATTACAGATGTGTTTCACCGAACTCTCATCTCATGTTAAGACATCATCCCTGGAGGCAAGGCCATAGGGAAAGTGTACCTAGGTAAGCTCTGTAGGGGTGGGCCTTATAGGATAAATGTCCCAGCCATCAAACCCTTCAGTTTCACCCATTTCTCAGAATGAAGTCCAAACTCAGTGTAGTGTTTAGGGTTCTTTGGGATCTGGCCCCCACCTGCCCTTCTAGCCAAATGCTCTGTTAGTCACTAAGCTCCATGAGGGTAGCAAACATGTCTTGTTCACCTCTGCAGCCCCAGGACTCAGCATGGCCTGACCCACAGCACCTGCTCAATAAATAATGATAAATGAATGCATGAACACATGATTGAATGTGTTCTTGATTGTGGCATTTGGTTCATCACAGGGTTTGTACATATAAGGTACAAAGGATAATTATGTTGGCACCCTTCTGTTTGAAAACACTATGATTTACAGGTCCTTTCAAAGTGAAGATTAAATGGGAACATACGTGAGTCACCTAGCACAGTATAGGTATATAGTGGGTTATGGTCACGTCTCATCTCTCATTTAATCTGCACAAAAACCCTACAAGAAAGCTGTCAGCTATCCATGTTTTACCAATTTACATAATACTTTAAACAGCAAATACTTACTGAGCCCCTACAGTATACCAGGCACTCTTCTAATCAGAGAGGATGGAGACCAAAGAGCCCCTGCCTTCGTAGAGTGTGCATTCTGGGAAAGGGGAGGGGAACAACAACAACAAAATGGAGATAAGTGAACTGATAAAGAAGCTAAGGCTTGGAAAAATTTTAAGTGATCCTGCCCAGGGACAAAAAGCTAAAAAGTGATAGCATCTCCAGCTATGCTTTTTTACTCAAAATCATTTTCCTCGGCACTCCACGCTGTTTAAACAAAGTGAGTATCAGATTAGCTCATTATGTTGTGTATTAACAGTTCTGGTTGTGACCAAGAAAGATGGCTGAGACCTTTGGCAAAAATGAGATCCATGTAGCATTCATGCCTTTGGGATACTTTGAATTACCTTTCCCTGTTGAATAGAGAATTGATGTTCAATACACAGTCTAAATTGGACTTTTATCCTTGTTTGCAAAGCTCATGTAAAGGCATGATTGTAAGCACAGATGTGCAGGGTCTTAGGAATAATTCTTTTTATATAGCTCTGTTTATAGCGATATAATAAATGGTCCTCTTAAAGCTACGCTGGCTTGCATTGTTCATTATGTGGCCACAAAGCTAATTTATGATAGGTATATAACTGCGTCTTGCACTGTTAATCCCTGATGAAACCCCACAGCCTCTGAGGAGGTACGTATAACTTTGGATGAGATTACTAAGTATTCTTTAGTTAGCTCAGTAAACGGAAACAACCGAACTATTAGAAGGGACTTTGAATAGAATTATGAGATCTCCCTTTCCTCAGTCCTGGCTATACCACTCCCCGTAACTGGTGTCAAACACGTATCTGTCCTCATGTGCAAAGGCAAGAGAGAACCATGTGATGAGGAAAGTCCCTGAGTCAGACAGACCTGGGTTCAAATCTTTTTTTGGGGGTTTCAAATCTTGGCCCTGCTACTTACTAATTATAATTTTGGGCAAGTTACTTTACCCTTTGAAGCTATAAAATGGAGATAATGATAGTACCTACCTTCTGGAGTTATAGTGAGAATTATTTAAGAAAATGAAAGGCTGGGCACAGTGGCTCACGCCTGTAATCCCAGCACTTTGGGAGGCCGAGGTGGGTAGATCATGATGTCAAGGAGTTCAAGACCAGCCTGGCCAAGATGGTGAAACCCCGTCTCCACTAAAACTACAAAAATTAGCCGGGCGCAATGACAAGCATCTGTAATCCCAGCTACTCAGGAGGCTGAGGCGGAGAATCTCTTGAACCCGGATGGCAGAGGTTGCAGTGAGCTGAGATCGTGCCACTGTACTCCAGCCTGGGCAACAGAGTGAGACTCCATCTCAAAAAAAAAAAAAGAAAAGAAAAAAAGATTTGGCCCATTATATGAGCTCAATAGTTGTTAGCTGTTGTTATGATGATGATTAAAACACTCATTGGTAGAGCACTTGATATTAACAAAGACATTTGATTATAAGATGGAAGATGAAATCCCTTTCAGAAATATAGATTCTAATTTTTAAATCTCTATCCTATAAATGACTAGAAGGGTCTCATGATTGCCACAAGGCCAGGAATATAAAAGGCAGCTTTAAAAGTATTGTAATAGTGAAAACAATTGGCGTTTGTTGAGTGTCCCATAGCATACAAAGATGTTTCACATGGCAACACACACCCTGCGCAACAGCAGCCCTGTGAGGTTGGGATGACAGGTACGGTATTGCCCCTGTTCCTGTGATGAGGCTAGAGGAGTGGCCGTGACTTGCATGAGCCATGCTGGTGAGGGAGGAAGCTGGGAGTCAAGGCTTGGCCCCACGCTGGGGCAGCCTGCTTTCCAGCACTCTCCACAGGCCACGTTCCTCCTCAGCTGTCACTTCACCTCTGGAAGCTGGTTTGAAGGAGAATGAGGGCATTTCAACTGTTCTCTCTCCTCAGCCCCTGCTGTGCAGGAACTGCTGGCCTGGGTTCCACCCTGCTTCTGCCACATGTTAACCATGCGACCTTGGCAAGAAAGCTCACTTTTCTTGACTTCAGTTTCCTTATCTGAAAAATGGAGATAGTAATAGTACCTGCCTCAGCGGGTTATGTAATCATTAAAGTACATCGTTTTGGTATGCACGTAGAACAGTGTCCGTCATACAGTAAGCACTTAATGTCTTTCTACCACCTCCCTTCCAAGGGCACTTTCATTGAGTGAAAGCTGTTTTAAAGCTATTGAGTTTTTGCAGTGAAGCTATGCAAGGAATGCCTCGTTGCCTGGATTCACTAGAGCCAAGAAACTATCTTTCTGTTTAGGGAGTTAGCTACAGGGCAGCAGAACAGGCACTGGGCTTTTTGGGGGAAGAGTTGCTCCCCACTCGTTGAATGGCTTCATCATGTGGCTTAACCCTCTAACCCTTAATTTTCCCTTAGGTAAAATTACTTTATGGAATCACTGTGAGGATTAGGTGAGGAAATTTGGGCAAAGTAGTTCTTGTAGTATCTGGCACAGCTCACACCCTAGACAAACGGTAGCTCAAGTCATCTTGCTTATGCTGCTTGCTGCCTGGCATGGCAGAGCTGGCACAGACACTGCCCAGTCCCTCCCATCAGGAGCTGCAGGCCAAAGGACAAATCCCAAGTGATCCTTGCACCATCAGCATTGGTTCTGGGTTCTTGGGTTGGTAGAGATGGGCCCCTGCTGCCTGCTGCCTCCTAGGAGGGAACACTGTCTATTCCCTGAGATGAGTGTCTTGCTGTTTGGCACCAAGAACAGGATTTAATGAAAGCAGCTTAAATCAACATGCCCTGCACTCAACAACCAGCCCTGTATTGAAATGTGAGCTGACAAGTTCCTCAGCACTTTGGTTAGGTTTGTGGAAACAGTGAAGTCAGATTTTATACAAGTGTTTACTCAGTTCCCTGGCTTCCTGGCAACTTGGCTTCCAGTCTCGTCTCAGAAATTCCTCTTTCAGTCCAGCCTCATGCATGTGGTCTTCCTTCCTGATAAATCACACGACATAACTGTTGCAACAGATTCTTATGCCCCAGAAGAGCACAGGACATAGGCCCCAGTGGGACTTCACTTCCTGAGTCACTTGTGAGGATGATACTGATCATGGTGGTGGTAGTGATGGTGGGGGAGGTGGCTACTGCTGTTGCTGTTAAACAGATAGAAAAGAGTTGGAAGCGGGGAATGACTGGCCCTAAGTGACTCAGCTTACCTGAGGCAGTTTGAATTAAATCCAGGCCCTTTGTTCCCAAGTCCTCAGCTCTTGCCTCATGCCCCCTTTCTATCCAAAGAGGTGTTCATGTTGCCATTCTTATCTCTCTTTCTGACAAGCCACAGGATAGAGTAACAAAGAGCCATCCATTTCTTAGTATTTAGCATGTACCAGGCACTGAACTAAGTCCTTTACAACCTTATCTTAGCTAAGGTTCATAAGAACCCTGGGAAGGAAGTATTACTAGTATTACCATTTCCAGATAAGGAAACTGAAGCTCAGAAAGATTAAATTACATACTGGCATCCCTTTTCTCCCCCAACCCTCACCCGACTCATAAGTGGCGGAGTCCAGATTCAAACCACATCTGGCTCCAAGGTCTCTCCTAAACACTATGTTATATTGACTGATGTATTCTAATCAATCTCTCTCTCTCTCTCTCTCTCTCTCTCTCCCCTGTGAACTCTGTGAGGTCAGGGCCTATAAGTATCCCTAGCATAGGGACAAACATACATTAGGTTCTTGGTGATTATTGCATGAATGACTTAACCAGTGAATAGTCAAAGAAAGAAAAAGAGCCCCCTGGAAACACAGGGAAGAGAGGGGCTGCAGCCGAAAGCTCTGTCCAGGAAGATCCCAGCACACTACCCGACAGCGAACCTAATCCCTTCTCTCAGGACTCCACCTCCTCCCCACCTCCTCATAAACCCCTTCCCTCCCACTCCCCACACAGTGTGCTGGGCTAACACCAAATCTCTGTGCTCCTTGTCTGTCACTTCCCAGACCTAGATCATGTTAGTTTCATGCGCAGTGCCAGCCAGCCAGAAGCCCTCCTGGACAAGAGCTGGCATCATTTCACCTCCTTCAAGCCATCTTCCCTAGGGAGCAGGCCTGCTGGGCTGAATGCCTCATCAACTTTTGCATAAAGTGGGTACACTCAGCAGCACTGCTGAGCAGAACAACTCCTCCCATCTCCCCTTCCTTGTGCTTTAGTTGGCTTTTCACCCTCTTGGCTCAGAGCTGTCTCAGAAAAGGGAAAGAATTTAATCTCTTTGAGATGGTCCTTAGAATTGGAAAGGCTCACCTTTCTTTCAGAGCTTAATGGCTTCTAAAGATTTTAGCCTCTGTGGCATTTTCCATGGTACGCTTTCAAAAGCCATCCCTTAGACTCATCATTTGTCCCTGTTGGTTCTCCCTCAGGTCTTCCTTCCCCACCCTTACCCCCATAGCCTCTCTCCTCAGCCTCATAAATTTATTCCTCATTTCCACTGCTATATGAGCTCTCTCCAGTCTTGTCTCCCATAAATGACTTTTATTTGAGAGGGCCCTCTCCCTATATTTTATTCCTTAGGGTTGCTGGCTCACAGAAGCAATACATGGCAGAGATTTTGCCTGTAAAATGCTCATGCTGCGGGTTTATGATTCTTATCATTTGATTGCAATTGAGTTTTGTGGAATAACAGGTGGAGATGTTTTAGAGATTCAGTGGCACAGGTTTGGAGGTAACACGTGCAGTCAGCAAGAATTGCATGAAATTTGGAGTAGGACCAGGCTAGATTTTCAACACTAAGCTTAAGCATAGACTATGGCTAATGACACCTGCCTTGCAGGGTTGTTTTCCAAATCAGATTTCACATGTATATGGTGGCTGCATTCAGTAAGCAGTCAATAAATGAAGTAGTTTTATATAGTTTTAGAATGCATGATTAGATTTAAGTTATCCAAACAGTCCTTAGACTCTAACAAGTGTAATTCTTAGGACAGTTTATACAGTGAAGGTTTGGAGCCAGAAGGCCTGGACCTGAATCTGTGTAACCGTAAACAACTCACTTGCTCTCTCAGAGGCGCAGTTTCCTTGCAGTTTCTGAATCTCTCTACCATCCCCTTTCCCCAGCCCCAACACTGGTCATTGACTCTAGATGAAGAGTCATTATCTAGATCATTGTCTAGATGAAGAGTCAGATAAAAGCTGACACATTAACCCCAAACAACTAGGTCAGTGGCCCACAGCACAAGGGAGTTAGGGTCAGCCTCCTCTCAGCATCACAAGCTTCCTGAGGTCCATTCCAGAGAAGAGCACAACCTCCTCAGAGAGAGCACCCCACAGTAGCTCCAGACCTGCTCCCACGCTGACACATTCACTGCATTCATTCACTGAATCTTTCTGGCCTATCCTGTGTGCTGGGCATTCACTGTTTTAGGCACCGAGGATCAGACAGCCCCACAGCCTGGTCAGGAAATGAGACGCCTAATTATTCAGCATGAGCAGAGCTCTGATTGTTGTGTGTACAGTAGGGTTTGGGAGCACAAAAGCAGAAGCAGTGAACTTGGCCAGTAATGGGATGGGAGAGGAAATGGAGAAGGTTGTCACCAGCCAGAGATCTGTGAGCCAGACCCTGAAAGGGGACTGAAGGGAGGCCCCCTGGTGGCCAAGGAGGAGAGGGCAGTGCAGGCCAAGGGAACAGCGTGTGCACAAGTAGAGAGCATGCATGATCAGCTGGACAGTCGCGGCTCAGTCCAGCTGGAGATAGAAGCTGCAGGGGTGGGTGGCAGGAAAGAAGGCCAGAGGTAGGCAGGATCCAAACCTCGGAGCCCGCTGAATGCTGTGCCGAAAATCTTGGCTTAAAATAATTGTCAATGAACATTGACTGTTGCCCTTTCAGACTCCACATCAGATCTCTTTCTTTGGCTCTCTCAACTCAATCTGGCCTAGATTCTACCTTAACACAGTGGAACCCTCCAGAATTCACACTCAGATCCTCTAAGCTTTCAGTTTATTCTCTATTAATCTCCTCCCCTACCCAAAGGGAAAGAGAATCACAAAGCATAAATAATAACAATAACGACTAGATGGATATGGCGCTGAAAAGCCCTGTTATCAAATTAGGTCACAATCGACAGCAAAATAAACTCAATGCTTTAACAAAAATAAGCTTAAAGTAGCAACCGGGTTAAAATAATTAAAGCTCTAAACATAGCAGTTGCACTAGAGCTAAATTCAATTTTATTTACGAGGCAAAATATAATTACATTTAAATTTGAGGGAACAGAATTTAATTCTTATTAATGACAGAAAGACTGAGTGAGATGCTTTAATGCCAGAGAAATTGTCTTATGTTCATGGATGGGAGAGAAAATTAGATTCAGCATTGAGCATTCTCCCCTGTTACAAGTCTCATTTGTGTAGCTAGAATTGTTCCTTCTCTGAGAAGCATTAGCTTCTCAGTCCAGAAAGCACAGCACCAACATCCAATTAAACATCAAAAGGAAACAATCAAGTTAGGCTATTTCTGTATAGGCATGTTATAGGAGGGGAAACTCAAGGTTAGAATCTCTCCAGAGGAATAATATCCATTGAGACTTGACATTTCCTGTACCCCTTCCCAACAGCAAGTGATAGCCTGAAATCAAAGTTCAGAATAATAAATATCCAGGAGATTGACAGTGGCATAGAGAGGAAGGGAAGTGTCAGAGGGCGGCACGGAAGAGCCTCCCAGTTGCCTGGGAGGTAGTGTGGCGGTTTAGACACAATGAGATGGTCAGTTCCTAACATTTAATCAAAGACTGGAAAATTGGGCCCAGACAAGCATGCTGCTAAATACTGCCAGAGTTAAAGGTTGATAAACCAAGAGCTGGCAGATTTGTAATTTAGTAGAATTTCCCCTGACAGCCCTGGAACGTTTTCTATCAGAATTGGATCTCTTCAGTATGCAAATATAAGCCCTTCTGAAATTGGGCTTCAGAATGAAGTTTCTATTTGGATGCCCAAGCTGATATCTTGTACAAAATCTCTAGTTGTCTTCCTGAATCAAACTGCTGTTATTATAACTTGTAATCTTAAAAAAAAACTGTTCTTTCAATGGAAATTTTATATTTTACAGAGCTCCTTCATGTACGTGCTTCATGACTTATTCAAACAGCAAATACATTAACCTCTGACATTGCAGATGGTGTTACTCCCAGGAAACCAGGGTCCAGAGAACTTGCGTGACTTGCTCAAAGACACTCTGAGAAAACAATGATTCACTTCCAGGCTTCTCTGGCTTCAGAGCCCATGTTTATCCTCTGCACAACTCTGCCATTGGCTATTACCAAGGTTTGTGCTGAAACTGCCAGTAAATCAGGTATCAGGTTTTGGATAGCACTTCATTTAGTAACACTGCCAGAGGAACCATGTAAATTGGATCATGACTTTGGTGTACTAATATTACTACAAGGGTTTCAGAAAAAGAACAATTGCTCTCAACCAATGGTCAGGGAAGCTTCTTGGAGGAAGTGGAATTCAAGGTGGTGGTGGAGGTTGGATATGAGTAGGTAGTGATAAAAGGAAGAGGCAAGCACCTTGCAACAGCCAATTGTAGAAGTCAAAGATTTGCAACATATACAAAGATGGGAGATCAAGGCATTTTCTAGGAAAGATGAGTAGCTTGAAGTGGCTTAGCTTTTAGGATATTTGTGGCAGTAGTGAGAGGGGGAAAAGATGAGGAAAGCCAGCATGAATAATCTTGAAGGAGTTTAGGTTTTTTCTGTCTTTGGGAGCCACTGAGAAGTTTTAGGCGGAGGTGTGACAAGGTCAGGTTTGGTTTTAGAAACCTACTCTATTGTCAGCATACAGTTGGAGGTTCTTGGGGGACAGCCAGGTGGAAGTGTCCAGGAAAGAGTTAGATAGATGAGCTTATGACTGAGTGGAGAAATGAGCCTTTTACAAAAGGTTATTAGGGTCAGAGGTCATTAGGAAGAGAGTGTAACATCAGCTGTCTCTTCATTTCACCCAGTTGGGCCCTTTTAGTGGGGGTCAGGTTGTGTTCCAGTCCTGGCCGAAAATACACATCCCAGTCTCGTTATTTGGCTTCCTTGCTCACTAGTTCTTTCCTGACTTGTTATCCTTCTGCAAAGTCAGCTCCTATTTGGAGGCCTCCTCCAAGCTGGGTTTGAACTCCTCTAATCAGGAAGCCAGATACTCTCCAATTAAGAGGAATAGCAGTGGCTTACTGCTTCCTGTGGTAGGTGCTTTGTAAAGACTTGAAAATCTAGTCCTGGGGGAATAGATGTGGAGACCTGCTCTGCACCCACATACTGGAATCCACTTTTCTGCTTGGTTTGAAAGCTCTCCAAGCTCCTTGAATGAGGTGAAAGGCCGTGTGGTTTCCAAGGCTCATTAACTTTCCGCCATCTCGATCCGTGGAACAGAGCCATGGCTTGAAGCAGCTCTGACTCTCGGGTGATAGGGAGGGAAGTTGAAAAGCACAGGAGAGTAGCTTGGGTTTGGCCTCAATGTCTAAAGGAGACTAATTACTGTAAGGAAGTCAGAGGTTCCTTTGCTGTACCTTCTTCCCCTTCTGGCTTCTTCCTGAAACCTGCACTGAGACTGAAAGCCATCTGTCCAACTTAGTGAGGGAGGCAGGGAGACAGCGTGGGTGCCATACTTTCAGAATGCTAATTTGTACAAAATATATGGAGATCTGGTCTGTGGGAGAAAAAGCTAACTTTTAATTAGCCTACTGTGTGCTGGGCATGGTGGCTGGCATTGTGCACATTTACACACATAGGCAGACTTGAGTTTCTTGTGGATACGAATAATTTCATATAATCTCGTATCCTCAGCCCCTAGGCCTATCTGTCACATAGTAGATGCTCAGTATATTTTTAAATCTGTTTTAAAACTCTGATAGATAGATATCATTATCACCATTTTATAAATGACAAAAATAAGGCTCAAAGGTGTGCAGTATTTGTTTCACATAGCTAGGAAGTAGCAGAGCAGGCTCTTACCTGATTCCAAGCCTCTTCTCTGAAAAATCACAGAATCTTGAACAGTTACGTGAGCACTCTGTCCTGTACCACTGGAATCTGGCAATACAGATACAGTCAGAAGACATGTTTCCTGTGTAAGACTCACTAGGGAATGCAGAGATTAATTTGATGATGGCAGGGTTCTCTAGACAACTCAGGTAGACTAATAACCCTGAGAAAGGGAGATCCACGTAAAAGTGCTTTGGGAAGGCAGAAGGTGAAACTCCTTCCAGCTGCCGGGAGGGGGTTTCAAGGAGGAGGTGGCATTGGAGCCAGAACTCAAAGCACATTTAGATTTGAATACATGAAGATCACGGTAAAGGAGCCCAGACTATGGAAATGGCCCAGGCAGAAGCACAGAAGAAGGCCCAAAGAGCGCAGCGACCACCATCTGGCAGCTACTTGTCCAGCTGCCCCCTTACATTGACTGTTTGCCAAGGCAGCCAGCAAGTTCCTACTCAAGTACTGACATGCATGTCACTGTGTGGCATAGGATAAGGTACTTCCTAGATGGGCCCTAGTTTTCCCATCTAGAGAATTCTTTTCTAACCATAAAGCCTGCTCCTCTAGTTTTGCTCTTTTTCTTCCTTGACACTAATCCACCTAAAGGAAATGTCCTGGCCAGAACCAGGCCACTTCCTACCCAGTGCCAGTTCTCTCCTGGCTCAATCTCCTTCTACATTTTCTGCTCTTCCGCTGGTCCATCACTCACAGCTCCCTGGTCTCTGTGCCTTTATTCCACATCCACCTTGCAAAACCCAGGATCATTTTAACCATTCACCACTTCTGATCTCAAAGCTGTGCTTCTGAATGCCACTAAGCCAAATCACATCATGCTCCTGATCTTTAGCCTCTCCTGGGCCCTCCCAGCTGCAGTTCTTGTACTTTGTGAGTTCTCGCTCTCATTCGCCAGGGGGCTGTTTCAAATGTTCACATCTATTCACCAGCACCCTGCTCCAGGGAGATTCCCGCCTCCTACCTCACGGAGAACGCTGAGGCCAATAGTTTAGTGCTGCCCCATTATCCTGCCTGCTTCCCATACAGACTGTGTCCCACATGACTCTGTCTGATCCCTCTACCCAGAGGGTGAAGTACCCACTATGCCCGTTCCTCTGATTGTGCTTCGGAAACAGTCCTCTCTACCTGTTGAAAGGCACCTCAGCTGAGCATCCCCTTGCTCCCTCCAGTATCTTCAACCCCTCCTTTCCCTGATGCTTTCCAGCACATAAACATGAAATAGTTGGGACACTTAGATGGCCTGGTGACACACAGCTGGTTAGGTGATTACACATTTGGGTGGATGGACAGATAGATGGGCTGATGGATGAGCAGACAGTTGGATGGAGGATGAACAGACGGATAAACAGACAAACAAAAGGAAAAGTGCTTAACACAGTCAGCATTGGGTTGAGGTGAGGAAGGAAACTGAAAACACTGATTCCAGAGATCTTATAGTCTAGCTGGGGCTATGATCTAAGATGTAATTAACAATCAGGGGATACACTCATATGGCATCTGAGGTATTGTCTAAACCTGATCCCACAACTCATAGGCCAAAAATCATGTGAATCACAGTCACCTTTCATTTCTAGCTAAGTACCTTTGAGCACTTAATGTCTCCAAGCTGTTTCCTCAACTATGATATGGGAGTGAAAGCATCATTGCAGGACTATTGAGAGAATTTAATGAGTTAATATTTGTGTTCCAACAACAACAGTTGCAGTTCTGGAACATTGAAGGTACTTCATTTTCTTATTTTTGCCTCAAATGCTGACTATTAATGGTTTGGCTTGGACTTTAAGTATGCCAGAATTTCTGATAAACTCCCCCACTTGTGCAGTAACTCAGATGAGCTAGTGATAAAACAAAAAATCGTGGCAGGAATCATTTAAAATTAACCCTCTATTAAAATTTCTTAAGGTCACTCTTGGAATCTCAGGTCCTCAGCAAAATAGAACAATTATACTTATTACCTCTTCTAGTGCTAAATGCAGACTTATGAAAGGACTTCCCAGGAGGTCCCGGGGAGCAAGACTCTGTTTCCACATGACTGGAATTTTAGAAACAGCTTCATTTGCACCTGTTCCTTGCTCAGCAGGAAGGCGTGCAGATCTTTGGGCGGGGGCCCTTCTACCCCCTACTTGTATCAGTTTTGAGCATCTTTCCAAGTAGAAGAAATTTTGTGGGAAAATTGTGCATAAGTCTTTCCCTTTCGGAGAAAGGCACAGCTTCCCCTACCAGCTATTTTAATGAACAGGATTGTAAAGTAAGTCCAGACAAATTAAAACGTAGCAGCGATAGGTCCCAGGCTTCATCTGGGCTTGCACGGGGATTAACATCTAATGAGACGAGCCTGGGGCAGCTTTTCCTGTACATATACATTTTTTGACATAATTAACCAAGAGCCAAACCTTGTGTCTTTTCCCTGCTCTTTCGCCTCTTCCTCGTGTGTTCACCCCCTTCCACATCATAGAAAGAGAACAAGTGTGACTTGGGCATTAGCATGAAGAAGATGTGTCTGTGGGTGTAAGGACTGAGGCATTGTTTTAAATTACAGAGTTCACACACAGAGATTGGAGAAAATGAGTTTCTAAGAAGCTTAGGCACAAAGGACACTGAGCCTCTACATAATATATTTAACAAAATAACCTGTGTACAACGTGGCACTGAGATAGAGTCGCATCAACCGACATACACCTCTTCCATTAAAGCTTTTTTCATTCATCTATTCTTTCAACAAACATTTGTTGAAAGCCATGCTGGGCCACACCTGGTGCTAGTGCCAGGGGACCACATTGATCTTCCCATCAGGTGGGCTTCCAATCTAGAGAGAGGACAGTGCACGGGTGAGGCAGGGAAGAGGTGGGGTAGGGAAAGGGTGGTGCTATGGGTTTGACTTTCTGTAGGGGAAGAGCTCACGTGTTGCCAGGTTCATCTCCAAGGGCCTGTACAGTTCAATCAAGAACTCTGTAAGCTTGGAATAGGAATTTTTGGACAGTTGGAGATTTTCCTCTGATTTTGAGAGGAAGTCCAGGCTACAAATACAAATGGCTTCTACCTAGGTTTTGATACTCTTGGCTGATGATGCCATGCTAGGTGACCAGAGGAAGAGCATGCTTTTCTAGTAGTAGCCCCAAAGTTTGAGACCACTACTAGAAAAGCAAATATTTCATTCTTCAGGAACACATTCCTCTGCTGGGTTACTTGGAGCTGTGCTGATGGAATCATCTTAGGTCCTCATCAATTAGTCATACACAGCATAGTGTACACAGAGCTTTTCATATAAACTATTTTCTTCAGTTGTCACCACTCATCCTAGAGGGGGACCATTATTACTCTCCTCATTTTAGGGGTAAAGAATTATGTCTCAGAGAGATTAAGTTCCCCAAGTACCCACAGCTAGGAAACTGGGGAGTCAGAATCTGAACTCAAGTCTCCTCTATGGCTTGTGTACTCCTAGTACTTCAAAAGATTCCTCCCAGACCCCAGCCCTCCTCCATTAATTCAGAAAGCTCTGATGTTGGTCATGTGAAAGCCAACTAGCATTTATCAAACCCTCCCTTGTTATTGGGTATGTTGCAAACGTCAGAATTCATATCTGGTCTTCTAAGTTTAGTCTAGTGTACTTGCCACTACATCTCCTTTCTCATAAAAATGTGTGTATTTATTATATCCTGAATATGTGCCAGGCACTATGTTAGAAGCTATACTTTTGTTCATGCTAAATTGATTTAGGTTATATCTGTCTGCCATGCTAGAATGTAAACTCCTTGAGGTCAAGGAAAAATTCATGCCTGTCATAATCACCATGGGATCTCCAGTGCCCACTGTGGGGCTTGCACACAGGGAGCACCCAAGAAATCAACCAAATGAAAGTAATTCCTACAGCAGTCCTCCAAAGTATAGTAGTTGACGTCATCCCTGTTTTACATAAGGGAACTTGTGACTAGGAGAGGAGCTGTAACCCACATTTCACAAAGGACCACTTACATTATGTAAAAGACATATGAGCTGTCAAAGCACATTCTTTAGCATAGTCCTGTTTAGCTTTCACTAGCCACTTCAGGAAATTTTATCTGCTTTAATGTCAAAGCAGAATCTGAGAAGGAAAAATAAAACAGTTCCTTTTGTTTCAAGGTATTTGAAAATAAGAAAAAAAGAAACAATAGGGACTATGACTTGAGGCCAAATGGTAAAGTAGCATCACAGGTTTCTACTCTCATCTTGAGTCTGTGGGTCTCTTCACTCAGTCAGATGGGCCCATCTGCAGAGAATCCAAGCACTCCCAAGCTGTATTACCTTCAGTTAGCACCCCATAAACATCAAGGGCCCTTCCATTAAAATGTGTAAGAGCTCACAACCCAGCTTGTAAAGGGCTGGTGGAGGAGTGCCCAGTCACCAGGCCACTTTAACTTCATGCCAGGAGAGCATGTCTAGTGTAAACTGGCAAGGAAGTTGAGTGTTTGGATGGACAGAGCAGTAGTCTCCAGATGGGAAGGGTGAGACTAAGTGCCTGGGAAACTCTGTGTAGAGGACCTCATTTCATTTCACATATATCAGGGTCTGACTTGGATATAACAAAGGATAAGCAGGGCCAGGAGTGGCAGGAGGTGGGGATCTGCTGGAAAAGCTGAGAGTTTCTCTCAAAGGGAAGCCCACCTGTGACAGGTCAGTGTTCCTTGCCTGTTCTGAGGCTTCGTTTCCTTATCTGTGAAATGTCTGCCTTGAAGTACTGTTCCAAGGATTGTCAAAACAATGAAAAGACACTAGATGATCACATGACCTCATAGAATGTTCTCATACTATCTGGGCCTCAGTACCCACACCACTAAGAAGGATAATAGCCAGGCATTTTCACAGCCTTGTTGTGATAGTTCAATGAGAAATTGTCCATGAAGAGTGCTTTGCAAACTGTAAAACTTGATGTGAGCATTAGTTAAATAAAAAATGGCTTTCCCACATATTACCTCATTTGATCTAACACCAACCCTGTGAAATTGGTGAAGTGGGAATTATCAACCCCATTTTACAGAAATGGAAAGCAAGGCTCAATGAATTGCATAATTGGCAGCTTGCAGATTACCCAGCCAGTAAGTGGTAAAGCCATAGGCAGATCAGACTTGTCTGACCCTAAGTTCCATGTTCTTTAATTCATTGTACATAGCAAAAAGGTGCAGGCATGAGTCATAGCTATAGATTATTTGGATAATCTTTTGAATGCCAATATTAGTTTGTGCTTTATCTGGACTGAGATCTCCTGGGGGGCAGAGATTATATCTTATTGACCTCTGTATTTCTAGCACCAGGTACAGTCTCTGGCATATAGTAGGCATGTGTGGATATTATTAGAAGAATACATGAATTAGTATGAATTGATTGATACCTACTATATATAAGGTAGGAAGAAGCCTCTGAAGTGGTTGTCATCATCATTGCCACTTTGCAGAGGAAGAAAAGGAAGCTTACAGCTATTGAGTAGGTCATAGAGCAGGCAAAACTGAGATCTGGAATCACATCTGATTCCAAGTCTTACTGTCTTTTGTCCGTACTGTCTCCAGGTGACTTAATAAAGGAATGAAGTACATTTTAGCTAAGACCTGAAGTCTGGAAGTTCATTGTGGGGAAAAGCCTGCCTCTTCTCTTGGTCCCTGATGGGCTCCATGTGCTCTGCTGCCTGAAAACACCATGGCTTTGGCCCCAGCAGCCCGCCCCTCTCCTGGCTCACACCTCAGTGAATAGTATGCTTTCTGCTGTTTACTTTCACACCATAAACCACCACCTGGCAAAAGTGCTGAGTAAACCCAAACAAATACTAAGCTGATTTTTCATCTCTCCAAGGGCCCTCAAGGGAAAGTTCCAGCCCTGACCCCAGGCCCAGCCTCCAGAGTCACCAGGAAGTCATTGCCCTTTCAATGTTGTACAGAAGAAATGGGAATTACAGAGACAGGACCTAGGATATCCTGGGGCCTGGAGATTGTCATTCTTTATCTTGAGGCAAGCCCAAGTGTTTGTCTATGTGAGCAAGAAAGGAAAAGAGCTTGAACAACATCCTAGGGGGCTGCTTGACATAGCTCCGCAGCCCTGTCCTCACGTGGGACAGTCTCATACAGGCAGGTCGCTAGAGAGAAACAGACAGGTGGGCCTGGTTGGACTTTTCAGCCAGGCTAAGTGGGGTGTGGTGAATGTTTACCATTCTCAGGCACCTATAGCCCCAGGCATACCGTAATTCATCCATCATCCAACAAACCTTAGTAAGAGGTCTATTCTATACCAGGATCTGTGCTTGGTACCCGGGATGGAGGTGATCAAAGGAATTAGACCAGCCTCGGGTTCCTAGTCTGATGATAAGACAGACAAAGAAACAGAAAACCACTCTACCATGTAAAAATGGGAAGGAAAGAAACAAGTGAATAACCCACAGGGTGAATTACAGGAGATTTCTCAGAGGAGGGGGTGCTTTTCAGCCAGGTCTTGGGGGTAGATTACACTGTCTAACAGGGAGGGTGCTCTGTCATAGAATCCCACATTCTTACAGCCTGAAGGGATCTTAAATACCATTAGGTTCCACCTGCAACAGATGAGGAAACTGACACCCAGAAGAGAGGAAGTGACCTCCCCAAAGCCACACAGTAGATTAGTGGCTGAGCAGGTATAGATCTCACAAACCTCCTAGACTCCCTGTCTGAAGTTCACTGTGCTGACCTCAATTCAGGAAACCTTTCTTGAGTTGCTTGATCTTTGTCATGCCTTTTTGTCATCCACTTCACTGGGTGCTCGCCAGAGCCCAGTTAGGTCAGCAAAGGGCTGCTGCAAGGCAGCATCATGCAGCTCACACTCTCCAGACAAGGAACTGTCTGACAGGACCAGGAACTCTCCAGACAGGAACCGTAGCTCAGTGAAGTCAAGGGACCTGCCCCAGGTCACACAGCTCAGAAGCTCCTGAGCCTGGCATAGGATCCAGGTCCCTGGCTCCAGGTCAGAGATGTCCCTTCCCACTTTACAGCTGAAGAATCTGATGTGTTACTGCACGTAATAAGTACCTCCCTTTTGAGGTAATGTGCTTGGCAGGATGTCTGGCACAGGAACACAACATACATGGGGACTCGTACTATTTGTTAAATTCTCAAACATTTTATTCATTGTCTTGTAGATTGGTAGGAAGGTCTGAGCCTCTGAGACCTAATTTTGTTTTCTTTTCTTTTTCAAAGTAGCTAAGATTATTAGCAGCTTCTAAACTAAGCATGCAGTTTGGAAGGGAGATGAGCAAATGCACCTTGACAGAGGTGCCAGCTAATTTAGTTTGAAAGAAATGAAAAGGATTGAGATTTTCATGTGAATTTGAAGCATGTGGGGCCACGAGGCATGAGAATCAAGTCAGTCTCTCTCCCTCAGAGCCCTGGCAGAGAGCTTCAGTGGACATGGTTGCTCAACCTGTTTCCTAAAGAGCAGTTGTATTTTGGAAGACTTTACCACCGCTCCCTGCAGTAAGCATGAAGCTGTTGCTGGCCTGGAGCCTGAGGGGCTTGTGAATCGGGCCCTGTGTGTTTTGCACCATCTCACAGATGTGCCTTTGTGAAGGGTGGGCAGCTCCACTCTGGCTATGAAGGGCCCCCCTCCAAACCATTTGCTTTGGATCTGAAACCCCATTTAGATGGTTCTTGGAGTTGGGGTGAGGAAGCAGGAAGCTGAAAGAGAATAAACCCAGCAAAAGCTCAGAACAAACTGCAGGTTTTGGACAACAACCTAGAGTATACTCATGGGGTTGGGGTTCAGCCTCCCTCCCGCACCCCAACCTCAATCAGAGTCCAGGCCGTCATGAAATGCAGGCCCCAGAACTCATCACGTGCCCAGCCAGACCACAAGCACTTCATTGGGCGAAGGGGACTCATCCTTACTTTGTTTTCACACATAACTGGTTTTTAATTACATTTGACTTTTCCTGATGTCTGTTCAGAATGCCGGTCCCCTTTGGAAGGGGCAAGCACAAAGGCAGGGACAGGTTGGCAAGAAGGAGAAGCAAATTGAGCAGAGCCCTACAATCCTTCCTCTTTTGGTGGGGAAACAGGCACAGGGCAGGCTTCTGCCCAGAGAATTGTTCTCATCTGAGGGTCATTGTCCACGGAGATTAGTCTCGCGAGCCTCTGGAATCCTGATCTGTCACAGAAGCCCAGGTATGTAGCCAAGTGTGACTTTGGTTTCCAACAATAACTTGCTCAATACTTGTTGTTTTTCTCTCTCCTCTCTCCCCTGCCCCTCTGGCCACTGCCTCCCATCCTGGCCCTGGTGTCCTCCCTTCTTCTGCTCCTCCCCACAGAGATCTGTGCTGCCGACTGTGGTGGCCATGGCGTGTGCGTAGGGGGCACCTGCCGCTGCGAGGATGGCTGGATGGGGGCAGCCTGCGACCAGCGGGCCTGCCACCCGCGCTGTGCCGAGCATGGGACCTGCCGCGACGGCAAGTGCGAGTGCAGCCCTGGCTGGAATGGCGAACACTGCACCATCGGTATGGCGGGCCGAGGTCCCCGGGTACCTTCTCTGGTCTGCAGGACATCTTTGTCTGTTGGGGCATTTCAGGGCCAGCCTGGGCCCTCATCGCATGTGGGGATGGGGAAGAAAGTCCTTTCATCTGGAGGTATTATGACTGGCATTTCCTAGCCATCGGTTGGATTTAAACTCACGATTTGGTATTTTCAACCTTATTACTCCCAATTTCCATTTCCCATGTCCTGGTTAGCTGGTTAGCACACCTTGCTCTTTAGCTCCTCCAAGGCTACATGCGGTATGGATCTGTGTCAGGGAGCTCTGTGTTGAGGAATGAGGCAGATGAGCACTTCTTAGCAGCTATGGGCAAGCCCCGTCAACTTTCTGAGCCTCAGTTTCCTCACTCGTAAGATGGGGATAATAATACATGTGAAGACCTTAGCAAAGGCTGGCATACAGTGGAGTGCCCAGTACATGCAGCCATTATTATCCAATGCATTATCTTGCTGGGATGGCTGGGGCTTAGCTCTGAGCCCTCCATGCCCACTGGGCTCCTAGGTCAGAATTCCCCAAGAGGTCTGGAATCCTGGGGAGAGCTCCCCACAGGCCCTAAGGCCACATCTGGAGTCCATTAGGCCTGGGATCTTCCCCCGTCCTCAGCTTCCATCCTGTCTGCATTTGTCTCCTTTCCCCTCCCTTGGGGTCTCCTCGGCACCAGCTCCTGCTGAAGCAGCTCTGAAAACAAGCTGATCACTTCGTTCCCTTCCTTCTGCCTTTCCTGCCGGTTTTGTTGATTTTAAACTCAGCCAGACGTTTTGCTTGGTTTATTATCCTGGAATGAGCACTCACCAAAAGCTCTTTATTGAATCAACCGGTTTGTGTATATATGTGTGTTTTAGCTTCTTCCCCTTCCGTTTTTGTTTTTTGTTTTTTGGTTTTTTTTTTAAATGAAGGGTCTGTGATCAGATGGTGAGCACATGGCTTTAGAAGGCAGGATTCCAGGTACCTTTCTGGCTTAGAAAGTGACCTCTTGGGTCTTAGAGAAACTGGAAGACAAGCCCCACAGCTTTGGAGAGACAAAGGAATTTTGAGCAAACAGAGCTACCTCTTACCCCTTGAGGGTTTTTTCAGTCTTCATTGTTTTTGTTTTGAAGCCTAACATTAGTTTGTATCCTTGGTCCCTGCCCCTGCAACATCCCTGGGTTTTGGCCATGGAATACCTTACATTTATTAATATTAATAATAATAATGGCTTCTGATTTTTAAGTATTCACAACGTGCCGAGAGCTGCACTAAGAACTTTAGCTGCATTATTTTATCCTCCTTACAATCACCCTGTGAAGCAGTATGTATTATTTCCTCATTTTCAAGGACCTGAGGCTTAAGGTCACGGAACTTCAAAGAGGTAGAGCAGGAATTTGACACTCGATTTTTCCTTACCAGCTGCTTACTCTGCAGCCCTTGCACGATAAAGTCCTGGTTTTCCACTGAGGCATCTGCTCCTGTCCCTCCTGGAGACTGTGCCCTGTCGTGGCAGCTGCACTCAGAGTCCCTCACCTAATCTGCCCAGCCTCCACCCTCAACAGAGCCACTCCATCACAATGGCAGCCACTGCAGGTTGTGCTGCGTCATGTTACTGTGTGCACCTTGATGGCTTCTTTATATCGGTGTCATCCTCCCTTACACTTGTCCTGGAAACCCCTTAGTGAGAAGTGGCCCTGGTCATCTGAGGGGGCCTCTTCTTTAAACTCTGCTTTCCCCTCACCTTCCCTTTTCTGCATGACTGAGGATGAACCAACCTTTCAACCTCCCAGCCCAGAAGAAAGCCCACACCTATCTAAAAAACAAAAACAAAAAAAAAAAACAAAAACAGAAACAAAAAAACCAGAGCCCAGAGAGGGCCCATTCTGTTTGCTGTCTCTTGCTTACAGAGTCCTCAGCTCATCTTACCAAACTCCAAAACGTTTGCAAATGTTGGACAAAAATGTTATAAGATAAACGCATCTCATCTTAGGGAACCTCTCCCTTCGTCTAGTCACACATGACTCATGTTGGGGCTTGTGGGCAGGCTGTTTTACAGGCAGTGTTTTCTGGATATTCATCAGCCTGGCCTTAAGAATGTCCCTTTTATTTTGATGCCAAGAAGTCAAACCATCCACTTCTACCTCCCCTGTATGCTCTGTTGTCGCTCTTCTAGAACAGATTCCACCTTGGGGATGCAGATACCTTTTCCCCTCCAGATAAGAAATACATCAAAGTAAATGTGCACAATATAAGAATAAGGTTGACGGTCCTAAATACCAAAGAAATGTCATAGGACATTGAAGAAGCAATAGACTAGTCATAGTGGCTCAGCTGAAAGGACTTTGGCTGGGAATTCTATTAATACCTCTCATTGTGTGGTGAGCATTTTCTTCGTCCTTGTCTAATTTTCCTGCATGGTAACCTTCTCTCTGTGGGTCTCTGCCCGTGGCCAGCTGCGTCCCCATGAGAAACTCACCACCCTCGTGCTGAAGGAACACTTCAATAACCCTGTAGGATATAAGGGAAGGGGGAGGGGAGGCAAAGTAGAGAAACAATGGTCCCATCCTTTTCTTGTTGAAATAGAAATGAGAAGGGGAAATCCATTTTTAGTCTTTGATGGTAACAAGAAGCATTTCCTTGTTTCCAGAGAACTTTACTCCCTGTGAGAGTCATTTAGGAAAAGAAAAAAACTGCTGATGTGAAAAGTTAGAAATTCAAAGTGTTAAATTTTCTCTTGTTATCAGATTTCATTATCATACAATAGGTCATTATCGTGTAGCTAGCTCCTAGCTGCAATAGTTATTTCCCATACCAGAGAAAGAGCTGGTATCCATGACACTGATTTCGAGACCTCTAGGCAGTGGAAGCAAAAAAAGAGGGCCTGTTTATTTACATACTGCCGACCTGCGTAAACAGGAAGGAATGGCTTGATGACCTTACAGCAGGAATACAGAATTTAAAGAACAAGACAAATCTGGGCCCCTTATGGCCAAGTCCCCAGCGTTAAGAGCCTTTTTACCCCAGTGACATTTCCCAGAGCAGATTATTATAGTAGGAATTAAATATCTTCTTTTGGAGCCTTTGGCTCACCTTATCTTTCATGGAAGCTACATGATTCTTCTCAAGAGAGGTTGGTTTTCAGAATGAAAGGGAATTTGACAGTGGCATCCTCTTCAATGACAGTATTTTTGTCAAACAGCAAAAATATTTCACATTCAATCCTAATTCCTTATGTTAGGAATCACCTGTCTCTTTGCATCTTGAAGAAGGGTCTTTGGTAAAAGCACCAGGGCCAGACCACGCAGTTGCCTGAGGCTTTAGTTTCTCTATCCATGAATCACAGAATGGAGTGGCTGGAGTAGGTCCCCAAGGGTGACAGAAGTTCATCCCCCTCCTCCACTGCCCACAGAACTGCACACCCATCAGCCCAAAAGTGAGTCACCTGCTCCTAAAAATATCTCATGAAGAAAAAGGGATTCTTCATTTTTACTGTTACTTACATGGCACTAATACTCCCACTTGCATATATGAAACCCAGTTTTCCTAGTCCAGAAGTCAGGCTAAGATGGATTGATTTGGATCTGTTTCTCAAGTATATGATTGACAGAGAGTCACCAAGTGCATATTTTTGGATCTTTTCAAGGAGTTTTATGGATCCATGAAGTCTGGTGCTTGACCTCTGATTTCCTTTGAGAAAGCTGAAAATCGTAGTTAAATTTAACAAGGCGTTTAATTTTTTTCCTATTTCTTTGAAAACACTACTAACATTTTGGATCAATTCTATCATGGTTTTTCTATTTACCTCAGTGCCCCTTGTCTCTAAAGTAAAGAAAACACCTGTAGAAAATGCCAGCTTCTGATTACATTAATAAAATTCCAGCTTGACTCTAAAGCTGTGATTGTTCAAGATACCACATATACAGAATTATTTACCAGACTTCAGGAGAGCTGTCCAATCCTAGAAGTCCTGATTTTTAAACAAAAGCTTCCTCTGGGGGTAAAGATCAAAATGATACCCTGAAGATGCAATTACTTGTGTGAGTAAAACCAGACTTCCCAATGAAGAGAAATTATAAAGAAAAGCCACAAAATCTTCCGTGCTTTGTCCAGTTTTTTTTTTTTTAAAAAAAAAGACAGAGTCTCACTCTGTTGCGCATGCTGGAGTACAGTGGCACCACCTCGGATCACTGAAACTTCCGCCTCCCAGGTTCAAGCAATTCTTCTGCCTCAGCCTCCCGAGTAGGTGGGACTATAGGTGTGCACCACCACACCAGCTAATTTTTGTTTTTTGTTTTTTTGAGATGGAGTTTCACTCTTGTTGCCCATCCTGGAGTGCAGTGGCACGACCTCGGCTGACCGCAACCTCTGCCTCCCGGGTTCAAGTGATTCTCCTGCCTCAGCCTCCCAAGTAGCCGGGATCACAGACGCCCGCCACCACACCTGGCTAATTTTGTAGTTTTAGTAGAGACAGAGTTTCTCCATGTTGGTCACGCTGATCTCAAACTCCTGACCTCAGGTGATCCACCTGCCTCGGCCTCCCAAAGTACTGGGATTACAGGCATAAGCCACCACGCCTGGCCTAATTTTTGTATTTTTAGTAGTGACGGGGTTTCACCATGTTGACCAGGCTGGTCTCTAACAACTCCTGACCTCAAGTGATCCACCGGCTTCAGCCTCCCAAAGTGCTGGGACTACAGGCACGAGCCACCACACCTGGCCCTTTGTTTGCTTTTGAATGATAGCTATCAGATTTCTTTTTCATAATCAGAAAATCCTTAACCAAGAGCCCACAAATCACTCATGAGGTATAGGACCCTGTGATAACGCTATGGTTATCCCTCCTGAAAGCATTCACTCACAACAGGACCTGTGGTTTGACAAGACAGATGCTGACAAGGAGAAAGAGAAAATGTACAGGGATCTACCTCAAGTTATCAGAGCACAAGTTTAATTTGCTGATGATCCTGGGAGACTTCAGCCCACACGTGGTGGGGTGGGAATCTGGCTTTGAATTTCTCTCAGTGTGGGTGTCACTGACCACTTATCCAAAGAGAGAAGAGCACTGATGTATCCAAGAGCTTAGCAAGAACATCTCTTTGGTGGTTTGTCACCCATCCGAAAGAAGTTCAGATGACTAGAACCGCCAACCCATCACCTGCTGTAGTGATCCTTGTTTCTTGTGGCCTAACATGTACCAATGATGCAGCCGTTCGAGTTGCCCTGAGGCTCCTGGAGAGTAAGAATGGAAAGCCTCTTGCCATGTTCTCCATAACTTTGGATAGGGGGCCCCTGAAGATTCTTAAGATTATCCCAAGAGAAACTTTTGGAAACCTCTGTTGGTAGAGGCAAGTCAAGGAAAGAAGTTTTATGTTGGTGATCAGAGAAAGGCCAAAGAGAGCTAAGACCGTGCAGACCAACCTCATGCCAAAAGCTCAGTCTGTAGCATAAATAGCTATAGTACCTTTATTATCTCCGGCTTTTCACACAGAGATAGGAACATAGTAGGAGTATGAGAAACATTTGTACAATGCCAAAGAAACAAGCGTTGCCCAAGAGAAAAGATGCCTACTGCCATCATCTTCATCCTGAAGTTCTGAAGAGAAAGATGCAGGAATTGATGAAGTCCTGAATCCACCTTTCATAATGCAAAGCTTGCATCATCTTTTCTAAAAGTTGGTACTTTAAAATCATGAATTTTTAAACAACTGTACTCAACAGCATATGTGCCAAGGTTTTCAAACAATAAAAGCAACCACAGTATGGACTTCCGCATATGCCTTTTATAAATAAATGGCAGTAAAGTTCAAAGACCCATTTGTCACTCCCATTTTCAATAGCCAGAGACAAGGAAGCTCCATTCCATTCCCGGAAAACTCATGGACTTGGTATTAACTGGCTGTTACCAGCTTTTGGATTCACAGTGTGGCTCGGGGGCTCTTTGTAGCAAAGGAATCCCTTTTGATTTGTGGAGTCAGGATTTGAAGTTTTGAATGTCTACTTTTGTCTCCTGAAAACTCACAGTGCTGATGGTAACCTGAGCCTGCCTCCATCATTTCCACTGATTTTCTTTCCTACCTGTGGTCTGGAGAAATTAGTAAGAATTTTTAAAGGTATCAAAAACATATTTTCACTTAATAGTGCTCTTCATGGTTATGTGGTTCTTGAAAATGAAATGGCATTAGAAGAGAGAGAGCTCTCTTAAGTCAGCCCCTGGCCCTGGGGAGATTATCCTGTAGAATGGATATAAGCTTCACTCACCACCAGAACCACTATACTACCATTAAGTTTGGAGACAATCAGGAAAGTTTTTTTCATCAGAGAACTCCCTCACGGTGGAAGCTATGACCACTTGGATCCCAGTGATGGCATCTCATCCAGCCTAGCCATCCCTGGGAAAAAAAAATCTAGGCTCACTACACCTCTTCTATAACTGGATTCAGAGTTATTATAAGAACTTATAATTGGGACCCTCCAAAAAATTCTGCAGATAAGAAAGCTAACAAAACCACAAGAGCCAGGTGATTCTATGTATTCATGCCCTTTGATAGCATATCCTGGGAGATGAGATATAAGAAATTTTAGACCACTTTGCAAAATTAGATAAATTAGCTTGACTAAGACTAAAGTGACAGATAAGCCAAGAATCAAGAAAGATTTCCCTTTAGCCAGAGGTATTTCCTAGGCCATTTTTCGTGTGGGCTGTCCCCATTTTTCATTGTTTGGCATTCCATAGCTTTGTTTACTCACCCCTACTTAATAAGTACTCTCTTTCATGTTCCTATCTTGTATCCTGCATCTCATGGACTCCACGACATCTGTAAGAATGAAGAAAAGCATGTAGCCTCAGTTAAAATTTCCTCTTCCCAATTTTCCACTTGGCTGTGCAGGCTCCAGAAGCATATTTCATCTTGAACCAGAGACCACACGGATACCTGAACTAAGAACACAGCCTCTCATCCACTAGTCTTTGAGGCTAATATATAGTGATGAACAACAATATCTGTTCTATCCAGAGAATTGAAAAAATATAATTTATGGTTTTTTATGAAGAGAGTAAGAATATTTAAAGAACCCTAGGGATTCCTGATAAGGCCACACCGTTGCAGTCCGGTCCTGTCTGATGGACTTTTGATTCATGTGTGAAATTCAGCTGGGGCTGGAGTGCAGCCTGGCTGAAGGCATCAGATCCTTCAGGAGACTGCCCAGCTACCCGGCCTTTGCAGAACACACTAGTAGGAGGTGTGGAGAGACAGAGAAAGAGAAGCTCCTCAAAGAGCTATAACTACAGCCTAGGGAGGGCAGGTGAAATGGTATTAGTGATTCATGCTGGGAATTAAGAGGCCTGCCCTGCTCTAAACACACAGCCAGACACCCATATATAGACACAGTGGGGTTTATTTCAGAGCAACCTTTGATGCTCATCCTCAAATAAGCAAAACTTTAGAAGGCCAAATAACTCAAGGCTTGGATACAACCCCTCCATTGGAAAACAAAGCACACATCTTTCTTTAGGGTTAATAAGCATTGAGAAGTGGTCAGATTTTCTTTGCTTTGTCTTGTTTTTCACAGTGACATCCATTGACCTGCACCTCATAGTCTGTGTACGATGCACAAAGGAGGAATGCATCTTACTTAGAACGCTAAGCATTTTGCATTCAAGCATATGTGGGCACATGTGTACATGGAAAATTCAAGAATGGCAAACAGATAATCCAGCAGTATATTTGACCAAAGACTCAACCCCCTTCACTAGTGCATATCAGAGATGATTCAAATTTTGCGTATTTCTAAATTCCAACTTCTTGGAAAGGCCTCTGCCGAGATGGGGTACCACTTGTTCTTGTTATGGCTGCTTCACCTGTAGGGAGGTTGGATGCTGCTCTGAGTAGTCAAAGGGACGGGCTCTAGTTTTCCGTAAAGCCAGACGAAGCTGGCAGAGCAGGAGTGTGGCCACTTTTGCAGTTTCCCATCCTTCTTTGTCTGTTTTCCTTATTCATATGTCTTCTTGTTTCTGTGATCACATTTCCAAATGCCTGGATCACAGAATGAGTTGAAGTTCCTTTTGGCCATCCCTGGAGAATGCTTGCTCTCCCTTCTCCTCTCTCATGTCATCCTGTCTTTGGTTTTATTTTCCCCACCATGGCATAGGCCTGTCCCAAACGTGGGGCACAATCCCTTTGTCTGTGTAGCATCTGGCATGGTTATGTGGCAGGCGATATTGCACTTACTGGATCCTACCTTAAATGTCCTGTCTTTTATCTCCCTAGCTCACTATCTGGATAGGGTAGTTAAAGGTATGGTCTTCCTTCCTCTATTTTCCTGTTGTCTTTGTGTGTGTGTTTGTGTATGAGTATAAAAGAAGAAATGTGTATATAAAAATGTATATACACCACATAAGCATGATGTCTGGAAGCTAATGCATCCCCAGTTTTGTCGCAGCATCCATTGCCCAAAGGGGATGGGTTTTCGGTCACAAGGTGGTTGATATACCTGGAGTGTCATTCTCCCCACAAGATGCTCAGATCTGTTTGTGACAATACCATTGTACTTTTGTTTTTCCCTCCCCCCGCCCCACATACATACACCTTTCACTCTTTCCACCCCATCTCATGTCACCCTGCCCATCTGTTATGGCCCCTGGTCCACCAGAATTAAGATGCTGGCAACCAGGGTGGGTGGCCTGAGAAAGGAAGAGACCCAAGAGCAAGTTAAGAAATTTTAAGGACTACTTTCTAGTACTACTGTGTTCATTCGTCCAACGAGCATCTATGGAGCACCCACTGTGTACTAGGCACCTGCGCCAGGGTCTGGAGACAAGGGGACAAACAGATCCCTGACCTCAGGGAGCAGATGGTCTGTTTGTTTATTTGTTTGTTTTCCTTTTCAGAGAAGGCCTGACTTTGGTAAGTTTTGTCTTTGAAGAGTGTTCCCTAGAGGCAAAGTAATTCCTTCCATTTTAAACATTTACATTAGTTGGGTGGTACCTGATTTTCCAAATAGGCCACATAGCTCTAAGAACAAGTCTCAGAATAATCAGATATGTGTGCTCTGAAAAGACTCTAAGCTCCTTGAGGAGAAATACCATGTCATATTCATCTTTTTGTTCTCAGGCCCTAACACAGCACCTGGTACAAAATGTGTGCTCTGCAGATAGGGACACATATTCTAGAGTCAGACTGCTTGGGTTTGAATCCCAGCTTCAACACTCAGGGAACTAAGTGACCTTGGGCAAGTGATTTAACTTCTCTTCTCTTGCTAACAGGACCCACCTCATAAGGCTAGTATGAGGATTAAGTGAAGTAACAAATACAAAGTGCTTAGTATATAGGCAGGAATTATGCTCAATAAGTATGAATTATACTGCTTTATCATCATATTCTTATTCTTATTCTCACCCTTAATTTGAAGAAGGACTTCATTAGCTAAATTAATTTTTGAAACTGTAAAGGAAAAGGCTAAATTGGCTTTTAATAAGAGATAGCAACAGCTGTTTTAAAACTTATGGAAAGGGTTTTGGGGAAACATAACTGACTAAATGCTTTTCAGCTAGGACAGCTTTGCCAAATACAGCAAAGGTGTCGCATAGGATCCAACAGATGGAGGAAGAGCAAGGGTCTTCATATTTCATGTGCTGGTCCTCAACTGACAATAAAATCATTCCAGCAAGAAAGAGTAGTACTTCCTAGCCTCTTTAAAAACAGGCATTTCACACATTATCATTAGCAGAGGACTCTTCAGGGTGGGCTAAATTTTATCATGTTACCATCTATTTGATGGAAAATTTTCCTACTATGTGAAGTTTTTTCACATCCATGAGTCTTAGGTGAGTCATGTGATTTTTTTTTGAGGGAATAGATATAATGATACCCATTCAATTGAAAAAGGAAACTGAAGTTGAGGGAGTTGAATGGGTCATCCTGGCTCACACTTCTAATAAGTAGCAGAACCAGGACTCTGCATTTCCTGACTTTATCCATGTTTCAGCATTCTATCTTCTGTCACCATAAGTCACCGAGAATGTCCATAATTTCCAGTATATTTTCCTCCACACCACATCTTCCAAACTGGCACCCTTACTGGGAAGTGGCCTATATTCTTTCTCAAATCACCTGCTCTGCTCTTCAGTTCAGAAAATATCATCACCAGAACTTTAGTTGGATTAGGTCAATGAATCATAACTTGTTTTAAAAGGCAAATGTTTCTTGGCAAAATCAAGGTCTGACCCAAGCCCTCATCTGGCTGATATTTTGGTATAATGGATACTAATTCTAAAAAAATAATTCAGAGATCTGTGTCATGGAAGCTCAGGTCTTGTCAGAGTAGAGTACTTTACTGTTCAAAGATGGGCCGGATTTTGTTCATTGCTTCCCAGTTGCTTTGGTAGAGACTAAAGAAACAATGTTTACTCAACAAATATGCTGAACTCCTAAGTGGTAGGAAATATGAATACCACATAACAGATATGGTCCCTGCTCTCAAGGTGCCTGCAGTCTAGCAGAGAAGACACTAAAACCAATAATTCCAACAAAGTGTGATGAGGGTTATGACAGGGGAGTCCAGAGGCTACCACTTAGCAAGTAACCACCCCACTAACTTGGATTGTTGGGGCCTTATAGATTGCGGAATTTAACATGAGGGTATAAGAAAGCGTCTGAAGGTTTTTAAAAGCAAGATGATAACTAGGTCACATTTGTGATTTGGAAGTTCAGTCTGGCCCTATTGTGAAAGGAGAATTGAGGGGGGACCATTGAGAACAAGAAGACCGATTAGCAGACTATTGCTGTCATCTAGGTAAGAGATGATGATGGCTTTGTCTAGGGAAGTGAATATGGAGAGAGAAAAAAAGTACAAGAGGACCAGTAAGAGAAACATAAAGAAATGGGCCATTTGATATATGATAAGTGTATTGCATAGAATCCATGCCACTTAACTAAAAAATAAATACCTTCAAGGATTCTGAAAGTCTTCTAATCATACCTGGTGCTAGCTGCAAGGGGGACTTCTTCATAGGCCTAAGCAGGAGATTGAAGATAAAGTGGTCCCTTGTCATTTAAAGGGCATCATTTCTTTTGAAAAGCTTTGTTAGCCCTTCTCTAAACTTTAAAATTACATTACTTTGACTCTAGCAAATGCCTGGTGTGAGTCTTTCCGAAGGGATTATTAATGTCACGTGGGCTGTCTGAATTATTGATGAGTTTCAGGGTTTGCGGAACTAGCCTCAGTGGGTAAGGACGGGCATATTGCTTTAAGAAAGTCAGCAAGTCATCCTGGAAGAGCCTTCCTCATGCTGGCTAATGGGGGTGTGATTATCCTGGAAGCAAATGGCTGGATGAAAGCAAACCTTGTTCCACCCACAGGTACTCAAAGTCCCTCTGAAACTTATAGGATACTGCAGATCTTCAGGGTATCACTTGGTCCATTTGAAGAAATTGACTGTGGATTTCCACATTTGTGATTCTCTGTGATTCCACATCTAGAGCTAACCCTCCCTGAGAACACCTGCTTCACATCTTCCAAACTGGCACCTCAATGATTCATTGACCCAATCCCACTAAAGGTCTGGTGATGATATTTTCAGGCAGCCTCAGAGCAGCATGGACTATGTGCCCAAGATGCCATGTGCCTACAGGAGTTCACTAGAGCAGGGCTTCCCAGAGGGGGTTCCATGGAATGGAATATTACACAGGTTACTGGGTGGGGTAAAGAGTTCTGAGGTCAAATTGGATAATGCTCTAGTAATCGAATAAGCAGCTTTCTTTATTCTAAGACTTCTTGGAGCCTTTAATATATTGATATTCAGTGTGACTTTCTACAATAAGAATATAGGATGCAACGTTTTCCAAACTTATTTGACTGCAGGAGCTTCTTCTTGAGGACCTCATAGAACTACTATTTCACAAGGTTCACTTTCAGAAGTATGGTTTGTGATTATAAGACCTATTTTAAACCCTTCCTGGAACAAAGTATGGTATAAATAAAGAGAATGTAAAATTTTTTAGGGCAGATGATATATCTCATCTCTGTGAATTAACACAAAGTCCAGCATCCACCAGGTACTGAGTAAAGTTTATTGAATTTAAGAACAGAATCAACTAACTTGACGTTGTTTTGACCTTCTCTATTGGGTCAGTTATGCTGGAAGGACCTAATGGATCATCTCATCCAAATCCTTATTTTATAAATGGGGAAACTGAGGCCCAAAGAGAGAAAGTAACTTTCCCAACTCCCCCCATATTAGGCCAGAACGCAGGCCTCTTGTCCCTCTCATTGATTTATTTTAACAAATATATATTGAGTGTCTGCTACATGCAGGCACTGGTACATTCTAACGGAAGAAGTAAGACAATGAAACTAATTGCAGAATTGATCATTTCAGTATCCTTGGGACAGTTGCTATTGAGAGAAGTACAATATGCTAGGAAAGCATGAATGGTGGCCTGCACTGGGACTCGCAGCCCTGAACCCATCATGCCGCCTCCCACTGCACTGCATGTTCACGGAGCCATGAGGCAAGCCCAGTGTTTGTCTTGACCGTTTTTGGCAAGGATTTATTTATAAGGACCATAGCTTTTGACCTAAACGTTACACAAGTTGGGCTGGCAAAGGTTTATTTTCTTGTTTATGAATTTCTTAGTGAAGTTATACAAACTTAAAACAAGTAAATCCAATAATAATAATAACAGCTCTCATTTATTGAATCCCTATGTATGTTACCCACTGTGATAAATAATTGATATATATTATCTCATTTAATACTCTCACATACTCTTTGAATCAGGTATTATCTCCATTTTACAGATGAGAAAACTGAAGCTTAGAGTGAAGTAATTTGCCAGTTGTAACACAGGTAGTAAGTAAAATGATGGTGCTAGGATTTGAACTGAGGTTTGTCCACCTCCAAAGTCCTCGCTCTATTACAACACATGGCTTTTACTAAAAATTTAGGATTAAATGGTGTAAAATTGGATCTGCCCTAGAAAATCAAGATCTGAACATTTTTAACAAAAAGTTACTTATTTTAGAAATCTATATAAAGTGCCTAGCACAGTGGCCAGTCCTAGTAGACCCTCAGTATGTGGCAGCTGTCATTGTCTCACTGTCCTGAAGCATCTAAACCAGAGGTTGGCAAATTACAGCCCACAGACCAAATCGGGCCCATCACCTATTTTTGTAAATCAAGTTAGTTGGAGCACAGCCATGCTTATTCATTTAAAAGTGTGTATGGCTGCTTTCAAGCTATAACGGCAGAGTTGAGTAATTGCAAGAGACCATATGGCTCACAGGCCTAAACTATTTATTCTCTGGGTCTTTACAGAACAAGTTTGCTGACTCTGATCTAGATAACTGCCTCAGTTTCCTATTTTGCCTTTCTGTGAGCCCCACCTGAGGTTGTGGGTACAACATATGATATTATATGCCCTCTGCCCAAAATAGAGAGAAGGTAAAGGTGAGTAGAAGATTCAGATATTGTCTTTGAGCTGTATGCCAGGCTTTGTGCATCATGCATACCTTACTTAACCGCCCCCAAAACCCCATTTTATAAGTAAAAAGACTGAGGCTCAAAGAAATTCAATAACATGCCTGAGTCATACAGCCACTGAGTGGTACAGGCAAACTTTGATATGCCTCTCAAGCTTGTGCTCTTACGTAAGAGATACTGTTTGCATCTTACAAGAGGCTTTATCTTACAGCAAAAGAAAGCAGTCAGCTACCGTTGTTAAAGATCAGACCCTACTTCCTCCAGGACTAATTCCAAATACAAACCAGGCTTAATTGAAAACAAGTCCCGGCTGGACGGACAAAAATTGACATGAGACTAATTGAGGAAAAAAGAAAGCTGTGATTGCTTAGATCACTAATGGTGGCTGATGTTGGCAACCAAGTCAGATTGCCTGGATAGCCGCCTGTGTGTCACAGCTCTGCTCCTGGGGCTCGCTTTTAAAACTTCTTTCTCAATCACTTTTTGGGGTGGCCATGCTGGTAGCCTCTCATCTTTCCCAGCAGGCTTCTGCTATACAGAAACCCATAGTCTACATACACTTCTAACTTCTGGAGGAATCCCTCCGAGGCTGGAGTACACAATTGTTACATGTTTCTTCCTTTGAATGGAAAACACAGTGGCCAAATTGCTTGGTTGTTGTGTGGAACATCTCAAGTGGAAATAAACATGTTATTTTCTTTTACTTTGGAATAACAGTCAACTATCAAAAGTCCTGGGAACACTCAAGTTTTAGATTCTGATTGATCAGCCATTTAGTGAGTGGCTATCTTGGCCCAGGTCTTGTACTGGACAGCCACTTTCACATTTGTTGTCCCATTTAAGAATAATGAGTCAATTTCCCATTAATTCATGGCAGAAGATCCAGTTTGTGGCCATATTTAGAGCACTTTGCTGCTCATAATAATAAAACAAATGAAGCTTTATAGCTGACACAGTGCTTTCACATCCATACCTCTCCCAAGACTGAGCAGCAGCAGAGAGGAGATGGAACTCTTGCCAGTGACAGGTGGTTTTTGATAGCCCCTTGGAGAAGGGGGTTGGCAGGATTGTTAATATAAGGACTTGAGTGAAAACCAAGTGGCACAATAGAAGCTGAAGTGAACCACGTAATTTAACATATTCTCAAACGTAGATTTCTGAGCCACAAACTCGGAGAGGTTTAAAGATGTGGCAATCAAAAAACCTGCAAATCTACTTTAATAGTATTTTTTAAAAACTTCCCCACTTTATAATATGGTCCAAGCAGAACGAACACAGCATCTAAATATTGCCTGACCCTTCTTGATCAAATCATCTACAGCCCTCTCAGATGGCCACACCTGTGTTAAGTTCCCACCATATTTTGTACGTCTCCTTTAGGGCATTTAGCAGTTAAATTTTTTGCCTACATAAATTTGTCTCCTTTGATAGGCTTCATGCACCTCATGAATAAGAACGGGTCTTATTCATTTCTGTACCTCCAGTGCTAGCCCAAAGAAGATGCTTAATAAATGACAGACAGGCAGGCAGATGTGCATATGAGCGTAATGAGAGCAGAGCAGCCTGGCTGTACCTGCGTTGCACTCACAGACAGCCCTAGTTAGTGTTTCACAATGGCGATCACAGCTCCTCTGGGTGCAGGGCCCTTTTCTAAGTGTAGCTGTAGACAAGATGTTAAGAAAAAGCCCCAAGCCCTCTTCCTCAAAGCAAAGACAGTTGTTTAGGAGAAAATAAGACAAAATAAATGAAAAGCCTAGGGTCCAATAAAATTGACCTACTACAAGAGTTGGAAAAAGTAACACCCTTTAGAATGATACCCAGAAGTGATGAAGGAAGCAAGGAATAAACAGAAAGATGTTTCCTTTGTGCTAAACAGCCGCCAGAGATAAGAGGAACACATGAGAATGAACAAGAAGCAAGGATCAGGCAAAAAGCTCCATTGGTTAGATTCTGATAGGCCAACATCCACTGACTCCGGCTCCAGAATCCCGGTCACTTTTGAAAGAGGGGCTTTTAGATGCAGAAGGTGTGGGTTTCAGCCCTGTCCCTGCCGCTTCTGACTGTGCGACCCTGGCAAGTCCTTTCACCTCTCTGAGCCTCAGTTGCCTTCTCTGTAAAGTGGCAATTCCTAATGATACCTACCTCCCTGGGCTGCTGTGGGCATTCGTGTGCTGATGGATATGAAGGCATTTTGCAAGTTGGCAGGTAGCGTGTTAGTGTGTGTGATGGCAGTTGACTCTGGGTGATCAGACCTCAACCCTGTACTTTGTCTTTCAGAGGGTTGCCCTGGGTTGTGCAATGGCAACGGCAGATGTACCTTAGACCTGAATGGTTGGCACTGCGTCTGCCAGCTGGGCTGGAGAGGAGCTGGCTGTGACACTTCCATGGAGACTGCCTGCGGTGACAGCAAAGACAATGATGGAGGTAGGGCTCTGGCACCCATGGGCTCCAGGCGGCTCCAGAGGGTGGGAGGCCCAGAGTGGAGAATGGATATTACTGAGCTAACAGGCCACCAACACACCAGTCATCCAGTCAGGGGGACCTGCGGGGCAAGCAAAAAACTGCACATGTGGCTTAGGGATGAGTGCATATCACAGGTGTTCCATTTGAATCAATTGAAATTAACTAATGTAAATGAAAGTAATTGATATCCAGCAGCCACTATAGAAGAGAAGGCATATGGAAGAAAGAGGTTTCTAACAATTCAACAGTAGGATGAGATGTCTGGCAAAGTTATGGGTCCCCCTCACTGGAGATGGATAAGAAGAGACCATCTAATTCTTTATCACAGAAGCTGCAGAGGGACGCTTCTCCCAGGGAAGGAGGTTGAGTTACCTTTGGTCAAGGTCTCTTCTCCTCTGATTCTGGAGGTTACCCTCACTGCACACCAGCAGACACCTTTTGTAATAGAAATGGCCTTTGCTTTGGGTTTTTTTAAAGTGCTAGACAGTCAAAGCCCAAGGAAGGAGGTGCTCATCTTTTAGAACATTCATTAGCTGAGAGTGAAGACCTGGGTTCTAATTCTAGTTCTGGCTTTGACTCCCTGTGCATCCTTACACATGCTGTTTGGTGGCTCTGAGCCTCACTCTCCCTATTTATAAAATGAGGCAGCTGGCCCATGAGTACCATTTCAGTCCTTATCTTAGTCGTAGAATTAGCCTTCATTTTTCTGTTGCATTCACTTGGGTAAATACAACCATAATGTGTTCTACTTTCCCACTTGGAAGATACATCAATCCTTCCTGATTCTCCCACTCACAGGTGGTTATTAGGAGAATAAAAAGATAAAGATATGAAAAAACATCAAAACAGTTAACCCTTTCTTCCTAGTGATGGCCTAACAATTGGCTTAGTCCCAACAAGTCTATGTGGCTCCCTAATATTTATACCAAAGGACTTTCTAATATGTTGCACAGGGTAGGAAATCAATAGGTCAGAAACTCAGCATCCTAACCTTTGGGAATTTTCTATTTAGAGGGATTCTCAAACCCCAAAGCACCATAAGAATTAAAAGGCCAAGTGTGTGATGTTGTGATTTCTGTGGTTTATTTGCCTTGAGTGGGTTTCAGCAGCCTAGAAAGGGCTGTTTCGGAGCACTGTTCTTTGAGCCAGCCGGCTTTCAGCCCTTCCACCTGCTGCCTAAATCCAGGAGGTAATTGGGCCTGATGTACCCAGGCCTGGGCCCAGTGGAGCAATTGTCAACAGGGAGCTTATGGGGCTGGCCACAGTAGCTAGGCAGAAACAGAAGGCCTATGTTCTCCTGAGGTCTTGGAGGATTGAAATATCCCTTAATCGATCTAAAACTTGTGGAGTTCATTAATTTTTGTGCTCCATAAATATCCAGAGTTCTTATTTTAGAGTTGGGCCCTATACCAGGCATAGAGATAAGGAAGTCCTCTCCCTATATGCCAGGACCTCAAATGAGGGAGAAAGACCCAAAGTTAAGTGCTAATAAACTGTGATAAGTGCTGTTGTAGAGTTATATATTAGTTGTTGTGGGAGTAGGAAAGCATTCATCAGAAGGTGACACTTGGATGGGTAGCGGTTTCCCGGAAAGGAAAGGGCTCTCTATTCAGAGACATCATTATGGGCCAAGCCAGGACAAAGCAGGGAAGGGCACTAAGCACCCATGTCTTCAGACAAGGCAAAGTGTATTTATATTTGCTCTTCGTAGGAAAGAGATGTCAGCCTACATTATCTGCATGATTTCCTCAGCATTCCCCTTCAGTTTGCCTGTGTAGGCACAATTCCAATGACTAATAATAACACTCATGTAATAGAAGAAAAGAAGAGAAGAGCCACCATTCCCTTCTCACAAGTCAAAAGTCTTGGCCAAAGCCTTTAAACAGCTGTTGAACATCTGGGCAGCAAAATGACTGCATGTCTTTAGGAAATGTGGGGAAAGGGCGTACCTCTCTCCCTACCGGTATACATACAAGCGTAGGTTATAGAACAAGGCTCATTGATTCTCTCCCATGAAATGCAATTCAAGTGTATCCTTTGTTTGCCATACTTCAGAGCCAGCCCTCCTAGCACTAGAATGCACCAGTGGTAACATGGGGCATAGGCATACCATAGCCCAAAGCCCACAGCTCGGGGGGAGAGAGAGGTTCTTGTCATAGGAAATGGGGCTGATGCAGACCCCAGGGGAATAGAGCCTCCTTCAGCTGTTCTGAGAGATGAGCCAGTAGGAAGTGGAAAAGATCAACCAGAAAATCCCCAGTTGTGGGAGAATATGCCACTTGCATTTTTGGAGCATGTTATGGGCTGAAATGAGCTTGCACGTAGTTTATTCACTCACTCAACCAATGTTAACCAAGTGTCTACATTGTTATCAGGCCCTGTCCAGGGTACTGGGGCTTCAGCGATAAATAAGACACAGTCCCTACCCTTGTGAAGGTCACAATCTAGAGAGAGAGAGAAACAGCAAGTAATTGCAATGCAGTGGGACAATTGCCAGGATAAAGGAGCATCCACTCATTCAACTGATATCAGATGCCTGGGTGCCCTACTGGGAACTGTGATGTGGTTTCTGTCCCATGGGACTTTCAGAACAGCCGGGAAGACATCCCGTGGGTCATCATGGTTGGAAATAGAACCAGCTGGGAAGGCCAAATTGTTGAGGGTCCTTGACCTTGGGTTCTCAACTATTAAATGAGGAAACGTCTCACCTCAGGGCCCTCTCAGTTCAGTGGGCTGTCCACCCACTGCGGGAGCCAAGGGGAAGGTGCTGAGGACCCCTGCTTTGCAGGATGGCATAGATGAAACAACCATAGAGAGTGGACTGTCCCCAAGTGCCAGGGTAGTAAGGGTTATCCTCATTGGCCTCTATTACTCTGTGCCTTGGCCAAACGGGGGCAGTTTTAGTGGAGGGAGAGAGGAAGAAAGGAGCACAAGAGTAAACCATATTTGCATTGGGCTACTTTCAGTTCAGCCAAGCACACCTTTGTAGGGCTCATGCTATCTACAAGGCACCATGCTCCTTTCCAAGGAGACATAAAGACCAGTGAACATGGCCCAGTCTTTCTCCCTCAAGAAGCTCACAGTCATTTGTAAGAAATTGTCATCCAGATGACTCAATCTAATGGAAGCAGAATTAAATAAGTGCCTTTATTTCAGCCATGACAGGGTATACAGCATAATCCAAGATAAATCATTCAGGCTGGAGGGAAATTGTGTTAGAGTCTCACTAGTGGTTGTTCTTAGATGATATGACTCAAGTCTTGGAGAAGAAATTAACAGAGTTTAATGTTGAGTAACAGGATTGAAAGGGACATCAGAGAACATTGACTTTAACTCCCTCTCCTGCATGTTTACAGACAGGACAACTGGAGCCCAGAGAGGAGAGGTGACATCACACACATCATAATCACAGAGAAAGTCATTACATGGCCTGGACTAGACTCTTCAGCCATTCCACATGGCCTTGTGAACCTAGAGCACTTCTGCCTTCTCCTAGTGATTTATCCTCCACCTAGAAGTGTAGTGTGAGTACTTACTCAGATTTAAATAGGCTGCAGCAGTACCACAAGGCTTACGAGAGCGTAATAACTTGTATGTCACTTTACAGTTTGCAAAGCAATTGTGCATCCATCCAGCAACACTGTGAGGAATGTGGCCTTATTATCCACTTACTATTCCCTCATGATAAGGAAAAGGAAGCTTAGCGATTATTTCGCAGAAGTCACACAGCTGGCCGGTCGCAGAAACTGCCAGAGTATGTGAGGTCTTGGCGACATTAGAGCTTCTCACTGTGTCCAGACCTCTGACATATGGCCCATTGTAGATCCCTGTAGCCCTTCAAGTTATCTAAGATCTCCGGGTTACTCTTCTTTCCCAATTTGCTGGGTTTAAAACAACATATTTTAAATTAAACTTGAATTTCAAGTTTCATAAAGAATGCTACAGCAGTGTTTTTAAACTATGAGACAAAAAGAAAAAAGCTACACTTTGGGAGGCTGAGGCGGGTGGATCACTTGAGGCCAGGAGTTTGAGACCAGTCTGGCCAACATGGCGAAACCCCATCTGTACTAAAAATGCAAAAAATTAGCTGGGCTTGGTGGGGCGCACCTGTAATCCCAGCTACCTAGGAGGCTGAGGCACGAGAATCACTTTAATTTGGGAGGCGGAGGTTTCAGTGAGCTGAGATTGTGCCTCTGCGCTCCAGCCAGGGCAACAGAGGAGGACTCTGTCAAAAAAAAAAAAAAAATTGGGGGAGCCGAACAGTATGACTGAGCCAGGGAGCAGCTTTATTAGTTTGTTTTTATTTTCATGTATGGTTGTTGGCTAGATTTAAAAATGGAAACAAGATCCCTCACGTGACTCGATGACTGCCAGTCTCCTGATGCTCTCACCTTGGGCACTGGCTCCTGAGAGGGACCAGAAGGTAGACAAGCAGAGGGGCCCTAACTCACCTACTCAAAGTGAAGTCTCTATGTGCCCCACTTGACAAAGAAGGTGTACCCCATTCATACTGTGTGCTTTGAGAAGCCCCTTATTAGGTACAGACACATGCATCTTCTGATTTTATCCTCTTATAGGGATGTTTATTCATGCCCATTTCAAAGATGGTGACACCATGCCCCAAAGATGCTAAGTCACTGTAAAATGAGGATAATAATGCCCACCTTGCAGGGCTGCTATAAGGATCACAGGTTATATATTGAAAGGCCCTGAGAGGCAACATAGCACAATGATTAAAAGTACAAGATCTGTACCCAGATTATCTGGATTCAACTCCTGGCTCCCTGATTTGCTCACTGTGTGACCTTGAGTGATGTACTTAACTTCTCTAAGACTTAGTTTATCAACTACAGATATCAGTTGTTTCTCCTGCTTCTCTCCACCTGCAATCACAGAAACATGATATTTATTATAAAATATGTATTTGTAAATATTTTTAAAAATTGGAATTATGTCCTCTATAAAATTTTACATTCTATTTTTTCATTTAAGATTATGGTATATTTCTCTATATAATATGTTTTCATCTTTTTCATTTTCTGTGTTAAAGTCTGTATTCCAAACTGTTACACGCTCTTTGCTAGAAAAGAATCCAAACGTACATAAAGGAAAACAGCAGCCATTTTTGAGCACATTCCTGAGTGCCAGGCACTGTGCTAGACGCTCTGCGTACATCATCTCCAGCCTTTACAACAAAGTTGCAAGGCACACATTTACATACAGGGAAACTAAGGCTCAGAGAACTGAAATGATTTGCCCAAAGTCACACAGTGGCTCAGCGGGAGAGCTAGGATTAGATTGGAACCTATGCTTTTTAAAAAGCCTCCAGGATAAAAACTCCACTGGATTTTAAGCAACCAGTCCTCTTCTGATAAAGGATCTTTAAGCAGCTTCAAGGTATGATAATCTCTTTTGGTGCTCTTGTTCCCATGAAAAAACAATCATGGGTTGCAATAGATAATTGATATATGCAACCTAGAAGGAGAAATTTCAGGAAAACTGAGAACAAAGGTCTCTGTCTTCTCTTTTCCTCCTCATCTCTTATTGCTGGAAGGGAGAGTTCACATAAAGCCAAAGAATTTGGTCACCCTTCAAACTATCTCTAAACCACATTTCTCATGATAAGAGACAAGAGAGAAATTGACCTTTAAAAATCTTGTGTTCTAACGGGAAGATAAAGACTTTGCAAGCCTTTTGAAAGAAGGCACAGAATTTATTATAGCAAATGACAAAATCTTCTCCCCAGTGTGTACAGAAGGGGAGACACATTCCACCTTCCACCCCCAGGGCCTCCTCAGATACTATTGTAAAACAGTTCTGTGGCCAGACTGCAGACAAGAGCGAGATATGGTTGGCTAATGGGTCGTCAAGCCAAGGAAGAGTTAAGCCTGCAAAAAGACTGATGGGCTTGCTATACACTGTCCATGGGGCTGTGAGGTTAAGGAACCATGCAAACAACTACAGTACAAAGAGTTTACTAGGCCACGGATTGCCCCACCTTGCCCCCGCCCACACCCCCATTCTCCTTTTTATCCTTGCCCATCCTTCCAGATTCAGTTTAAGCATTCTGTCTTCCAGGAAATAATCCAGCCCCCAGCCTGAGTTGGGGTCCCACCTTTGGGCTTCCACAGCCCCTTCTACTTCCTTCTTCTCCAGCACTCAATTGTCTCTGTCTGCCCCACTACACCAAATCCTTTAGAGGCGTGACTCTTTTATTCCTGAGCATCCAGTGCCTAACACAGGTCCTGCCAGCCACATAATGGGTACTAAGTGAACGTTAACAGGCATGTTCCCTGTGTCTCTTTTCTAAGGAGAGGGATGAGCTCCTCCTGTAGGGAATGGCTTCCACCACACCCCATGGCCCTTGATGGGCCCTGTCAAGCTGATGGAGCTGTCTAATTTGAGATTCTTACATAAAAAAATGCATGCATTTATTCATTCATTCAACCATTGTGATGCTTACTGTGTGCAAAGCACTGTGCTGTGCATTTGAGATACAGAAATAAACAAGTCAATTTCTGCCCCACGTGGAGAGGCGACAGGGCTTGGAAGCCAGAAAATCCAGAGCATTGCTGTAAAGAGTTGTCCACTGTGGAATTGTGCCTAACAGCTCGATGTACAGAAAGATAATGGACCAAATTCCCAGTTCTGCTCTTTAACTAGCGGTACGATGTCAGGGAAATTACATAACCTGAGCCCCAGTGTCCTTATTTGTAAAGGTGAGAAGGTTGGCCTTGCCCCCATCTTTAATAGCACGCTCCTGCATACCTTTTACTTCCTGTGAAAGTCACAGCAAGCTGGCCACCAGGGAAAATGGGTCTCTGGTGTGTAAAGGCCAGGAGGTGGCCATCAGACAGGCCCACAGCCTTGAGACTGCCCCATGTACTCTTGGCCTCCCTGATAAGGACGCAGACACAAGAAAGGGAAATGAGGGGCCCAAGGGCCCACCAGTCACTGGCCACCATTAAGGTCACACAACAAACAGGAAGCCACTTCTAGTCAGGACTGCAATTGTTCACTTGGCCTATGTCTGAGCCCAGCCCCTGTCTCCAGAGGGAGCTCCAGAGAACAGCTACCAGCATGGGAAAGACACTCAAATTTCTTTTGTTGACTTACTCGTTCACTCTTTTAGACTCTGGAGCCCTTCAGCAATCCTGAGAGGTTGGCAGAGCCTAGTATCCTGGTTTCACAGGAGCAAATTGCGTCTCGGGCATAGGAAGGGTGTGCCCAAGGTCTCATGGCCAGAGAGGGGCAGATACAGGGGAGAGGCTAGGTCTTCAGGCATCTAGCTTGGATTTCTTTCTCCCACACACCCCTTTCCCTCGTTCTCCGGGTCATTTGACAACTACCTGCAAGGCAGGCATCAAAGAGGGATCTCAGTGAGAGTATGGCAGGGCCTTCATCCTCCAGCCAGAGCACATAGATGAAAACGTTAGCAGAAGCCAGCCCTCCATGCACCAGCAGCATGTGAGCACCACAGAGCTTCAAGTTCAAGGGTCAGGAATATGTGAACCACTTTGGATTGTTTCATTGAGTGCCCCCAGATGCTGGCCCCCCTTCTTTTTTTCCCCCTTTTCTTTGCCCTCCACTCCCCATCAGGGGCCACTCGAGTGCAGCATGGCTGCATCCCTAGCGTCCAGGGCCTGCCTGGCCTTTTTGACATTTTCTTCTGCCTCTTTTCACTGTCACCATGTAAAAGGGGGTGTGTGTTTAGAACTATGAGGAAAAATGAAATTTCCGGGAAAAAAGTTATTTCCCAAAAGCTGGGGTTTAGGAGGGTTTTACAGAAAATTTGAAGGACATAGAAGCAAACCCTCTGCTTTCCTGATTTCTTTTTCTGCTGTGATAATGAGGGTCTCTGAATGGGGATAGCAAATATACAAAACACAGAGAATTTATAAGTCAACCAACTTACGTATGATATATAATTAAGTGAGATATGAAGTATTTGGAAACTATAAATGTTTCCAAGCCACCCAAAAACCAGAGAATCCCCCAAACTGTGTATTAATATGTTTCTAGTCTATCCCAAAAATTACATTTCTGTCCCTACAGCACGCTTTTTTTTCCTTTTAATGAGAATCTTCTAAAATTTGTCATCTATGCCTAAGAAAATTAAATTGGGAGCCATTCCCCCTCACTGTAGAACAGCCATATGCACTGTTTCAGGCCACCATATGCTACATTTGAAAATAAAAAGAGGGTTTTACTCAGAAGCTGGTCTTGTAAACTGCAGCCTTTGAAAAGAATGCTGTAAGCCCTACTCATTTGTGTGTCTCATTTATACAGGATTGCCTCCATTGGTGGAAGTTTTGTCCGCAGTTACTACTCAGCAAATATTTGTTAAATAAATGATTAGGAAGCATCACCACAGGAAGGTATAGGCATTAATCACTCCCACCTGGGAAGCATGGAGTAAGACATTCCACAGTGCCAGAGCCTCTCATAAGAGCACAGTTTGTGATATTTCCATTGCAGAGGACCCCAATCTGCAAATCCCCAGAGGCCTCTACTACCCTAATTTACAGTGCATTGCTATGACCATGTTTATCCACTTCAGTTCTCTAAGGCCAAACTGCATTATCCAGAAAGGGTTGTCATGTAATGTGCGTGTAGGGAGGGGCCAGTATAGGGCCTGTTACCAGAATGTGGTTCAAGGGAGGCTCCTGGGCAGGAGCTAATTTAAGTAACTACCATTTGCCAAGTACTTGCTTAGTTGCTAGTTATCGTGCTAAGTGCCTCACATCCATGATCTCGCCTCATCCTCACAGCAACTCTATGAAGTAAGTTTGATGATTCATTTTACAGATCAGAGAACTGAGGCTCAGAGCTCTTGCTGGAACTCTTATTTTCAGCAAAATGGCCAACTAGGTCATACAGAGATTCTCTGATGACAGGGTACAACTGTTCGTGTATAAAATTGAGCAAAGAAGAAAAGGGAGACAAGGGAGCCCTGGATTCTAGAAACAAGATGAAGCTGATGGGCCAGAGCAGTGGGCACAGGAGCCCAAGCTACAGCAGGCCTGGGAGACGTGCAGGATCATCAGCGCCAGGGAGACTCAGAACAGAATAATTTCAGAGTCAGCAGACAGGGCACATCCACAGTGGGAGGTTGGAACTGAGGCCCTGCATAAAGCTGGGATCCTCAAAGGCTGCAAGTCATGTGAGAAAAGGACTAAAAAAAACAGTGCCTACTAGACCAGAAGGATGACATGGAGGCATTTCTCTGCCATGGCTTGTCGGGGCTGGGGGGGTGTGCTAAGAGACCAAGCCTATACCTCAAAAGACCTTGAAATCTAAACTCACATACTAGAGCAGTCCTAGAACCCCAACCTAAGAAATCAACCTGAAAAGTGGTCCCAGACAAATGGTACCCTTGAGGTGGCCAGCTGACGTAATCAGAAAACCACCCTGGGCCAGGCACAGTGGCTCACGCCTGTAATCCCAGCACTTTGGGAGGCCGAGGCAGGTGGATCACGAGGTCAGGAGATCGAGACCATCCTGGCTAACACGGTGAAACCCTGTCTCTACTAAAAATACAATAAATTAGCTGGGTGTGGTGGCAGGTGCCTGTAGTCCCAGCTACACGGGAGGCTGAGGCAGGAGAATGGTGGGAACCCGGGAGGCGGAGCTTGCAGTGAGCCGAGATCACGCCACTGCACTCCAGCCTGGGCAACAGAGCGAGACAACGTCTCAAAAAAAAAAGAAAAAGAAAAAAAAGAAAACCACCCTGGAGGGTTAGTTCAACCATACAAGATTCCCATAGGAAGGCAAGCCTTCCGAGAATTAACAGAATCATAGAACACGTAGGAAATGATTGACCATGAGCTAGAATCAACAACTACAACATGCAGAAGGATGACCACTCCCGAGAACTTAACAGTCTGAAAAAGGCTATAAAATGAATACACTTTTAAATGACTAAAGAGAGAAAACGATATATAAAAACCATAGAACAAGACAATATCAAGAAAGAAACAGGTGGATTTTGAAAAATTCCAAATAGCCTATTCAGAAATTTTAAAGTAAGATAATTTATGACCCGAAGAACAAATTAAACAGCAGACCAGACACAAATGATGGGAAAATAAGTGAAGTAGAATAGAGATTTGAAGAAACAAATCAGGATAGAACGCGGATAAAAAGATGGAAATTAAGGAAGAGGTTGAGTGACATGAAAGCTAGAAGATCCTCTAAGCATTTAGTAGTTAATTTCCTGAAGACTAGAGAGAAAGGGAGAGGAGGATATTCAAAGAGCTCAAAACCAAACTTTGCAGAACTAATGAGAGACACAAATACTAATTAAACGGCCATGGTGTGGCCTATCAGTTCCTATGTGGAGCAGGCATACATGCTGGGTCCCATGCTTGCAGTCAGAGTCTCAGTCTAAAAGTTCCTCTCTAGAAAATGTTTGTCTCATTGTCACAAGACATCCAAGGGAAGTTTTGTGCTTCACGCTTGGCTGTAGAGACAGATTGGTGAGTCTAAGGAATTAACCATCCTTCTTTTTCTCCCCTATTGTGCATATGAAGAAACTGAGGTTTAGAGAAGTTAAGCAACTTGGACCAAGTCACACAGTTTGCATGAGAATTGGGAACTGGGGTCCAAATCCAGGTAGTTTGCCTGGAGAGAGGGCTCTCTTAAGCACCATATGGCCACCGATCACAGAATAAAAGGCTCCGTCGACCTCTGTTGTCCTGTGACGTGGATGCTGGATTAGTGGGACAGGCCTGACCTGGGTCAGTCATTTATTCATCCCTCAAACCTCTGTGGAGTACAGTCACTGTTCCTGCCCAGGTCTGGGCCCTGGGATAATGAAATGAATCAGACAACCCCTGATCTCTAGGAGGTCATCGTTTGGGTTGCAGAGTATGGGGGTCAGGGGACGGAGAGAAAATCAAAATTACAATATTGGAAAGAGACGTACTGTGATGGAAGTTGTCCAAGAGGCTGGAAGAGGCACAGAAGAGTAGTGTTTCACTAAGATTCAGAAATTCATGTTCTCTGCTTAAGAAATAGTTCCTAAAAGTCTCTCCAGAGCTTAAAGAACATTATATGCCTCAGAAAGAACTGAGTTCAGATTCCGAGTCAGCTTCTTCACTGACTACATGACCTTTACCAAGTTGCTTTACCACTTTGAGCCTCTGGTTCCTTTTCTCTAAAATGAGAGTGACAACAGTGGCTACTTCATAGAGGATTCAATGATGCATTCCTTGTAATATATTTAGCAGAATGCCTGGCACTCAATAAATGTGGCAATTCATCATCATCATCGCCATCACTGTAATATAGATATTAATAAGAACAGCTATCATTCCTGGCTAACCTTCCCCCAGGACTAGAGAGCAGACATCCCTTCTCACAGGAAGCAGCTCTTTCCAGGTGCCACAGAGCTGAATGTTTATAAAAGGGTAAAACACAGGCTTCCAGGGACTGCTTTGGTGGTAAACAAGACCAGGAAAGAGCTAATAAAATTTCAAATTAGCCATGACTTTTCACGGCCCTTCAATTGTGCTAGCTGATTTAATGGTCAATGTCCCTGCTCACTGGGATTGAATAATGGAGCATTTCTGCAGAGTTATGGATGCAACAGCTGAATCTGTCATGCTAACATCAATAGCAGAATGCAAATAACCCTCAGCTCGGGCTGTAATTATGTGTTTAAGCAATGTCTGACAGGGGCAGCATGAGAATGTGTGATGGAGGCTGCCGACTGCTGGAGAAGACAGGTGCTTTGCTAGGCAGTTGTATCTGGGAGCTGGGACAGGAGCCACAAGTTAGGATGCAGGTCAATGCTGGGGTGAGGGGAGGCATTCCTTCCGTATCTCAGAGTGAATCTAGCAGGTGAGCAGAGAAAGGATGAATGGCTCTTCATGTTGGTGAGCCATGTTCTAAGTTCAGGATGAGGAAGGGAAACTAACCCAGAATTAAGCACTATGATACCATGTGTCAGATACTATGCTAGATTTGGGGACATAATGCTGCACTTTTTATCTATATAACAAATACTTGTTTGACACTTACTCTTATGATCCCCCTTTAAGAGATATGGGGAACTGAGGCCAGAGAGTTTAAGTAACTTGCCCAAAGTCACACACTAGTAAGTTTCAGTGCCAGGATTTGACCCCAGACAGTCTATCTCTGGAATCCATACTCTTTATCACTATCTGCCTTCAAGGAGACTATAAGCTTCTGGGCACCATGCAGAAATGGGAGAGAAACAGAAAGGCTTTTTGTTACTAATTTATTAAGGAAAAAACTAGGTTTTAGGACAATCAAGTAGCTTACCTGAGGCCACACCACTAGCAAGGAGGATCGGGGACACCAAGTCTAACCAATGCATTTGCAGTACTTTGGTGGGCAGCTTCTGTATTGTAAACTCCATGGAGAAAACTAGAGAAGTAGGTATATCACTGTTACTCCCACATTATTTATGAAATGTGGCTCAGAGAGACTAAGTACAGGAACTTGTCCAGGGTCACTGTTGGGGGCCATACTTGGTCTTGAACTTTAGTCTCTGAACATCATGGTCCTCCTACCATAGCACACTGCTTACCTCAATGGGATGAAGTTACAGTTTTCTGGCTTTTATGGACTGGCATTTGTCACAACCCCTGCTTCACTATTTAATTCATTCAATTCCCATTCATTTATTTGTATAGCAGTTATGTTTTAAGCACTTCCACTAAGTGCTGGAACACAGAACAGATCTGTGCGCTCCCACGGTGGTGAGGAAGTTTCCCAAAGTCACACAGCTGAGACGCAGCAGAGCCAGAATTTGAACCCAGGCAGGAATACATGTCGTTAGACTGTTGTCTGCCGACAAAGCACATAGACTGTACCCCTGGGCTTTTCCTGTCCACCACTTTGGACACTACCTGCTTATCTCTTTGTTATGTATTTTAAGCTGGTCTATTAATATTAGGTGCCTGTAAAAGTACTTTGATATAATGAGGCCAAAAATCTGTGATCTGGTGGACTTTCTTTGTACTTTGGGAAGATAGTAGAGCTGTAATACAAGTTCCAGTCCTGAAGAAGCCCATCCATGTGGTAAAGAGAATTCCCTGCTAATGGAAACTCTGTCAGGGATCTGAAACCATCCAGCAAACTCAAAAAGCACAAATATCCCTGCAGCCTCCTCTCACAGAAAGCAGAGCAGGCCTCCAGAGGACCGAGGATTCAGCCGCAGGCCACACGCTTACACTGAGGCTGGGAGAGACGCTGAGAATTGCTGTGCCTTCACTCCCAAAGCCAGGCAGTCACCAGGGCTTACAGTTTTACCTCCTAAATGTCTCTCAATACCATCTACTTCTCTTAATTGCCACTGTTACTACTGCAGTCTAAGCAACCTTTATTTTTCACCTGTGCAACCTCAGCGATGCCCTCTTCTCCTGTCTGGCTCCCAGCTCCCACTGAGGCCCCCTTTGGTTTCAGGAGTGCACACCAGATGAAGTCACCTCCTGCTTAAAAGCCTTCGGTGATTCCCATTGTTCTGAGGGTGAAATTCAAACTCCCTAACTTGGCCTGCAAGGCCCAGCCTGGTGTGCCCCTGTCAACCTCAGCAGCCTCACATGGTGCTCTTCCACTCACCTTCTGGCCATCAGCATTTGAATATAGCATCACAAATGTTCATGTGTTATCTCACTTCTGGGTCTTCATACATACAATCTCTTCTATTCTCGATGGAAGGAAAAACATACAGTACAGACACTGTACACTTACTGTCTATCTCTCCTTCTAGACTAGTGAGCTAGGACCACATCTGAGTCACTTGCATCTGTTTGGTGCCCAGCAAAGACTTTGGCTTATATCAGCATTTAATAAAGTTTTTGAATGAGTGAAAAATAGAGAAGAAATGAATTAAGGCATTCTGGATAAACATGGCTGATTGAACATAGCAATATAAACCACATGCTCTGTCACTCCTGCAGATGGCCTGGTGGACTGCATGGACCCTGACTGCTGCCTCCAGCCCCTGTGCCATATCAACCCGCTGTGCCTTGGCTCCCCTAACCCTCTGGACATCATCCAGGAGACACAGGTCCCTGTGTCACAGCAGAACCTACACTCCTTCTATGACCGCATCAAGTTCCTCGTGGGCAGGGACAGCACGCACATAATCCCCGGGGAGAACCCCTTTGATGGAGGGTGAGTCCGAGGGCCCCAGCTCCAGCCAGGGCTCTCTGAGGGAGAACTGAATCACTCTAGAGCCTCTTTTGGATGAATGGGGGTGGGAGGAAGCCAGGAACGTGAGAGCATCCATGGTTCCTGATGGAATGTCGGGGGAGGCAGAGAAGCAGCCTCAGGTACCTACATTTATAAAACTACTCTCCAAGGAGTTTGGAATTTTTATGAGCAAAGTTTTGTTGCTCCCACTGGGTGACAGATGAAGACAGTGAGAAACCAAAGGTCCAAGGGGAATCTTGGATCAATACCCACTTTGCAGTCAGCTCTTACTGATCCTGTGGTCTCCAGATGAACTGAAAGGCATTGATGCTGCTCACCCTCAAAGCAGACATCCAGAAGACTTTGCTAGGCAGGGGGTGGGTACATCTGCTGCCATCCCAGGCCACATACCCATACAATCTCCCTGTTTTCAGTTGTGTCATCCATTGGACAATTTTATACGGAGGTCTGTGGCAGGTCCTTTGCTGGGATTGCAGAGTTGAGCAGAACACAGTTCCTGATTGTTGGTCACTCCCAGTCCACTAGGAAGACAAAAAAGGGACAGTTACAGTGTGATTAGGCCAGAACTTTGTCCCCAGGGTACTGTGGAGCACAGAGGATGTACTCCTGGGTAGGAGGGAGGCCAGGGCTTTAGAATCAAGTCTTAAAGAGGAGAGACGGTTAACTAGGCAAGGAAGGGAGAGAGTGTGCCAGGGAGAAGGAAGAGCTCATGCAAAGACCCAGAGACACAAAATAGCTCTCTAATCTCTGCACCCTAGATCAGGGCAGTGAACAGCATATCCAAGAGCAGGGATTTATAATCATTTCTTTTGAATGTCTTCCAACGTAGTGGTGCCTCATATGTGCAGAACTTTCTCTAAAAGTCAGTGTGGTTAATTCAGCAGTCACCGTGCACCTCGTATGTTCATTTTTCTGTGCCAGAGGGTCCCTGTCCTGAGGGAACAATGGGGTAGTGATGGGGGTAGGAAGGGTAAGGGACATTTTCAAGCTCTATTTAAAGGGGAAATCAGCAGGACTTGGTAACTGATTGTGTCTGCGGGATGCTGCAGAGAGGAGTCTCCCGCTTGAATGCCTGGGTAAATGGTGGTATTTTCACCAGGCTGAGGAGCAGAGAGCAGGAGCAGGGTGGGAGCAAGGTGATAAAGGGACACACCACAGTAGGCCACCCACGAGTAAATGTCTATCTGCAGTTAGTAATTCTGGAGCTCATTTAGAGTTAGGGCTTAGAGTTCTTGATTTGGGAGCCATCAATGAACAAGCAGTTGAAACCATGAGCACACAAAAGGTTGCCCGAGGAGGCTGGGCGCAGTGGCTCATGCCTGTAATCCCAACACCCTGGGAGGCTCAGGCGGGCAGATCACTTGAGCCCGGGAGTTCGAGACCAGCCTGGTCAACATGGCAAAACCCCATCTCTCCAAAAAAACAAAACAAAAATTAGTTGGGTGTGGTGGCAGGTACCTATACTCCCAGCTACTCAGGAGGCTGAGGTGGGAGGATCACTTGAGCCCAGAAGGTTGAGGCTGCAGTGAGCCAAGACCGTCCCACTGCACTCCAGCCTGGGTGACAGAGCAAGACCCCATCTCAGGGAGAAAAAAAAACCTTGCTCAAGGGGAATATGTAATGAGAAAAGAGCAGGGACTGAAGAAGAAGCCATGGGGAGCCTCCCTGTGAGGCAGCTGCTGTCATCCCCAGAGGGTGACAAGGGAAGCCAAAGAGAAGTCCTCACTGCTGGAACATGACGGAGCGGGATGCAGACATGCAGGTCTGTCAGACTCGGGAAGGAGCCCCTGCACTTTCCACCACCCTAGCCCATCCTTGCAAGGAGTCGTGACGAGATGAGAAAGGTGAGATGAAGGAAGCCCAGCAAGTGCGTGGCAGAATTCAAACCTCCACCTTTCTAGAGGTGAAGCTACTTGATGGTCCGAACCCTCCAACTTACCCCCGGAGTACTGAGAAGCTGAGAGGTTAAGTAACTTTCCCAAATTCACAAGGCTAGTCAAGTGGCAGAGCCGGAGTGAGGAGAAAACCTATTCATTTATCTTGGCCAGAAATGCTGCTTCTGTCTCTGGGTGGGAAGCTTCCTGCTATTTTCTTCAGTTGTGTGATTTTGTATGTATGCTTGTAGGCCTTCCCACAGTGTGAGTTTTTTTAATCCACTAGAGATATAGCTAATATTCCTACCAAGGAAATTGTCACTTGCTCAGTCATTCTTTACGGGGCCCATTATTGGATCCAATTAGGGCCATGGCTTGTTGGCTGCCTATGGCTGTTCTGCTTACTGGATGCCCTTGCCATGCCAGCCTGATCAATGCCAGCAGGGACACGTCTCCTGTATGTCCTCCTGGTCACTTCCTGAGCCTGCTGCTTAAGCGCCATGAGCCACTGTGGGACCTGCACACAGGTCTCGGTATTGTTGCTCCAGCAAGTCTGACTGGCCTCAAGGAGCCAGCCAAGTATGGAGTTTGAGAAGCCTGTGCTGGGGAAAATGGACCCCTCAGCAGTAGGGAAGACACAGGCCTCAGAGAGAGGCCAGCTTGGTCTTCAGATCCTGGCTCTGCCGCTCTAGATACATAGCTCTGGACAAGCAGCTTAATAGAGTGCATCCTGTAAATGTCTGTCAACCCCTGTAAACCAAGTCCTCCAGGGAAACACTTCATCTTACACATTTTAGCACTTAGTAGTTGCTGAAAACATATACATATAAATTGCCTTGAAGAATAAAGAAATGGAAGAACTGAGGGAGGGAGGAAGGATGGACATATTATCTATTTTACCTAATTTTATACTGAGGATTCAGAGTCCAGAGAAGTTAAATCACCTGCTAAAAATCACATTGCAGATTAGTCACAGAAGCAGAAGAAGTCAACTTTGCAGATCATTGTTTATATATCTGTCACCTTCAGTTGGTTATATACACTTTGAAAACAGAGACCATTCATCTCTCCAAACCTGTAATACTTTGGCCAGGGCCAGGGATATAGTATTTGCTCTACAAATGAATAGATAATGGAAGCTTCCAAAATGTTACTGTCTCTTTAAAAAAAAAAAAAAAGTTACTGTAAAAATTCCTTTTACCTAACATTTGCCAGAATCATTATGTACCAGCTCTTCACTGATCTAGATTCAGAAGAAACAGCTATCAGGAAGGACCCCCAAACAGATTCCTGTGTAAAATATGCCCAAGTGACTAGAAATGTAGAAACATGAGGCAGCAGATGCTTTTCTCATTAGACTAACTACTTGGTATTCGATGATCTTGGTCTGGACCAGTAGGACAGTGCTTATTTGCACAGCTGGGATAAAGTGAAATCAACTACCCAGTTTAAGTAGTTGCTTTCTGTCCTCTCATATGAGGGAGTTTGGTATAATAGCAAGTGCCCAGAGTTACAATCCTGGCTTTACCTCCCACTAGCTGTGTGTGACCTCAGGGAAATGATTTAACCTTTGTGTAGGTGGCTCTAGTTATAAATTGGCAATAATGGTACTCTTTCATGAAAGCTGTTGAAAGGATAAACTAAAATAAAGCACCTGGCCCAGGGCTTGGTACATATTAGGTGATCAGTAAATGGTGGCTTTTGTAGCAGCCGCATATCATAGTGAAAATAGCACAAGCCTGGGAATCTGACAGACCAAGATTAAAAGGCTGTTGCATCCACTTTCCAGTTTTGTAACCTTAGGAAAATTCCTAAATTGTTCACTTATATGAGCTCCAACTTGCTCATCTGTAAGATTAGGGTGTTAACGTCTATGTGTCTAGGGATTGCTATGAGAATTAAATGGGAACAAAAAGTACATAAAGTCTCAACCTAGTACCTGCCACACAAAAACTTGCTTGCTAATTACATGGCGGTGATGATGATGTTAATTAAAAAGAGTTTCCAAATCCACTTCCTTAATGGAAAGTAAAACTTGAGAGGAACCTGCCCTCCAGGTCCAGCGACCACCCAGAGAGGAGGCAGGTTTAGGCTGTTGAATCATTATTTGAGGAAGGGAGAAAAGGCTGCATTCTTGCCAGCCAGCTGTCAGTTGGGATCCTTGTTAGAGTGGAGCCCAGTGGCGTTTCTCCAGAGAGTGGAATTTCTGATGGGGAGGCAGACCTGACTTGGTGCCTGTGTATGACAATTAGGCCTGTGTCCAACCAACAAAACCCCATATTCTCCTGCACCCCATGTGCTGTGCCACAATTTGTAGTTTGAGATTTCATTTAACAGCCTCCAGGAAGCAGGTTGTCACCCAGAACCCAACAGCATTTCTGAGACCAGCAAGGAAAGGCAGGCCTCAGAGTGGAGCTCCTTCTCTCTGCAGATTCCCAGCTGGGTCAGCCTCAGGGAGCCTCAAGTATGAGGCACACTGGGACCTCAGCTGCTGGGACCAGAGGAGGGAGGGGAATTCAAGCCCAGGGCTTGGAGCCAACTGGCCTACCTTGGGTGTGAAAGCAAGCAAGCCAGTCCCCAGCACCCAGGGCTCTCCCCAAGACTCACTTCCTCAGAGGCCAGACCCCATCTCCTGGAGTGATGAAGGCCTCCCTGAGGGGCCCTCTCTGGTTCATCTGTGTCCCCAGGGCCCCGCACAGTGCTGGGTCCAGAGCAGGTGTTTAATGCAGGTTTAATGAATACAGTAGCTCTATCTGACATCCTGCCACTGCTGTCCTCAAACCCACAGAAAGTGACAGAGCTGTGATGGAGAGTGACAGAGATGACCTAAAGTAGGAGGGGACAGAGTAGGCATGGGAACCACTGTCACCAGATTAAGTGGTTTGAATACCACCATTCTCTCCTGGCCTGGATGCCCGGGTCCCATCTGCCTAGTGGAATACTTGTCCCTCCCATGGAGTCATGGGGAGAATACAGTGAAGGGTGTCCACTATTGACACTTAGGAGAGGAGGAGCTCTGAGGTCTGCAGGACCTCCAACTGCACTGTCAATACAAAGAGTCCAGGACACACACTGTGGGGTTTGGGATCAGAGAGCTGGGAAAGGGAGGGCAACGTGAGACATCTCCTGGGCAAGCACTCGAGCCAGAGCTGTTTCCCGTTGTTGGGTGCATCTGTGCTCTTGGGGAGGACTCCTCTGACTGAAAGGGCTGGATGTGGGTCAGATATCCCCTCAGTGAATAGTTACAGGTTGCCGATGCTGGACAGGTTAGCAAGTTACAGGAAGAGGTTCTGACGAACCACCCCCAGGTTATTCAAATATAGATTCAGAATAGGTTTGAGGACACAGTATTACAACCACCCAGAGAGGAGGCAGGTTTAGATTGTTGAATCATTATTTGAGGAAGGGAATTTGAGAAATCATGTGATGGCAAATCTTGCTGGGTTCCTCTAATTCTAATAGGTTATTGGCTCCATCAGGCAATAGATGGTCGTGGACAGGGAGCTACAAGACTCAGCTGACAGGAGACACTGAGCCCCAAGAGAAAAGGCTCAAGAAGTCAGGGGACTTTAGCAAAAGGAAGGATGGGTGACCAGAGAATTTACCCCAAAGGAGGCAGAGAATCGTATCCTATACAGAGGGTCAGAGCCTATGAGGAGGAGAGACTGGGCAGGCTTAGCGAGGGACAGAGCAGAGAAAAACACACAAGCTGCCCAAGCATGCTGGCTCACGCCTGTAATCCCAGCATTTTGGGAGGCCGAGGCAGATGGATCGCTTGAGTTCAGAAGTTCAAGACCAGCCTGGGCAATGTGGCAAAACCCCGTCTCTATGAAAAATACAAAAAATTAGCCAGGTGTGGTGGTGCACGCCTGTGGTCCATGCTACTCAGGAAGCTGAGGTGGGAGAATCACTTGAACCCAGGAGGCAGAGGTTGCAGAGAGCAGAGATCACTCCATTGCACTCCAGCCTGGGTGACAGAGCCAGACCCTGTCTCAAAACACAGACACACAGACACACACACACACACACACACACACACACAAGCCTCATTTGGTAAATATTGACCAGCACCTACTCTGTACTAGGTGTGGAATAAGAAGATATCTCACCCCATTACTTTGGGGGCTCTTTGTGGGTCCCATGCCTTGTTTGTCATTGAACCCAAAGGAATTGGCACAGAGTGAACCACAGTGAATGATAGAATAAATCAATGAATTAGCCAGTCCCTGCTGAGTGCCTGAAGAGAAGTAGAGACAAAAGTGCTCTGTGAGCTCAAAGGCAAGACCATCACTCTCACTGCACGTCTGCCCCCTGAGCCTACACCATGAGAGCTGCCTCTCCTACAGCTTTGCTTCTCCAGCATGTAACACAGGGCGGGCTTAGAGTAGACAATATTAAAAGTTTGCTGTTGAAAACAAATGAACAAATGAAGACTTCTGGCAGGAGATGGCCTTCAGCCTGAGACAAAAATTTCAGTCGGGAGACTTGGCCATTAGAGCATCATTTATCAAATTGCAGGTCACAACAAACCCATTAGTACCTTATGAAATCAATTCAGCAGGTCGAAACTATTCTTTTCAAAAAGAGAAGTAAATTTAACTGGAATGGAGTAGAAGGAAATAGAAAATATCAGTGCATCACTGTAAAAAGAATATGTATTTCATGAAACTTATTTCAGTTACATGTGTATGTGTATGCATGAACTACTGGATAAGCTGTATTGCTTACTGTGGGTTTCAGTTGAACAGGATTGTAGAAAGCATTCTATACTGCAGAACCAGTGTGAGCAACAGCATAACTTTCCAGGACAATCAGAGAATGGAGAAAATTTTAATGTGTCTGGAGGATAATTATGGTGACATTATTTTCCACATCAAAGGTCAGAAGACGTGCTCTGACATTTGAAATCAAGATGGGCTTAGGAAATCTGTGGTATATGAGCATGGTGAGCAAAGGGGGCATGTGGGAGAAAGAGGAACATAGGGAACTATGAGGCCAGAAAAGTGGGTTAGGGGCAGGAACTGAGAAAGATCTGACCCTCACCCGTTCACTAACCAAGTTCCAGCATTTCATCTCAATCAGGACCTAAAACTGGCTCTAAACAGGAGTGAAATAACCTTGATTCCACCTAAGTCTTAGAATTCCATTCACACCCTATAGAAAGGCACAAAGCTTCCAGGAATTTTAAAAGCAAGAGTTTTCAAGAGTGAAAAATGATGGAAAAGAGAAATGACCATGTATGCAATGTGATTTTTTATCAGCCCACTGTGAACCTAAAGCCATATGCAAGCGTCAGTGGCATAGCAGTTTCAGAAGAGCATTTGCTCCCCACCCCACACCTCCACCCAGGCTTTAGACAGCCTTCAGGAAGCCCTCAAGAGGGCGAGCAGCAGAGATCATCTAATGGACTTCAAATAAACACCAACTTCCTGACAGCTGGCCTCTGAGCAAATTTATTATTGAATTATACTCCTGCATTTTCAGAACAAGCTGAGCTGACAGGGTACCCCATCAGTTTAAAAAAAAAAAAAAAGGAAAGAAAGACAATGATAAATTACCTGATGGAAGATAGAAGAAGGCAAAGATCCTGCTTCCTCCAAAATGTCAGCCATTATATATTATTCATGTTGGTTTTTTAAAAATCCCTCCCCGCGTTGAAATGAATGTTTATGATGATAAAGCAACTAGGTGATTCAATTCAGGATGCAGGCAACGACTTCTCACATCATCCTGATGAGCAGCTAACAACTCCTCCTCTGCCACTTGATCATCCCTTTATTGATTTCAAAAATGAATTACGATCTCTGTTTGCTTTGTAGCTTGAGCTTGTTCCTAGTTGTCCATCACAGAAAGCATTAGCAGAGGATGCTGTGGTGCAGCGGGAACAGCTTGGGTTAGAGGGAGAGAGCCTGGATTCAAGTCCTTGGGAAAGTGAGAACATGGGACCTTGGGCTGGTGAGACTCAACTTCCTCCCCTCTGATGTGGGGTCACTAATTCCACCCTGCCAGGTTGTTTGGAAGATTAAATGAGATAAAATACCCAGAAGCCCGATGTCTGGCTCATAGCATGCGTTCAGTACTAACACCTAACATTTACCAAGGATATTCTATTTGGAATGTTTTATAGGTAGTAACACCTTTAAATCTCTGGCAGACCCTATGATATAGGGACTTTATCACCCTTGTTTTAAGCAATGAAAACTGAGCTACTGAGAATTTAAGTAATCTGGGCCATGGTCATAGGGCTTGTAATAGCAGAGCCAACATTGGAAGCCACGCCCAGTTGGCTCTAGAGCCCATGTACTGAGCCTGTCTTCTTCTCCGCTGAGTCCTTTATGTTCCCTGCTCAGCATCTTCAGTTCAGAAATCCATACAGTGTGGTGCCACTACAACCCTAGCACCCCACCTGGCCCTGACTTTCTCTCCAATATTCTACTACATCATAAAAAACCCATGTGCAGTAAGGCTTCATGCTGAAGAGCACTGACCTCAGAGGTTGGACTCTCAGCCTCACTGTTTGCTAGCTGTGTGACCTTAGACAAGTCTCTTAATCTTTCTGTGCCTCACTTCCCTCCTCTACACTATGAAAATAATAATCCATATCTCATGGGGATTTTGTGGGGATTAAGTTAGCACATGTAAAACACTTAGGTATTAGGGCAGTAAGCATTCATTTAAGTGATAGTGGCCACTGTCACTAAATAGCAGTAATGTTAATATTAGCATTAGCTATAGCATTAGTATACATACAGGTTTTAGCGTCACTACTGAGAACTGGGAGAAAAATGAGAATCTTAACCTGAAGCATCGGTGTAGTTGTGTAATTGGGGCAAATGTCCTAGCACCTTAGGATGGCAGGGGTGAATGGACCTTCCAGACCATCAGCCCTCTGTGCTGGAAGAGGAATCTCCAAGGCCAGAGAGAGCCCCTGGCTCAGCAAGTTAGTAGCCAGGCCTGAGTCCCAGAGAACCTGGAGTCCCAAGTGAAGGTTCGTATATCTCAAACTATAAACTGTAATTCTGCTGTTTGTAAATCAAAGACTTTCTGCATTTTTATCCAACACTGAGAAATTTTAAGCAATAAGAAGTTAAAATATTTAGAGAGCCATGTTTCACATTACTAATATTGCCCTCAATAGAGAATATAGGATCAGGCCTTGCAGACACCTCTGCATGTAGTCTAACTGGCCCTCCAATTAGATCTCAGAGGCATTAAGAGTTTGCTCCAAGCAAATCCCACAGTGAGGGGCTTGACAGGGAGGGATGCGGCCTCTGTGTGGCATTTTGCTAGAGGGGAGAGATCCAGCCCCTCGTGCCTCCCCTGCCTGGATCTCCTCCTCCCACCACAGTGGGGGCCATGTGAGTCCACCCTGTGGGTCTAACGCTGCAGGCCTCTAGGACCAATCCCAATCTGAGAAGAAGGACTTAGAGCAGCCCCAGCTGCTCAACCTCACATCCTTCCTACTGTTGTCTGTCTGACCCATGACTTGCCAGCTGTGCCAAATGGCTTTCTGCCTTGTCCCTGAATCCTGGCCCCACTTTCTGTGTCTGACTTCAGCAGCCTAGTGCCCTGGCACCAAAGGACTCAAACCTTGCCCTCTTTTGACAGGCTCCCATCCCTGCCACATCTGGGTCTGGAGCTCCATCCCTGCTGTACCTGGGCATGATAACCTAGTGACACACGGGACGTCCACATCCAGATGCCTCTGGGAGCCCCTTCACCATGGCTGTCTTCCTGTCAGCCCCTCCTCCCTCATCCTTTGAATTATTATTTCCATTACAGGCCAGCTGTGTATTGCTGTGCACCTCAGCTCCAGCCTATTGAGCTGAACTTTGTGCAGACTCCCTTAGCTGCGTTTCTGCCTGGCATCAGCCCCTTCCCCATGAAGTGGGTCTGATCATGGTTCATTCTGGTTTCCCCTTTCCTGGTGAAGCAGGACCTGCCCTGTCCCTGACAGAAGGCGAGACACATGGTCATGAAATGAACTTGTCTGCTGAGAGACTGTGGCTAGAGTCACATTTTAGCAGAGCTGCCTTGTATTTTTCTAACAGCACAAACCATCACCTGAAAAGTCTTCTTTGAAACAAGCTTCTGGCCACACAGCATAGAAAACAGCCTATCTGAACATGCACCACATATCCCATGTCCCCAGGCACAACGACGGTATTTCTGAGCCATGTCCCCAGACATGACCAACCCACTTAGCTGGGACAAGGGCCTTGCTCCCTGCTGGCCAGACTGTCTCAGTCCTGCTTCTCCCTCACCATAGTCGATGGGCTCAGTTCCCTGGAAGCATAGTATGGTGGACAAGTCAAGGGCTCTGGTCTTGTGTACACTTTTATCAGCCAGCAGAAAATATTCCAGAAGATTCCTATGGGAGAGGACTCAGCCTGAAGCATCAGCATTGAGCAGCCAGGCTGCCCACAGCCTTGACAGATTGATTCTGCAGCCTGGGAGCTCACGCTCCCTTGGTGTCTGAAGGAGCTCAACAGCCATGCTTAGCTAGGAGGCCACAGAACAGTGGTTTCTGGGCTCTGCGGGAAGCACAGCCTCAGGTCCCTGAAGACACTAGTAAGTGCTGGGCCATCTTGCTGTTAGATGGCCCCAGGTGGTGTCACGGCACCATGGCGGAGCTGGTGGTACCCCCTCCTCAAGGAGTGATGGAAGGGATGCCCCACCTTCAGATATCACTGACCTCACCTGTACATGAGGAACGTGGACTCAGTCACTCAGAAGACCCCTGTAACTTAAAAGGTAAACTCCTCCCTCCTGTCAATCTGAAGGAGACTATGGAGCCTGTAACCCCAGCTACTGGGGAGGCTGAGGCAGAAAAATCTCTTGAACCCTGGAGGTAGAGGTTGCAGTGAGCCAAGATCATGCCACTGCACTCCAGCTGGGGCGACAGAGCAAGACCCTGTCTCAAAAAAATAAAAAAAGGGACTAGATCAAGTTTTACTGGTTTGGGCATAAGGCTATTGGAAAATATACATGGTAAATATAGGATGAGCTTTGAAATAAGTTATAAAGATTGAAGCACAATGAGAAGTTGGCTTTGGGGTATAATAATAAATAGCATATTCAAGTTTATTTTGTATACAAAAAAGTCACATACACACTATCATAGTCCCAAGGTAGATACCGAAGGTGGGCCATGAGAACAGGAAGAAAATTTTAGGGGCTCTATCTATACAGTGTTTCTTTTATCTTAAGAAATAAGAAAGCAAGACTGGTTTATTTCTATAGAATGTTGGATTCTCACCGATTTGTTCCTTTGGTCTCTGTGTTACTTGGTTACATGTCTGGACCAGCACATGAGGCATTCTGAGGGAGATCAAGATCTACTCCACAGAAAGAGGGACAGTGGACGGGCACAGTGGCTCATGCCTGTAATCCTACCACTTTGAGAGGCCAAGGCAGGTGGGTCACTTGAGGCCAGGAGTTTCAAGACCAGCCTGGCCAACATGGCAAAACCCTGTCTCTACTAAAAATACAAAAAATTAGCTGGGCCATGGTGGTGCACACCTTTAATCCCAGCTACTCAGGAGGCTGAGGCACAAGAATCGCTTGAACCCAGTAGGTGGAGGTTCCAGTGAGCCGAGATCACGCCACTGTACTCCAGCCTGGACAACAGAGTCAGACTTTGTCTCAAAAAAAAAAAAAAAAAGAAAAAGAAAAAAAAGAAAGAGGGACAGTGGACCCACACTGGTTTGTTGTGTATTATTGTGTATTATGATGTAATAGTATATTACATCATAATTGTTTGTATGCGTGTCTGTCTGTGTATCTGTATAAAATCTAGTGTTAACCAAACTTACTCATAAAATGGTAAAGTGGCTTTAAAGGTTTCTTGCAAGGTAAATACAAATGGAAGATAATACTAATAGTGCGAGTACAAGCAAACAAAATGGCAGAGCTGATACTTCTTCTACTCCTAATATTAAATACTTTCCTCAACCTCGCTATGAGGTTAGAAATGATTATTTTCATAAGACTGAACAAAAAGTTAACTAAGAGATTCAAAATGATCAACAATCTTAGCAGAGTTCACTTAAAGAGTCAAAATTATCAAGCAGGCTATTTGAAATATGAATACTCATCAAACCTTGCACCAAATGTATGTTACCCTTCCCAAGGTGAACCAGCGATGGTAGCACATGTGTGCGATTTATAAATGAATGCAAGTACATTGAAGGAGCCTGCTCAAAAATGTTTACAGAAAGGGCGTGCAATCAAAAATGGTTCCAGAACCCGGCTCTAATTATGTGAACCCTGAATTGTGAAGCCAAGACAAATTGGGATTCTCAATTATTTCAGTACGTGTCGGTCAGACTGCAAGTATCTTAAGAGGTGGAGTGACTCTCCCAAGTTCTCATGGCGAATCCTGCATTTGATTCAGTCCTGGCTCCCCACAAGTCTGCAAGAATGGGCAAGTCCATTCCCTGTCTGAACTTTATTTTCTCACCTTTACCAAAAGAAGTTTGAAAGAGGTGATCAGGAAGGGTTCTTCTGACTCGAATGTTTCATAATCAGGGGTTTCCCAAGAATACGTATATAGGCAGAAGATGTTGGGCTGGAAAAGCTGGTTCAAGAAACTGAGGTAGAGCGTCAGATGGAAAACTAGGAAGAGAGAGCTACAGATCAGCCTGGTGGCTGGGCTTGAAAGATGGTCTTGGGAGCTGCAGAGAGGACAATGTCAGGCTGTGACTGGAAACACCTTCAGTGGCAGTAATTTAACAGGCTCTGAAGTGAGGCTTCTCATTTGGGCCCAGGTAATGTTCTTACAAGACTTCAGGTAAATTGTAGTAGATGCTGGAAAGATCCCCATTCAATCAGCAGAAGTTAGCAGAAAACAGTTTAAGGATTTACACAAGTCAGGCAAAAAAACCTGTTTAAAATACACAATGCAAAGGAGTGATTTACATAATCAATAATGGCATAGACTAGCAAATACTTTAAAGGAGAGAAAGGCTAGATTTATCATTTGCCACCTAGATCCCAAATGATATTCCCGTCTCCTGAATACCAAAGTAGCTGCTTTCACTTAATAACAAAATAACACACACACAAAATAATAAAAGCTGCAGTTTTTCTCCCTTTGCCTTCCTTTATCTGCTTGTATAATATACATTGAATAATCAATCTAACTTTGTTTCTGGCATTCTTTTTCAAAGTTTTTCAGATCACAGGTGGTACAGATGAGGAGGGTATAGAATCAAAGGGTCAGGGCTAGGCTGAGGCAAGTGAGTCTTCCAGGGGAAGGTACCCAAGCCTTGAGGGAGAGTGCGGGCTGGCCTCTTGAAAGGGCACAACCCTTCCAGCCCTAGGTTCTCTAACCATATCCCTGTCAAGGTCAAGTAGCTCAAAGTTCTCTAACATCGCCCTCACCTTAAGTTACAGAAGCACATAAGCTCTTTATTCATTGCATAAATAATTTATCAAGAACTTACTCTGTGCCCTGCATTCGAATTCCAGAGCAAACACCTGTTTTGGAGGAGGTTTTCTTTTCCCCACTCAGAAATGACCATCAACCGTGATCAATGCTGGGAATATAGCAGTAAGGGACATGTGGTTGGTCCCTGTCTTCATGGAGCTCATGTTCTGCTGGGGAAAAGATTGTCCTGGCAGAGCAACAGCACTCAGAGTTCATGAGGAGTAGCCCAGAAGGAGCAGGAGTGGTGTATACTGCTTGGTGAATGCCCTAGGAGAGGTGGAAGTTTCCAGATAGAGGGAACAATTTAGTGATAAGTATAAGTATTGCATGAGCTCCATTAAGATTCTGAAGCCACGTGCAGTAGGGCTGCTTTAGCTGGATTGGGTAGTATGAGATTAAAACAGTTATAAATTCTTAAACATATGTTGAATTCTATTTTATACCAGGTTGGGAAAAACTTCAGCCTGCATTTGACAGATGAGAGAATGGAGGTTCAGAGAGGTCAGATGACTCCAAAATCATACAGTTAGTTCCCAGAGTCAGAACTGGGAACTATGACTCCCAGCCTAGTGCTCTTGCCACCACAGCCCTACAACTTTTCCCTGAGCAACAGTTGAGGTTGGCTTTTTATTTGCTTGATTTTGTTTTGGAGTGGTTTTGTCTCTCCAGCAGATTCTTCTGTTGATCCCAAACCTTGTCACTCTCTTCAGGAAGCAGTCAGGCAGATCTTTTCCCTTGTTGGCGTCGGCAAGGGCACCTCAGTCAGGCCCTGAGTGTGTGGTTGGACTCATGCCAGTATGTTTGACACCACCCTTGGCTTGGCACAAGCGCTCCCTCCTGGCAGAGTTCACCTAGCCTAACTGCTTGTTTTATATCCCAGCTGCCTGACATATGCCAAACCCAAGTGTTGACTCACTGGTGTCAGAGAAAACTACACGGGGGCATTTCACGTTGGCTTTAGTGAGCTCTAGCAAGTAAGTGGAGATCGTAATTCATACATTTCTGGAACTCAGCACCTAACACAGAGCCTGGCTCATAGTAGGCGCCTGATTTTTTGTGAAATTAAAGGAATTTTAGTGACTGCAGGTACATAACACAGTAGTAAGATTAAGGCCTCAGAAGTAAGAAGACCTAGCTTTAGTGTCAGCTCAGCCAAGTGAATTCATTTCTGGGTGACCTCGAGCAAGTCTTTTTCTCTCTTTCAGTTACTTGATTGTTTTTCACTTAACAAACACTCTGAGAGCAGCATCCCGTGCTTATCCTCTCTGGAGATGTGGTCCAGCCCTCCTCTGGCTCACACGTAAACATGTGAGATGGCTATATAATGCAAATGATATAAACATACGACCATCAAATACTAGAGAGATACTTATAAGGTGTATAAAAGCCCAAAGGAGGGGGTGATTCATTGTGTCAGGAAAAGTTGATGACAACCTTACTGAGGTGGTGACAGCTTAGATGAGACTCTAAGGACGAGTAGAAAATAACAGTCCAAAACTCCATTACACCAAGACAGTGACCATGAGGAAGCAAATCATGTCAAATAGAGGACTGGTAATAGAGGATCATATGAGCTAGCTGGGAAGCCAAGTCGGTGACAGTGATTTGCTCCCACGTTAATGGTTTTTCACTAAGGCAGTTAAGGCAGTCTTCCACTGCGGAGTTCTACGTTCAAAGCAGCAACTATTTCTTAGCCACATCTCCAGCCCTGAGCGAGTGCCCAACCCTCAGTGTAGGGTCAGTGTTCCAGTGGCATGCAGAAGCCAGCTTGAACCAGTTCGCAAGAACTGATTATTAAATGTTCAGAAATTCTGCAAGCTGGTTGTTAAACACAGCCATTATTAAAAATTAAATTATATAAAATTAAATAAGGTACATTAAAAACAAAGGTAATAAATACTCAAAACTTACTACTTTCTAATTATTTTGCCATGTTTGATGTTACGTTTGCTCTTGAGGTTACTCAGGACCATCGCGTCTCCACGGTGGCAGTACCGCATAATGGCATCCTCCTGTGTGTCTCTTCCCACCTCTGTGTTCAGTGGCATCTCATTGGTAGCTTGAAAACAGCCATGATGAGAGTATTTACACCACAGAAATGAGCAAACGCTGCAACTGAAGCTGGTTTTCTTTTTGTTTCTTTTTTTTTTCAAAAGTCGGTCATTAAACATTTGCCAGCACCCCACTGATAGTATCCATTAAATAAATGGATGCAGAAAGCAAGCATTGGGAAGCCCAGCACTCACATCTTTTCAAACCTCCCAGGACAAATGCATGTGGCACAAGACACAATTCAGAGGCCCCCACCAAGCTGACTTCCCATCTCCTTTGTTCCAGGGAAGGCTTTATGTTAATCTGGGCTTTCCAGACAAGTGAAAATCATGAAAACAGAACAGGGATGGAAGTGTTTTTCTCCAGGATTTAATTCCTGAGCCAAATGCCTGTGTTGGCAAGAGGCCTCTATGGCCTATCGGCGTCCAGGGAGTCAACCTAATCTTCCCCAGAATCCAAAAGCAATCCACGGGAGCCCAGGCTAAACTTGCATCTGCTCTGGCTTGCCAAGTTGGAGGCTACATGGTAGCCAAATGGTGCCGATTCAATGTTTCCCAATTATCAGGAAATCCCCAAAGAGAGATCAATCAGAGGAGGCTGGCCTGCATGTGTATTAGGGGCAGCAGCCAGGACAGCCCCAGAAAGGAAGCCATCCCCCCAGGACTGGTTTCTGTCCAGGCAGAATCCAGAGGCACATATGTCTGGAGAAGGCTGGCTGGTGGCCAGCGTCAGGAGATGAGATCTGTCAGTAATTCTCTGGAAGGACAGAGTTCCAGCAATACGAAATTCAATTGTCCTCCATTAAAGAAAACATCTCTCAGCACCAGCTGAATACAATCGGTGGAATAAATCTTCCCCATTAGCGGAGAGATAATTTCACATAAATACATTGGAAGACCTTCAGAGCAGAATTGAAAGTCTTTGCTGAGCCTCACCCGCTTAACTTGTTTGCCGTGTAATTGCATTTAGACCAAGGGCCTCGGAAGGAAACCACTGACTGAATTAGCATTAACCAGATTGTGTGGAGTGAGGTGAGGAGGGTGGGGTGGGGTGGGGAGTCTGGTGCATTGTGGGTAGTTGTTCTTGCCTTCAGAAAGGACAAGCTGACACTAGTGAGACCAGCTGCTTCACAAGCCTGGTGTTAATTGCTTTTCTCGTCCAACAGAGAAAAGTTTATCACTCTAGGAAGGTAGAGGTGTGGGTACTTCATACGGCAGTTACTGAATTTGAGATCTTTTTTTAATGAATGCCCATGGGCCTCGTCAGTAGCTCTTCCCTAGGCCAGAAGAAAAAGCCTTCTCACCTGAGGTGAATAGAGAAGGTTATGTGGTGCGCAGCACCTGCGTTTTTGACTCAGCTGTCTTTCAGCGAGGGCTTTCTCCCCAATGTGCGGATCCTTGAGGACATTGCACCAGCCAGTGCCTTCATTTCCACCCACGGCCAGTGGCAAGTGACTGGTTAGAGTGGGACCTGGAGTGGTGAGGCCCAGGTTCAAGTCCTGCCTCTATCACCTGCTTTCTATGGAGCTTCGGGCACATAATATAACCTCTCTGGAAACCAGTTTCCTCTTCCATACAATGAGAAAGTTCCACTAACTTAGGGATCTTCCAACTGACTTCTGCAGACACGGAAACTCCACAGAGTTGCCTTCAAAATCACCCCAAGGGAGAGGAGGCCTCCATCCCGACTTCATCCAGCGTAGATCTTTTCATTCGTTTTCCACTTTGGAGTCCTTATAAAATGTCATCTACCCTAACGTTTCTGTTTCTGAATGTTTAAAAAGCCACCATTCTAGATGATCTCTAGTTGTCCCATTTATTTGCTCAACCACCATGTTTTCAGTGGCAACCTAGCATTTGTTAGACATAGTTCAGGCACTGTGAGGAGAAAGAAAGAAATCTTGACCTACCCTCAAAGAGCTCAGGATCTAGTGGAAGGGAGGAGTGTGTATGGTTTGGTAGAGTATCAAGGTGTCTGCATCAGGTTTTGTGGGAGAGAGGAACTAGTTCTGATTAGGGACATCAAGAAAGGCTTCAAGGAAGAGGTGTCATTAATAGTTGGCTCTTCAAGGGTGAAATAGTTGGGAGAGGAGTGCAGGAATGACATTTTAGGCAGATGGAAGAACATTGCACAGACAGAGGCACTAAGCAACATTTGCCTGGCAAGTTTGGGAAAAGCAGGTAATTTCTTGTCCAAAATATAGAGTAAGAGTGGGAGGAGGGATATTGGGAGAGGTGTCAGGTTCCAAAACTCACTCTGAGAGCATGCTAGCATCTGTCCTTCTCCTGTCTCGAATGTCAGATGAAAGGAAGTACCTTCTCTCCTGCTCACTTTTTTGTATGTTCACTTCCAATGAGACTGTTAATAACAGTAATAGCCATTGTCATTTGTGGAGCTTACCCTATACCAGGATGAAAAAAAAAAGCCTCAAAGAACTGGCACATGCCTACTGAAGTTCAGAGAGCTAGGAAGTGGCAGAGCCAAGATTAGACCCCAGATCATTGAACTACACATCCACACACAGAACTAGGCGATATTGCCCTCTGTGATCAGCTTTATCTCCTTACAGCATAATACAGTATCCTTAGAAAATAACCTCCGAGTGAGATCATTGAATCACCTGCCAATAGTAATTCTCTCAAGGACACTTTGATGCCCTAAACTGAGGTGATATTTTTTAAAGATTATTATGCATCTTGAGTGAACACCATGAACCCCTGGGTACAAGATGTGTCTGAGTGACTGATTTTCTGGCTTCTGGCCTCTCGGGGTTCCCTGCCAGCCAGGGCTCTGACCATGAAAGGTGTATCATGTTTATTCTCTCTTCTCTTCCCACAGGCATGCTTGTGTTATTCGTGGCCAAGTGATGACATCAGATGGAACCCCCCTGGTTGGTGTGAACATCAGTTTTGTCAATAACCCTCTCTTTGGATATACAATCAGCAGGCAAGATGGCAGGTAGGAGACCTTCTATGAGCCAGAAACAGTGAAGGTCCCGCTCTTGTGGTCTTGCCATATAGCTGCTGCTGGACTGATAATGTGGAAAGAGGATGGGTCTTGGATTCAGAGGGCCTGAATTCAAATGCCCAGCTCTGCAACTTACTAATTGTATGACCTTGTACCTAACTCTGGCCTATGTCCCTTTGACTCTAGATTTAGCAGTTTCTTCTCATTTGGTTCTCAGAGTAAGGAGAGGGTACCTTATACATATCCTGCTCCATGACTTATGATATAAAACAGTCATGCGAACCACTTTCTGCAGAACAGACAGCTTGAGAAATCTCAGCCATTCCTGTTATGTGGTTTCCATCCTGCAGCTGCTTAGATCTATGTAAGCCATTTGGGTGATGACAGAATTCTGACCTTTGAATTCCTCCAAGAACCATCAGCAGAATGAAATAAAACTTCCTTAATGGCCCTAGCTCTCCCACCTGCTGTGTGTCCTAGGATAATTCTCCTTACCTCTCTGTGTCTTGGCTTCATCTGTTAAATGGTCCTAATGCTGTTTATCTCACAGATTGGTTTTGAGGGTTAGAAGATATGGTGAATGGGGAAGCACCTGGCGCATAGTACGTGGTTAACAAATCTTAGTTCCCCACCCCACTTTGATTCATTGCTGTATTTCCAGTGTCTGGCACATAGTAAGTATACAATAAATATTAGCTATTTGTTAAAATTACAGATTATTGAATGAGTAAGTGATGGTGACAGGACAGGCAATGAGAATATTTTGGAGAAAAGGAAAAAAGGAGGAAAGTGGAATATTTAGGCTGTCAGTGGTGACAAGTCCTCTATTTTTAATAAAACCAGGTGGTGGCAGTCCATCTGGCTAAGCGTGGGCCCATAAGGTTGATTTTCACTCTGTGTTGGAAATTATGCTCCAGCTTGATTGATTTTAGCACCTCTTTAATCCAATATCAGATGTGAACATGTCCCGGCCGAGGTGATAATGAAGTAGAGGCTCATCTGTTTGTAGACATGTGTGCCTCTTAGATGGGGTTGGCAAGCTTGGCATGGGGTGCCCCCTCCCCACCTCTCACTCCATGTGAATAGGAAGAGGCCCAGCTGGAAGACATTAGTGGCCAGTCTTCAGGGATAAACTGGCCAGGCCAGGCCACTGTTCCCTACCCTATACACCTTCCCACCCAGGAAGGCCCTCATGAAGACTCCCACTACAGCATGAAGGATGCTGCCTGCTGTATGAAAGTGGCAGATGTGAGCCTCCTAGGCAACAGGTATTCTGACCACATTATTACCTGCTGTGAAACATTCATCCAAAAGGAGTCTTTCAGGACTGACTTTTGCCATGAAACTTGCCAGTCACTCCTGTGAGATGGCAAATCGTCAGTCCTTATGCCCTGTTGTGGTTGGTTAGAGTAGATTCATAAAACACACCGAGTCTGGCATAAGTTCAGTGGCCTTTGGGGAAAGCTCAGTCTCTGACACTTCCTGATTCCTCCTGTTTGTGCTTCCTCTACAATTTCTACTGCCCACTGAGAGCATGGAGCTAAATATCAGCCCTGTTTCCTGCATCATCCTCCTAAATTACATCACGTAGCCAGAATTGCTGCAACAGAGCTTGAATTTCAGATCAATTCTTACCAATGCATTTTGGGGCTCAAATTTTCTTCCCAACTCAGCCACTGCATAATGTATGGGAAAGTTATCAATTGTTCTCTTAGTATCCAAAAATCTCTGTTTGTTACATGTGAACAGGTATCACTGCCCTCCCACCCTTCCTTAACTCACCTTCTTTCTTACCTCCCGTACCTTACGAAAAACCATAAGACTAAGAGATATAGTCTGGAAATAACAGTGTGCACAAGTGGACTGAAAGTCCAGGGACATGTATTCTTCGCTTTCCAGGAAGGCACCATGATACTTGCCCTCATCCAGCTCCCCCACCCCTACTCACATGCACGCGCGCGCACACACACACACACACACACACACACACACACACTTGCTGAAATCCCAGACTTCACACCTTAACAGGAGCTTACAAACAGAAAACAGTAGCAGAGAAGTTAGCCAAAGAGATCATTTAAAAAATGGAAAATAGAGGCCATGAAGAAAAACTAAAAGAACAGCAGGCAAGAGATGTAGATTAGGCTCATTGAATTAAAAATTGGGGGCCAGATGCAGTGGCTCACATCTGTAATCCCAGCACTTTGGGAGGCCACGGCGTAAGGATCACTTGAGCACAGGAGTTCAAGACCAGCCTGGGCGTTCAAGACCAGCCTAGGCAGCATGGCAAAACCATGTCTCTATCAAAAAAACATACAAAAATTAGCTGGGTGTGGTGGCATGCACCTGTAGTCCCAGCAACCCAGGAGGCAGAGGTGGGAGGATTGCTTGAGCCCAGGGAGGTCAAGGCTTCAGTGAGCCATGATTGCCCCACTGTACTCCTGCACTCCAGCCTGGGTGACAGAGTGAAACCCTGTCTCAAAAGAAAAAAGAGAGAGAGAAAGAAAGAAAGAGAAAAGAGAGAAAGGGAGAAAAGGGGAAAGGAAAGGGAGAAAGGGGGAAAGGAAGAAAAGAAAGGAGAGGAGAGGAGGGGAGGGGAGGGGTGGGAGCCAAGACAAGGGAATGTGTGAGGCCCTGTGCTTTTCCCATCTATTATCCCATCTGTATAATCAATAACCCTGCCAAATGATTATGATCATCAGCTTCATTTTACAAATGAGAAAACTGAGGCTTGGAAAGGTGATATAATTCACCCATGGAGCAAGTAGTAGTGTTCAGAATGGCCCTGCGCTGTTTGGGCTTCATATGATAACCAGGCCTTCCCTTTGGGGTCACATTCACATTCATGTCCAAAGCAGGGTTTCCCCTCCAGAGGAGCGGGCCTAGCCCCAGCTCATTACTTGCTCTTGGCAAGGCCAGCTGCCCCCTGCTTGCTCACTGCCTTGGGAATATGTCTTTTCATGTTTGTCTTTCCTCCCTCCTCACATACAGCCTCTCATGAAGGGAGCTTATAAGTCTGGCTAAAATTCTGTTTGACAGTTAAAAATGTTCTATCAAGGCACAGATGCTATTCAGTTCTGTGACAGAAAAATTGTTCTTTGAGTATTTCCCCAAAACCATGGGTATTCTCCTGGAGAGCCAAAACCTGAATTATTGATTCAAAATAAACCCCACCTCAGGTGTTTCTCTGTCATTGAATGATGGTGGTACTCAACTTCATCTAAGTGAATGAGGAACAGGCAAACGGGTGATAGCTCCTGCAAAGGGTGGAAGAGTCAGGCTTTGGAGCTTGGAGCCCCAAATCTGGGGATGCCATCTACCAAGAGCAGAACTTGACACTAGGAAAGGATGGTTCCATGCGGAATCCTTTCAGTCTCTGGAGGAGAGAAGAGCAAGCTGCAGCAATGGGCCCATTCCCACATGGTGGATTTATCAGAGTCAAGATCAGATCCTGCATTGAGGTCTCTCACACCAACTGCCCAGATGAACCTTAGATTTAACTGCAGTAACAGCCAAAGTAAGAAGGGACGTAGGGTGTTTAGTAGATGTCAGTTCAGGAGCAGCTGATGCTGTCACTCATGCATTTATTCCATCAACTTTTAAGCATCAAGCACTGGGCTAGTTTCTGAAAAGACAGAGGACTCAATGTCCCTGGGCCAGAGAGCTCAACAAGCAATGACAGTGCAATGCCATGCGTGTGGGGCAGTGGAACCCAGGGAGGAAGCTGGAATTCTGACTGGGTAAGGCTGTGTGGGGGAGGTGAAGTTTGAGCTATACAGTTTGATAGTTAGGAGTTCTCCATCCAACAAAGCCAATTAAGACAGGCTTTGAAAATGCCTACTACAGCCAGGGTGTGACAGAAGGAATGGACTAGTTTGAAGTCACCCAGGAGACAGACATCAGGCCCAGTGAATAAGAAGCTGGAAAGAGAGGGACCCACACTCAATTTAAAAAAAAAAAAAAAAAGTTCTAACAGTCAGAACTAACCTAAAACAGAACAGTCCTCCTGTGGATATAGCAATCTCCTCATCTCTGGAATTGCATAAGTAGGAACTGAATGAGCCCTTGATGGTGGTTCTATAGAAGGAACTGATGCATCAGATGGGAGGGGGGCTAGGTCAGATGACCATTAAGTTCCTCTCCAGTGGTTCACCTATTACTTGATTTCAACTTTCTGTTTTAAGAAGAGAAAGGACACAAAATTCTAGTCTTACATCTTTTTATTTTTTATTTTTTATTTTTTATTTTTTTGAGACAGGTTTCACTCTGTCACCCAAGCTGGAGTGCAGTGGTGCAATCTCAACTCACTGCAACCTCTGCCTCCCAGGTTCAAGCCATTCTCCTGCCTCAGCCTCCCAAGTAGCTGGGATGACAGGCACCCACCATCACTTAGTTCACATCACTTTTGTATTTTTAGTAGAAACGGGGTTTTAGCATGTTGACCAGGCTGGTCTCGAACTCCTGATCTCAGGTGATCCGCCCTCCTCGGCCTCCCAAAGTGCTGGGATTACAGATGTGAGCCACCATGCCTGGCCTAGTCTTATGTCTTATTGCATGATAGGGCTTTAAGTAGCAGCCATGCTATGCCCTCTTCTTAATTCAGCAGACCCAGCCTGCCGGATTAGTGATGTACCTTGGTTCACATGTGGCCCTCTTTTCCCATTATCTATAATCTGAGTCCATCTGGCTTCTAAACATGTGGCTGCAGAACCCTCAAATCAGGTTCCATGTGGGGCTGGGCAGTGTCAGAAACATTGGGTGTACAAATAGGGAGGAACTCAGTTTTCTTCAATGTTCAAAAAGTAAAAGTGCATGCCAAGGCTTGGATGGGAACGTGCCTTGCTAGGTTTGTCTGCAGGTGATTGGAGTTAAGATGCCAGCACCAAACAGAGCTGCCAGTATGTTTCTGGCTGGGTCCTGTTTGGGCACAAGATATTCTGGGGTGAGGCAAGGAAGACTCTGCCTGTACAATCCCCACAAGCCTGAAACAAGAGGGACTTAGCAGGGGGTCATCTAGGATCAGGGAAGGCCTGGAGACCATCATAGAGCAAACCCATTTGGTGTCACATTGAAGACAGAACTAGGACTAGGAGGGCAGGTTTCTCCTCAGACCTCCCCAGCATCCTCAGAGGCTGATGAACAGAGGCTGGGCTGCCAGCTCTCCAGATGCTGTCACAGTGATCTCATCTCAACTAGGAGGCTGGCACTCAGTCTTCTGGTTCTCCTTTCACTTGTAAGATACTGTGTTTCTAATTGAGCCATCTTTAAACTGCTTAGCTATTTTGTAATTGCAAAGGCCTTTGTTGAGTAATCTATCACAATTAGAGCTAAGATTGCTGTGGAGTCATAGAATCTTAGAGACTTAAGAATAATCCATTTGAGCCTTTGCATTTTACAGATGAAAAAAATGAGGATCAAAGAGGCTAAGTGACTTACCCAAGATCACATAATAGTTGAAGACAGAGCCAGGACCAGGCTTGGGGTTCTAACACCCAGATCAAGGCTTGCCCTACTTTATTCACTGACTTTTCACTGGGCTTTCAGCTCTGACATGGTTGAAAGGCCCTAAGTACCAGCAGCACCACTGTCAGCTCTTGTGTATCCTGAAAAATGGCTCTCCACAGCAGTGGTTCATTTCAGCAAATTCTCTATGTGAATCATTTTATGGGGTAAAAAAAAACTGCTTTCTAAAATCACTGCCATTGTTTGGAGCTGCAGTCAAATATTTAGGCATTAGAGCCTCCCTCAAGAAATGCTGAGACCCTTTGGTGTAATTTTCTCCCCTTTCTTTGTCTCTCTCTTTCTCATCCTGGTTCCTGCTCTTCCTGCTCCCCGCCCCTTCTCAACCTTCCCCTCCCAAACAGCTTTGACTTGGTGACAAATGGCGGCATCTCCATCATCCTGCGGTTCGAGCGGGCACCTTTCATCACACAGGAGCACACCCTGTGGCTGCCATGGGATCGCTTCTTTGTCATGGAAACCATCATCATGAGACATGAGGAGAATGAGATTCCCAGCTGTGACCTGAGCAATTTTGCCCGCCCCAACCCAGTCGTCTCTCCATCCCCACTGACGTCCTTCGCCAGCTCCTGTGCAGAGAAAGGCCCCATTGTGCCGGAAATTCAGGTACCCAGCTTTCCTAATTGCATTCCACCATGCTTTTATTTCATTTTGGGGGTGGAGGAGGATCTCAGAGACAGTGGAAAGAGAAAAAACACCTCTGTAGGGCTTGGGTCAGGTCCCATCAGCCTGTTATGCAAAATCCAGCCACCAAACCCCACAGCAGGCATGGTGTAAGGGCATGAGGGGCACCCCTCTTACACATGGAAAACACATGAGTGCCTGGAACTGCCTGGCACACTCTGGTTTATACTAAATTCTCTCTGTCTTTCCACTCTCCTGGTTAGTTCACTTCTGCCTACTTTCCTTTTCCCCAGCCTCCTGTGTCCCTCTGTCATTATTTCTGTTAAAACTACTTAAAATAAATGGTTCTACCAAGAGGAATGTGCCAAAGGATCCCGAAGAGTGAGCATTATAATAAAGATTAAATGAGAAAAATGTATATGAGATGCTTAGCACAATGTCTGTCACCTAATAAGTACTCAATAAATTTTAGCTATTATTATTAAGATTATTTAACACACGCTGCCTTCATGCCAATTAAGGATTGCCTTGGCTCAAATCTGTACATACAACTGCTTTACTTAACTATCATTAAAAGAAAGTAATTGGGAAAGATGCATTTTAATCTGATGGAAATCAAGATAGATATTTTCACCTAACAAAGCTCTGCCAGTTGAATTTCCTTCGCTGTCCCCAGCCCAGTTTCTAATGGCAGCAGTGAAGGCCTGAGGAAGTGGAGAGATGTCAGTGTAGAAGCCCAGGAGAAGTCCCGGTTGTCTCACCTGCCTAATGAGAACTCAGGCAATGTGCCTATTAATGGATTGCGGGCGCTGGTGGAGCAGGGATTTTATATATTTTTTTGTGTATATTTCATGCCTGGCTGAGCAAACACCTTTCCGTGCGTACCCTGTTGAGTGGCTTCCGATGCCAGCCAACAAGAAGGACATACAATCATTTTGAAATTCTCATTGCACTCACAGGTTGAAACCTCCTTTTCAGAGATTCAGCGCCTGTCTCCTGTCTCAACTACCAGGCTGACCTTTCTTATGAAATGGTTGTCAGTGGAGACAGAGCTTGCTGGAGAGAAGTAATTTGTTACTCAACCCTGGCTCAGCTCCAGCTAGACATTTTTCCCAGGAGCAGGGACTCTGGAACAAAAGGGGTTAAAGGTCACACCCTCTTTACAGTGCTCCCTGAGCTGGGTGCCTGCACGTTCAGTTAGGGCAAAAATCTTGCTTATTATCAGATTCATGAAATACACATAAACAAACTCTTGGATTTTCCCAGTCCTCTCACAGGTTAACCTTTGCAAGTGCTGGGAGATATGAATTTTAAAGGGTATGTTAAAGAAGGTAAATATTTTTGAGAGCATCAGGATGGCACTTCAGTCATGCCAGGGGCTCACCAGGGTATAAGTCCTGCTTTGCCTCAAACTTATAAGCTGTAGTTTAGGAAGATTGCCTTAGTTTAAGCCCAATCCCTAAAATTTCCTGTGTTCAGGAGAATGGGGTGAGGGTAAACGTTCACACTTGTCTATGAAATGGACAGGATGAAAAAGGCCCAGATCCACTGTAAACGTAGGGTAGAATAGCCATTGTCCCTTGAATAGATACAATAGCCTCAATTGATTTAATGTTCCTTTCTTGAAACAGAGCCCAGCGCATCAAGCTGATAAAGTTATCTGCTTTTGCTGTCTGCTTGGGCATGCTGGCATTCATTTAAACTTTCCAACTTAGAACTAGGCTCATTGCACCCAGTAGCTAAGTGACCTGAGCGTTCCCCGGGTCATAGCCTTCCCCACTCTGTCCATCTGGCACTGGAGCTGGGGCCCAGAGTGGCCAGAAGCTCCGTGCAGCCAGTCCAACCTCTCTCTGTGGATGAGCTGGGGCTGTGAACCACAGGTCCTGCCAGGCTGTGGTCTGAACTCTGCATAATTATTTGTTTGGTCAACATCTCGTAGTGTCTGTTTAATTTCCCGAAAAGGAAAGTCATTTGGAACAGATCTCATTTGAGGAAAGTTTTGAGAGAGAAACCATCCTTCCTGCTTAGGCAGCTGGCCGCAGTAGTCTCTCTTCATGGCATCCCTCCTGCCAGCACCACCACCAGCAGCAGCAGCACTGCATGCCACCTGACAGCGTTTCTGTGCTAGGCACTTTACCTATGTGACCTTTCTCAGTCCTCACACAAAGCCAGTGAGGAGACTGAGATTCAGAGGTTCCGTGAGCTTTCTAGGATAACACAGCTTGAGAACCAGTGGCAATGTGATCTAAGTATTTTATATGCATATCCTATGTATTCCTCTCAAAACTGCAGTGAAATGAGTGCTGTCATCCCTGTTGTACAGAGCAGGAGGCTGAGGCTTGGCGAGGTGAGGTGACTCCTGCAGGGTCACCACATGAAAACTGGCCCCAGATACCAGGTCCTCTGACATGTTTTACTCCTCCCCAATCTTTCTCCCATCTCATTTATGCTTTTCCCTTCCTCCTCCTCCTCCTGCTTCTCTTCACCCTCTGCTTCCCCTCTTCTTTCCACTGTCTCCTCTTTTTTTCCCCTCCTCTCTCCTTCTGCCTTTCCCTCTACCTCCTGAACACCCAGAGTCCATGGGGCCACGCCATCTTCCCTCCACTCGGTGAGTCGACGACCGTCCCTTGCTGTGATCTGCCTCTGCTTTCTAGGCTTTGCAGGAGGAAATCTCTATCTCTGGCTGCAAGATGAGGCTGAGCTACCTGAGCAGCCGGACCCCTGGCTACAAATCTGTCCTGAGGATCAGCCTCACCCACCCGACCATCCCCTTCAACCTCATGAAGGTGCACCTCATGGTAGCGGTGGAGGGCCGCCTCTTCAGGAAGTGGTTCGCTGCAGCCCCAGACCTGTCCTATTATTTCATTTGGGACAAGACAGACGTCTACAACCAGAAGGTGTTTGGGCTTTCAGAAGCCTTTGGTAAGCCTCCCGGCTGCAGGACTCAGAGAATAGCTCTTGCAGGGAGGACTCTTTCTACCTCCCTAGTTCCTTCTTCCTTCCTTCCTCTTCTCAGATCAAAAATACCTAAGGCTTAATTGACCTTTAAGACCTGTCCGTGACTGGCCAGGACCTAAAAGAATGTGAACTGAAAGACCTGAATGTAGAAAACCCGACCATTACAATGAGGCTACAGAACCAAAGGGCCCTGAAAAGTGCTGTGCTGGCTTGTGAGGGGCTAAAAGAGGTCATGTGCCACAAAGGCAGGGCCAGGTGGACATTGCCTGGCCACCCCACAGCCATCCTGTGGGAACTTACCCATTAAAATAGGAGAGCTAAAAAATGGTTTCTTTCATTTTTTTTTTTGAGGTGCAGTAACTAAGATTCTTCCTCCATCAAAAATGCTTTTTGGCCTCTTTACCCAGTCAGAGAGGTCATCTCTTTGTTTTTGTTATTGCTGTCTCTTTGTAAGATGAAACAGAAGTTGGCTGTAGCCTCACCTGGAGTCCTAGCCTCTCTTGGCCCTTGGGCTTCCAGGGGCTGGCTGTATGCATTTCTGCTTCCAGATTAGAGGAGGTCCTAGGAAGGGCTCAGAGCTAGACTCTCAGCAGGCCTAACCCTGCGGAGTTGATCCACCAAGCACTTAAGAGTAACCATCCAGCAAATCCCTTCTCGTCTTGAACCCCACTCCAATTTCATTCCCTTAGGTTCAGCAAAGGTAGAGATTCAGCAAAGGCAGAATGAGGAAGCAGAGAAGTAATGTTTTTAGAAAGGAAGGAAGTGGGGAAGGAAGGGAGGGAAGGAGGAAGAGGAAGAGAGGGAGGGAAGGAGGCGGGAAGAGGGAAGGGAGGGAGGGAGCAGAAGCAAGGAAGGGAGGGAGGAAGAGGGGGGAAGAAGAGGAGGAGAGAGGTGGGAAGGAAATAAAAGAATGTTGCTTGAGCACCTACTGTGGGCAATGTGTGCCCCTGTACATTAGTCACTCCATTAATCCTTATACTCTGTGAGTCAAAAATTGTCACCCCCAAATTCTGCATTAAGAAGCTGAGGCCCAGAGAATTGAGATGACTTCCCAGTGAGATGCACAGCTAGAAAGGAACAGAGCTGGATTTATTCCAGATCTTTCCTATGGGTTCGCATACAATCCTACCAAAGAAGGGCACAGTGGGAGCAAAGGTGCCATCTCTCACTGTTCATGATCCCTTCTGTAGATCAAGCCACTTCTGTCGTCTTTTTTAAAATGAGGCCTTATAACCTCTTGAGAAAAAATGAGCACTTCTAGTGCCCGCCAGTCAGTTAAAAAGGGAAGTGACTGGGCTGCAGTCACTTTCCTAAGATCACAAGTGACCACAGTGGCTGCTTAAGGAACTCAAGGCCATGGGGGAAGGGGTCACAGGGACGTCTTCCAGCCCATTCCCCCGTTGCCATAAATGGTCGGCAGTCTTTTATGGCATCTACAAGAAACTTTAAGGAGCTGCTCAGTTGTTAATTCCTGTCTTGAACATGTAGTAGAATATTGTCCACTGGAAAATAGTGGCTGCCCAGAAAGACGCTTGGAAGAAATAGCATTCCTGTCTCTGCTGGTTCCTTTCCATAGTCCAGTTACAGGACTTTTTACACACCCAGGGGCAGGGAGGCTGTCATGTTTAGCCTTCATCCCAGTGACCTTCTAAGGGGTCCTGGATTTATGAAACAAAAGCTTTGAAACCTCAAAGTAACTTCCAGCTTTTTAAAAGTAATCCAACTAAGTTCCTTTTCTATATATTCACTGTAAATGACTTTAAACATTTTTCCTAATTTAAAAAACACCATAGTCGTTAATAAAAATTTGAAAAATGGACAAAAATAGAAAAAAGTCATATGTGATTCTGTAAACAAATACAACTAGTTTTCTTTTTTCATACATAATTTCTTTTTTTTTTTTTTGAGGCGGAGTCTCGCTCTGTCGTCAGGATGGAATGCAGTGGCTCACTGCAACCTCTGCCTCCTGGGTTCAAGCTATTCTCCTGCCTCAGCCTCCCGAGTAGCTGGGACTACAGGCGCCCACCACCACACCCGGCTAATTTTTGTATTTTTAGTAGAGACGAGGTTTCACCATGTTAGCCAGGATGGTCTCCATCTCCTGACCTCGTGATCCGCCCGCCTCGGCCTCCCAAAGTGCTGGGATTACAGGCGTGAGCCACCGCGCCCAACCCGTAATTTCTTTTAATGCAAATTACCATATATAACCAGTCTTTTCAACTGAGCATTGCTCCATAAGCATTTCCCAGGTCACCACATTCTTCTTCACTGTGATTTCCAGTGGCGTCATAGTATTCCTACAGTGGATGCACTTGGGTTTGCTCACCCTCTCACCCCTCTTGAACCTTTAGATTACATCTAAGTTTCCAATATTAAATAATGTGGTGAAGACTTGTGCACAAAATATTTTCCATACTATATTAGTCCGTTCTCGTGTTGTTATAAATACCTGAGACTGGGCAATTTATAAGAAAAGAGGTTTAATTGGCTCATGATTCTGCAGGCTGTACAGGAAGCCTGGCAGCATCTGCTTCTGGGGAAGCCTCAGGGAGCTTTGACTCATGACAGAGGCAAAGCGGGAGCAGCCATCTTACATGGCAGGAGCAGGACCTGGGGTGGTGGGAGGAGGTGCTACACACTTTTAAACATCTGGATCTCAGGAGAACTCGCTCACCATGATGAGAACAGCACCAAGAGGATGGTGCCAAGCCGTTCATGAGAATCCACCCCATGATCCAATCACCTCCCACCAGGCCCCACCTCCAACACTGGGGATTACAATTAAACGTGAGATTTGGGTTGGGAACACAGAAACAAACCCCATCACATACTAAAGATTATTTCCTTGGAAGGGATTCACTTAGATCCTTTTAAAGTAATTGGTACATTTATTTTAACTTTTCCCCAAATGTAAAATTGATCTTCCAAAAAAAAGAAAAAATGATTAAGGCTCAGCAACCTTGTGTTAGTGTTTCACATCGTTCTGGTTGCCACTTAGAAATATGACCCTTTTTTCCTCTTCTACAAAAGATAAGCCAGGGGCCTTGCCTACAGGTCTAAAGGCCAAAGAGTGGGCTTTGCTCACTTATGCATTTTGCCTCATTCTGTCACCTACAGTTTCCGTGGGTTATGAATATGAATCCTGCCCAGATCTAATCCTGTGGGAAAAAAGAACAACAGTGCTGCAGGGCTATGAAATTGACGCGTCCAAGCTTGGAGGATGGAGCCTAGACAAACATCATGCCCTCAACATTCAAAGTGGTAAGTGGATTAATAGAATTACTTGAACCAGGCTGGGGTGGAACCTTGTCTCATATCCCTTGTGCCCTGCCAAACAAAAAATTCACATTTTGAATCCCATAGGCTCCTATGTGGTCAGAGAGCTCAGTCAACAGATATTGCTTGAAGACCTCCTCTGAGCCTGTCACTGTGCTAGGCACTGGGGATGTAGAAATGAATGGCCTCAAGGCTTTATGCCTGTGAGACACAAATACTCACCAGGCAGTTTCAATGTTGTGCCATATGCACCCTGACATCACAGAGGGAGGCACAGGGCACTATGAAGGCTAGAAGAAGAGCACCTCACCCAGCGTCTTGGTTCATCAATGTGTCTCTTTGGCAAGAACTCCTGAAATGAGTCTCAGAGGGTCTATAGGATTAGCCCTGTGTATCAAGTAGGGAGAACATTTTAGGCAGAAGGTACAGTATGTGCCAAAGTGCTGAAGCCTAAAAGAAAGTTACTGGAGAGAAGGTTCATTGTGATTTAAGCAGAGGATGACATGAAGGGAACAGCAAAAGACAAAACTTGGGTGTGAGCAGCTGGAACCCAGGGTAAGAAGATTAGGACTTTCAACTTCATCCAAGGCAAATGTCAAGCCTCTGCAGGGACTAACGCATGCGAGTGGCACCATCAGATCTGTATTATAGATAACTCACTCTGACCATGAGCCGGGATGGGACAGCTAAATATGGTAATGATGTCAGATATCACCTGCCTGATCTAAAAAGGCAGTGAGTGCCCATCAAAACCACAGCATGTTTTCAGGGGGAATTGACAAACTAATTCTAAAATTTACGATAGAATACAGACTTGTAAATAGCTAACGCAGCCTTTAAGAACAAAGAAGAGGGACTCACCAGATATTAAGCTATCCTAGAAAAACCATATTATCTAAAACTGTGTGGTGCTGGCACAGGAACAGATAAATTGATTCCGTGGAATAGAACGCATTCAGAAACTGACCTGGGAAGAGTAATTAAACTAAGCTTTGGCCCCAAGTTTCAGAAAAGCCAAAATAACTGAATTGGAAATAAAGTTTGCTTCTCACTCACCTCACTTCTCACTCTGCAAGTCTGGAGGTAGATAATCCAGGGCTGCAGGGTCTGAGACCCAGGCTCCTCTCTCTCTGTGCTCCACTCAGGCTTTCATCTCCAAAGTCATGATCCAAGGGGACCACTTCAGGTCCAGCCTTCACATCCACTTTCCAGCCATCAGGAAGGAGGTCAAGGATGAAGAGCAAGTCCCTTGCATTGTAAGGACACCTCCCAGAAGCTGCCCATATCACTTTTACTTACATGCCATTGCAAGAACTTAGTCGTGGATGTAGCTGCCTTGGAGCCAGGGATCGTGGTCTGTTCCAGGCAGTCACGTGCCCAGCTAAATAGCAGGGATTCTGTAACTGCAAAAGAAGGAAAGGGTGGATAGGAAGGAGAAGTTTCTGCCACATACCATGTGTATATAAGAACTTGGAACATGACAGAGATAGCATCATATATCAGTGGAGAATGGATGGGTGTTTTAGAACTTAGTATTGGGAAAATTGGCTCAATATATAGAGATAAATTAAGTCCTCACTTCACACTATATATAAAGTAAATTCAGATGTTTTCTTAAACATCTAAATGAGAAAGATAACACTTTAAAATTGATGGAAGAAAATATTTAAAAGGCCAGGCACCGTGGCTCATGCCTATAATCCCAGCACTTTGGGAAGCTAAGGCGAGAGGATCGCTTGAGGCCAGGAGTTTGAGACTAGCCTGGCAACATAGTGAGACCCCATCTCTACTAAAATAATTGTTTTTAAAAAATTAGCTGGGTGTGGTTGCACATGCTTGTGGTCCCAGCTACTCAGGAGGCTGAGGTGGGAGGATCACTTGAGCTCAGGAGTTCAAGGCTACAGTTAAGTCAAGAACATGCCACTATACTCTAGCCTGGGCAACAGAGTGAGACCCTGTCTCAATTAAAAAGAAGAAAGAAAAGAAAAAAGAAAAGGAGAGAGAGGAAAGGAGAGGAGAGGAGAAAGGAAGGGAGGGAAGGAGGGAGGGTAGGCAAGAAAGAAAGAAAGAAAGAAAAAGAAAAGAAAGAAAGTAGTTAATTAATTAATTAGTGGAGTACTTGTAAAAATCTCAGGAAAGGATTTCCTAAAACCTAACAAAGTACAAACTTTAAGGTAGAAAAATGATTGATTAGAGTACGTAAAAATTAAAGCTATCCATTGAACAAAGGACAGCTTTGACAAAGCTAACAGGTAACAGTTTGGGAGAAGATCCTGATGATCTGTAAGAGCACAGCTCACTTGGGCTTCAGTATGGAAGAGGTGAGGCAGCGGGCAGAGGATCCAGTTTGGAGGCTGTGAAGTGTGCATGAGGAAAAAGGAAGATCCAGACTAAAAAGAAACAGGATGGATATGGGAAGAAGCTTTTGCGTCATTGAGGTCAATCCCCTCATTTTGTTGGTGGGGAAACAGGCCCAAGGGCAGTTAAAGCAGTAAAGAGATCTATACAGGAGCTGGGATCAGCCCATTAATAACAAAGCCAGGTAAAAGCCTGTCGCTTCTTGACTCTCCTTTGATGAGAAGAGACTGTGAGTTTCACTCATTCATTTCTATAAACATTCACTGGTATCTACTCTGTGTCAAGCTCTGCGCTAAGCACTGGGGATACAGAAAGGAAAAAGACATAGTCTCCACACTTGAAATGGTATCAATTGAAAGAGAAAAACAAGTAAGTATGATAAATAATTCATGCTGTCATAGAGCTATGGACTGGGTACATGAGATATGGACAACCTACCTGAGAGGCAGTGTAGGTGAATGGCTAAGCGCCCAGACTCTGGAGCTCTTCCACTTATCTTCTGTGTGACTTTGGGTAAGGTCGGTTAAGTTACCTGGACAGTCCCCTGTTACAGTAGGGATAATAATAGTGTCTATCTTACAGAGCTATGGAGTGAATTAAATCTGTATGACTTGTTTAGGACAATCTGGGTTCCATTGGGGGGGTGAGGCAAAGCCTTGGGCTATGATCCTGGAAATGGTTGATGGAGATCTTGCATGCCTTGCAAAATCAGGTGACTCTGTGGTCAACCACAGGAAAAGATACCCATTTCCTGCTCCACAGGCAATTCTGTTCTTTCCTTGTCCCAGGCATCCTGCACAAAGGGAATGGGGAGAACCAGTTTGTGTCTCAGCAGCCTCCTGTCATTGGGAGCATCATGGGCAATGGGCGCCGGAGAAGCATCTCCTGCCCCAGCTGCAACGGCCTTGCTGACGGCAACAAGCTCCTGGCCCCAGTGGCCCTCACCTGTGGCTCTGACGGGAGCCTCTATGTGGGTGATTTCAACTACATTAGAAGGATCTTCCCCTCTGGAAATGTCACCAACATCCTAGAGCTGAGGTATGTAAGGTGATGCTTTCTTCATAGTTCCTAATAATATGCCTTTGCCATCCTTTGGGCCCCGCCACATTACCTGCTGAGCCCAGGGAAGTGGGATAGGACAGAGCCTTGCCCGTCAGGCTCTGAGACTTTTCACCTCCCAGCTCAAGCAGGTGCTGCTTCCCCAGTGCACTACAGTGAAGACAAGCTACCCAGGACAGGGAGATGTCCCTGGCATCCAGAGTACATCTGTGACATAGAAGGCTGCTAGCAGCCAAAAATTAGACTCCTTGGAAGCCACTGAATCTTCTTTCTGTTTCCTGGAAGTAAACTGATTAGAATGAGTCACATGAACCTTTTTTATAAAAACAAGGGGCTGGGTGCCATTGCTCATACCTGTAATCCTAGCACCTTGGAAGACCAAAGCAGAAGGATCACTTGAGGCCAGGCGTTTGAGATCAGCTTGTGCAACCTGATGAGACCCCCATCTGCAAAAAAATAATTTAAAAAATTAGCTGGGTGTGGTGGCACCTGCCTGTAGTCCTAGCTACTCAGGAGGTTCAGGCAGGAGGATCCCTTGAGCCCAAGGGCAGTTCCCTTCAACTGACCAATATCGAGAAAACTGACCTCTCTGCTCCTCAGGTGCTGCAGAAGCAGCTGAGTCAGCCTCTTTCCCCATCCTGACCCTGAGTGATGGAGCACAGCCACGCTTAGAGCTCCGGGAAGGACCTGATATGTTGGATTTTTCTCTATGCCTCCCTAACCTAGATCATTTTAGAACCAGGGCACTGTCATAGGGTGGGCTTAGGGGTCATGGAAGAGCTGTGCTTTAGAGATAAGGGAGCCTCACACTCCCTTTCAAGAGGAATTGCGCCAAGCTCCCTCCCAACTCCTTTAGGGAATGGAATCTGCCTGTCTTCTGGGCCAGGGTGCATGTGAGCAGGACAGGCCCTAGAGCTGGAAAGCCTTCCTCCACAGTGGGCAGGGGAAAAGAAAACTCACTTTTGCTGGGTTCCTACTATTTGCCAAGCATAACAATTCCGTAAGGTGTTTATTATTATTCCCCTTTGGTAAATGAAAAGATGGAGGCTTAGGGAATTTAAAGAACCTGCCTGAGGTCCAGCTTCTAGAATGGTGGACCCGAATCCAGAGATCATTACACACCTCTGCCTCGCCAAAGCCTTGTCACCTGGCCCAATGAGAGCCACTTCGACTTAATGCCTTGTTAAGTTCCTCCCTGGAGGTAAGATCCTACTGCAAGAATCTCACTCTAAGGCGCACGCGTGAAAGGAAGGCAGGGCCAACAGCCATAAGCCCTAAAGAGAAGAGTTAGTATTGGCCCCACACACAGGGCCAGACAAGCACACACGCGGTAGGTTCATAGGAAATCAGATATCGGCTGAATGAGAAGAGGACCACCAGGGGAATATTCTCTGCCCTTCTGCTGTCTATTATGAGTCTGACTGGCACAGACATCTGTCAAGGAAGAAGGATTCTTTGAGCGTATTTGTGTCAGTCAACTGCATATATGGACCACAACAGAAAGCACCATGGACGAGGAAATCAGCTCGCCTCGGCAGAGAAGCTGTGCAACTTTGGACTAATCACTGAACCTCCCTGGACCTCCGTTTTCACCTCTTTCCAATAAGAGACCCCATTTTCCCTGCCTCCCTCCCACAGTTGTTGGGGAGATCATGACAGTGGGTGAAGAAGGGAGATATAAGTGAAATTTGAAAAAAATAAATTTAGAAGTATATTATCATTTTGATATATTTTTTCTTCCAGTCTTTTTTTCCTAGGCCTGTTTCTGTGTCATACCCTCCCTTCTAATTATAGTCTATCTCCAATTCTGTATTCTATTGTGAGGAGGCTCCTGGGAAGTGACCCAAATTTGGGTAACTCTTTGTAGGGAAGTGTGCATGTGGAGACACAGGGCAGTAAGCATGTGTATCTCTGGGTATGTGTCTGTACAGAGGAGAGAATCCACTATTCCAATCTCTGTCTTAGCCCTTGTTAAAGCAGCAGAATGTGTCAACCTAGTCCTCTTCCCCCAAAGTCAGCAGTAGTGGTGCAGGTGAAACCATGCCTCTTCTGTGATATGTAGCTGCTTGTAAGTGAACTTACTGACAAGTAATATCCAATATAAAATACATCAGTGTCACAGCTGCTAAGTCTTTATTTATTACAGTATTGTATAGTACCATTGCTGTCAAGTTTTCAGGCTGCTAATAATGCTTCTAACCCTGCTGCTAACACCTCATTCTTTCTTCTATTCCCTGCTCTCCTGTCTTCTGTCAGAAATAAAGATTTCAGACATAGGTAAGCCAACCAGTGGAGAATTTCCTGCCTCACCCCTGCCTTGTTGCATGCTGTATGGTAAGCTGCACATGTCAATTTCAAATGGCTGTATGGCAAAAGAATCCTGTGTGATTGGAACTGATTGGGGTAATCAGTTGCAATGGGAGGAAGTCATTAATAATGGCAAGAATGGGTGGCAGGAGCCTGAACTCCTTGGATCTGTTGCAAAGTGAGGCAGTTACTTTGATAGTCTGAAAGTAATATGGGAAAGAATTTGAACCTTGGAATAGTAATTTGAATGCTACAGCCTGCTTATCCTTAGAATAAATGAGGATGTCATCCTAACTGCATTGAACGACTTTGATAGTCATGATAGGAAGTCCTGAGAACATCTTGATCAGGTGAACAATCTGGAAGAAGACAGATTTCACATTTACACTTCTGTGGGCATTCAAGGTGCCTCAGCTTGGGGATGCCAGGCAACCCCACCCAAAAGGCTTGCCATCAGTGAGAAAGCAGGCTCCAGGAACCAACTGCAGAGATCAATCCCCAAATAGGAACTTTGTCCCAGAGTAGGTTTGTCATGTAGACTCACAGCGACATGCAGTAAACAGAAATGGGTCTAGTCAGGCACACCAAGAGAAGTGTCTGCCTGTCAGCATCACCTGTCACTATGGCATTCACCTGACTCCTGGATAGCAGTCACCTCAGAGTCCCCTGACCTCACACACATTGTGGTGACTTGGAAAGTAACCATGGGCAGATAGAGCTGCAGCTTGCATGGCCACAGAAGTGGCTCTCAGTTATCCACCTGCAGCTCAGATCAAAGTGGCATGAGGGTGGTGCTAAGTTGGGATGAAAGAAAGTCTTAGGGGTGGTGGAAAGAGTCAGACAGACCCAGAATCCAGTAATGATTCTATCTCTTTCAATTGAAGTAGCTTCATTATTCATGTAATAATTGTATGTGTTATTTTAAGATAATATATTTATAAGTAGTAAATATAATTATTTAATAATTCACATGTATAGAACATTTACTATGTAGCAGATAGAGGGTTATGTCCTTTACATGGACTATAGCGTTCTATCGCCAAACCACTCTGTGAAGCAGATATCCATGATTACATCAGTAGACAGATGAGAAAACTGAAGCTCCCCAATTATGTGGCCTTGAAAAAATTCCTTCATCTCTCTAAGCTTTAGTTTCTAACATAAGGTTAATAAAATCTCCCTTGGAGTCTTGTTGTAATGATCACAGAAGATATTTGTAAACTATTCAGTACTTTTAGGCACAGGGAGGAGCTCCAGAAATAGTAGTAGTAGTAATAATAATGATAACATCCTATAGAGTTAACAGTATTATAATTTATTATCATAACAATTATTATTATATGATAATTATGATGTCTCCATCTTCCCCAAAAAGGAATTAAATCCTCTTACACCCAAAGGCACATGTATTAAAGTAAATCAAAGAGAAATTGGTAACAAAAAAGGAGGAAACATATATGTGATTATTTATTGATTAAGCTCTGAGCTTCCTGGCAGCCAGTGTAAATAAGAAAACATAATTATTTTCATACTTTATGGCATCAGAAATTGAAAACATGCCCATTTCTCAGAAGAGAACATTTTTTTCCTGACACTGAAATCTGAGATTTTCAATGAGATTTGTATGGATGATACTGAACTATGTAATGACCCATGCCTTCAACTTCAGTTGTACAGAAAACACAGAAGTACATTTCACATGCAGGTCTTGGATTAAAGCCTAGCATTTAATGTTGAAACATTCAGTTAGTGGTGGCGGCTGCAAAGGACACAGCCATGACCCAGGGGGACATAGCTGGGAAGAGTCAGAAGGCCAGGTGCTGTCCAGCCCTGCTGCACATTCACCATATGGCCTTGGGCTGGTTACCTGGCGTTTCTGGTTTCCAGTCTCATGTATAAACTGAAAGAGTTTGTGGTTTGGGAACATTTTGTTTCTGATGTTCAGTGATCTTTTTATATATTCATGGTATGACTTTAAACCCTTCGTCAATTAATTGTTTTCTTCGGTACTAAAAACTTTCTAAGATGAACCAAAGTAGAAAGGAAAAAATGAATCACTTTCTGCCTTGCAGTTTTCTAAAGACAACCAGAAGACAGAGAGCCTGGGTTCAGCTCTGATATTAACTGCCACCTGGATATTGGCAAATCTCTTCCTCTCTCTGGGCTTCAGTGTCCCCATCAGTAAATGTTGGAGATGGATTTTAAAAATTATAGAGTTGTATCTCTTCCTCCATTAACTGTCCCAGCCACTCCCAGTAATATGTCTGGCCCCATGACTGGCAACTGTAGGCTGTGTGTGTGCTTCCCCGGAGCAGACTCATGTCTGCCTTTTGCTTTTCCAGCCTCAGTGCCAGCCTGCTGTGTCGGGCATGCTCAGTACAGAAACCCATAATCCATGGGGCATCTTCCTCTACAGACTCCTTCAGGAAATAAGCATCTTTGCCTCGTCCCAGAGCTCTTCCCCAGGGTCATGGAAGATGTTTGAAGCCTTTTCTTCAGAAGTACATTTGAACTCCAGTGTCCATCAAACCCAGATACACATATTATATTAACTCAGAGCCCTTAATTGTCCCGGGAAATAGGTTGAGCAGGACAAAATAAAGTCTGACATACTTAGTGTTTCCACTGTGCACCAAATCTTCTAGTAGTTTCTAAAGGAACCAGCTTTGCTTAAAAGCTGCCATTTATTGGGTATTTTATTTTTTAGTGGAACAGGCACTATGCTCAGAGGTTTATATTCTTCATGCAATTTTGTCCTCAAAATAATCCTTTGAAATAGGTGTGACTATCCCCATTTCTCAGCTTCAGAAAACTGAGGCTATAGAAGTGATGTGACCAGGGTCACTTAGCCAAGTGGATGGTAGAACTGGTATTTGAACCCTTGACTGTGTGGCTCCAACACTCAACCTCTTCCCACTGGTTCTGAGAACCAGGGAATCAAATTCTGCCAGGGCTGCCAACTGCTGTCATTGAAGGACACTCCTTTGCATGAGGCAGACCTTACTTAGAGACAAAGAGAATTCTCACTCACAAGGAAGTGAGCCTGTATGTCCCTACAGACTCCTAGGTTCCCAGCTCCTACTGGGAAATTCCAAACACCATCCAGAATGAGGGCAGAGTGAAGCTTGGCTTCAGCTCATTAACTTCAGGAATGGTACCCTGAAGGCCTCTTGATTTTACATCACTTCCAGAGAAACTAAGGTTATGTTTGAGGAACTGGAAGAGAATGTGGGTCCTTAGAGACTTCTACAGCAAACTGAAAATGAAGCTGTGATCTTACTCTGTGTCCAGCCCTGCTCAGGATACTGGGCATCAGAATTGAATCAGAATCAGACATGGTCCGTTTCCAGGAAATGCTCCCTGTCCACACAGCCAGGCCTGAGGCCTCCACTGAAGGCCGTCTTCCGTCTCATGCTCTGAGACATTTATGATTTGTAGAGTATTCTAAGGCCTTGCTGCTCAAAATACAGACAAGCAACACTGGCCTGCTCTGGGGATTGTTAGAAATGTGGACTCTCAAGTTCCCCGCCCCAGAGCTACAGAATTGAAATGTGCATTTTAGCAAGGGCTCCAGGTGGCACATTAAAGTTGAAAAAGAACTGCTCGAAGGCCATGGTTCCCAAATCTGGCTGTGCCTCCAAGTCACTTGGAGAGATCTCAAAGGTATAGATGCCCACACCCTTCAATCATTATGGGTAGGGCTATTTTTAAATCTCTCCAGGCCATTCTGATGTGTAGCCATGTTTGAGAACCATCACTCTAAGATTGTTAGCAGTGAGCGTTTCCTATGTATACTCCAGCCAGGGAGGCTGATTCAGCAGAACTTTCTGGAGTACTTATTCTGCATCAGCCCAGTTCAAAGCCGCAGAGACTGGTAATCAGTCCCTCCTCTTGAGGAGTTCAAGGTTTCATCCAAAAGACAGACAATTAAACAGAAAAGTTTAATTGGTGCTACAGATACTAAAAGTATAAACTTTGTAAGCTCTAGTGGAGACACAATGAAGGAAGAGGCCAGTTCTACCAGTGGGGAAGAAGAGGGGGTTCAGGAATGGGATTACAGATAAGCTGAACCTCAGAAGATGAGCAGGTACTCCCAGGTGAATATGGGCAGAGGAACCTTTTAGATCCTGGGCAGCAGGGTGGGGAAGTAGAAAGAACACAGACTTTGGAGTCAAGCAGAACTCGGTTGGAATTTCATCCTGCCACTTAGGAATCTGTGGTCCCAGTCAAGTCACTTCACCTCTTCCAGTCTCAGTTTTCTGAAATATAAGGGAGGAAAGTACCTACCTTATATGGTAGTTGTGAAGAAAATGAGGTCATGTGTGCATCAAGTGCTAGCGCAGTGTCTGGGACAGAATGGGCATCCCTAGGTGGTCACAGATGCATTCTTATCAGTGGTAGTCATCTCTGCAGCTCTGTTCTGCAGACAGGTGGCGCTGCAGCCTGGTGGAGTCTAGATGGGCATCATAGATGCAGCTGCAGCTCCCAGGGCCAGGTGGCAGGAGGACGAAATGAGCTGAATGTTCAGAGAGCTCTGCAAACTAGAAAGGGCTGTTGAGATGTATAATTTCATTTGATCCCAACGACAAGCCTGTGAGCCTAGCCGAGCAGGGACTTAGTCATTCGACAGCTAAGGGACCTACGATTTGAACTATTTAGGTGACTCACCTAAATGAGAGCCTACACCTTCTAAGCTCAAAGCTAGTTGTTGTTTTCCCTATGCTTAACTTACCAGCAGACCTCAGATTTGTCCTTGGGCTGAAAGATGCAGCCACAGCTCTTACGGACTCTGGGATAATCCTGCCAATGCCACCCTGTCCTGGAATTGACTGATCTGAGAAACTCCACATGAGTGACACTTCTCTGGAGCAGTGCAGGGAGACAGGAGCTGGAAACTCAGGGGGCTAATCTAAGTGGACAGGGCCCCCTCACCATACCCCCTCAGGGACCCTTTTCTGCCGAGGTAAATAGCACCAGTTTATCATGAGTGATGTGCAAAGAAATGAAAAAAATCACCCCGCCTCAGAGCTGTCATCAGAAAAGCAGAAAGATCAAGGCTGCCCCAGGATTACACAGTAGGATCTAAGGTCACCGCCTTTTATGTAGCCAGAATTGATGTCATCTGGGAAGCTTAAATCTGTGCTACATTATAGGGTAAGTCTCAGGGGACATTTCAAAATAGACAGGATACCTGTCCTGTTTACTGCTAACCCCAGAAGAGAAGTAAAAGAAGAGCTAAATAATGCGAATGCAAACACTACCTAAGTAATCTAAAAATAGACATGCCATCTACTTAAAACAAGTGGCTGCCATGGGCTAGAAGGCACGAAGCAGAACATTGGAAAAACAAAAACGAACAAAATCCAGTCTCTTCCCTTCAAGTATTGACGATTGGGTTTTGGAGGCACACACATAAATGAACAGTCACAGCATTATGTCCTATCGTCCAGCAATGAATGGATGCAAATCTCCATGCACGGGGAGAAGGCTGGGGAAGGTTTGCAGAGGAGGGAGCATTTGAACTGACAGGTGAAGGGTGAGTAGGAAAGGGAGGGGCGGGGCACACTGCAGAGCAGGAGCAGCAGGTGCAGGCAGACTTGAGGCATGCTGCAGGGACAGGTCTGTGGCCAGGTGTAGGGAGGATGGGAGGGGAGGGAGGATGGGAGGGTGGAGCAGCACAGCAGAAAGCTGGGATTTGTGCAGGGGCAGGGAGCTCATACCTTCTCTGTAAGAATTAAGGAATCCTTGAAGGGAAAGCATTGAAATGGCAGGTTGGTATTTGGGTTAGATCAAGAATGGCTTGAAGAGGACCCAGGCTACAGGCGGAGAGACCTCCCCTTGGTTCGAGAAGGATTAAAGAGGAAGGACAGTTGGAGAAAATCATATCAGGTTAGTTGAATTCAGGGAGAGAAAACCAAAGAAGGAAAGCATTGGATCTGGATGCCTGGCCCCTTTCGAGGTAGCCAGTCCCCAAGGACACTGTCCAAGGCAAGAGACATTTATAATGACAAACCTGCCAGGGCCAGATTAAGACCTTCAGTGACTTACATACTGAAAAGATTATGGTGCCCCAGCCTTCATAGGGAATTCAAAAAACACAAATCTGTAAAATAAAATTTTGCTTTTCAAAAGGACCCCAAACTTACATACCTGATAAATGCAAAATAGCTTCTTTCTAGACTTTTCAAATTCTCTTGCTTTCATCTTGAAGGGGGTCTGCAGTGCTCTGGCCCTGCTGGTGCTCTCATCACTGCTCAGTCTGTCCCGAGTCTCTTAGCACAGTTTATGCCTCACTGTGCAATGAAAATGGCCAGCACCAGACCATCCGGTCCAAACAGAGCTTCCTTTGAATCAAAATACCTTCCGGAGACTTGGAAGGGGCTGCCAATATTGAGATGCAGTTTTAGGGCCCGGCAAATGTTCAGACCATGCACAGGAACTTAAAATTAGCTTCTCAGAAGCACCAAGTTCAACTCCGATGTGCCCTAGACTTGAAAGAAATTGTATGTCAGTACCAGGGGGTAAAAAAATTCAGTCTTAATAAGAGATATCTACTACGTAGTCATCTCCAAGTGCAAGAAGAGACACAATCATTGGTAATTAAAATAATAATTATTATTGAGCATCTACTACACTATGCTACTTTGCATTTTTTATTTTATCTCTGGTTTCCCCAATATACTAGCAAGGTAGCTGTTAACACCCCTATTTTGCACATAAGGACTATTCGAGGCTCAGGAGGTCGGGTAACTTGCCCAAGTTTCAGAACCAGGAAATTACGGAGCTAGACTTGGAACCCAGACTGTTCTGATTGCAAATCCTGTGCCGTTTCCTCACCCTGTGGCTAGAGGCAGTGCTTTGTCTCCCCAAGGCATCTCTGCAGTCAAGCTTCTCTCTCTGTTGGCACAGCCTGATCTTTATAACTGTTTTCCAGAAACAGAACCATCATTAGCACTGCTCTTCTGTGTTGCTTATTTTTTTTCCTTGGGTTTCACTGCAAATTACAAACTAATCCTGCAGTTCACTTATATCTGACTGCCAGAGGGAGACTCCTGGGCTCCTGATAAGTGTAACATGAGTATCCACTGAAGACGGTGTTGATGCTGCTGACCGGGAGTCAGAGCCAGCCAGGGTTTCATCCATCAGTCCCAAGATGGAGATGAGGGACTGCTGTAAAGATCCTGTGGAAAAGGGCTTGTGTTTTTGAACTCTTGAAGTGTTTTTTTAAAGTCAAGAGCATCCATCCTTCTAGCTTGAATGAACGGGACACCAGTGGTAGGCCTCAGTGATCATCTTCTTAAGAAAACGTGTATTTAGCACCTGATACAAACATGGCACTGAGCTGGTCATCTTAATCATTTCATCTTGAAGGGGTTTTTGCAAGAATAGTGCAAGGGGTTCTTGCAAGAATTGCAAGGGGTTTTTGCAAGAATAGTGGGTGGGAAGGATAGTTAAGCCAATGACTGAGGTCAGAAAAATTGGGGAACCATCACCCAAAATAGGGGCATCATCCCCATAAGATATTTTTGCTTGGATTCTAAAGGGCCAGGGGTTCATCTGTACATCTCCAGCTACTCATAGGAAGAAGAAAATGCTCACCAGTTGGCCATGTCTTTGTTTTCTAGTCACAGTCCAGCACACAAATACTACCTGGCCACAGACCCCATGAGTGGGGCCGTCTTCCTTTCTGACAGCAACAGCCGGCGGGTCTTTAAAATCAAGTCCACTGTGGTGGTGAAGGACCTTGTCAAGAACTCTGAGGTGGTTGCGGGGACAGGTGACCAGTGCCTCCCCTTTGATGACACTCGCTGCGGGGATGGTGGGAAGGCCACAGAAGCCACACTCACCAATCCCAGGGGTAAGGCCTTGCCTTAGAGACATTGTCAATAACATTTATTGGGGTATTTTCCTTTTCAGAAAAACATGCATGATTAATATTGCAAAAATTTTTGGAAAATACCAAGAAATATATGGAGGATGGTAAAAACTGTGATAATTCCACCTGCCAGAAATACTCCCAGTTAACATTTCCTGTCTTCTCTCCTAGTCTTTTTTCAAAGTGTTTGTGTGTATGTAGTGTTTACTAAAAACAAACAAAATGAGATCACATTAAGCAAACTGCTTTTTTTCCCTAAATGCTAGATCATTAACATTTCTCCATGTCATTAAATTGTTTCTGTGTACTCATTTTTAATGACTATATAGTTTTCCAGCAAATGGATGTCCCAGTCCTCTACTATTGGACATATATGCTGTCTCTCATGTTATTGTTACACAAAAACATTTTAGTGTATCGTGTTTTCATATGTTCATATGCTATCGGGTGGGTTAACTGTAGGTCTCAATTCTGAGTCCCTCAAAAAGTTGAACCTCTAAATGCCCACAATCACAATTTGTTATTCGCTTATTCAGCAAATATTCAAGTACATAGAGTGGTTGCATAGATAAGTTTGTTGCAGCAGAATAAATAAGACTTGAGTGTGAATCACTGTGACATGGGTGAGAGGAAGAGGTGCTCTCTGAGAGGCAAGAAGAAAGAGCTGTTCATGGGGGTTTAGAGCCAAGAGAGACCCCTGTGCCTTGGAGACTGGGAAAGCTTTTTGGAGAAGCCATCATTATCCACACTCAGTGGAGTGTTCACTGTGTTGCAACCCTATAGCCAGTGATTTACAGTGTCTCAGCCCCAGGATCCTCACTGATAGAATGGGGGTAATAATGCCATCCGTGTCTACCTCCTAGGTTTATTCTGATGGTCAAAATTAATATGTTTAATAATAACCTGTAGAAACATTCTAAGTGATTGTATTATTAAATAATCCCAGATTTCAGGGCCTAGTTTCAAATCAAAGCAGGAGATTCTAGTGAAATCAGGCATTCAAATTCAGACTTTGTCATCTACAGCTGAGTGACTTTGGGCAAATCATTGAAGTTCTCTGAGCCTCATTTTCCTTATCTGTGTAATAGGGATATGCTGCACAGTTGTGGTACAGATTGAATATTAGGAATGTAAATGCTTAGCGCAGTAGTACCCCGCACATGGTAAACATCCCATAAACGATGATTCCTATTATTGTTGTTCTATTATATCACATCACATCATATCAAGTCACATTGTCTCTACCACATACCTGGAGTGTCAGGTGGTAGTTGTGTGGGGTAAATATTGTATCAACAAAGGCTAATCCCGCCTAATTATGATTTTCAAATACTGAGAGAGTAGCCAGGAGTGGAAAGAACACTAGGCTTGCACTTAGAAGTCCTATATGGTTTTCCTCTGCTACTGGCTGGCCCTGGGACCTCCTCCTCTGGGCCTCAGTTTCCCCATTGGTCAATTAATGAACAGGTTGGGCTAAATAATCCCCAAGACCCTTTGCAGCCACAACATTCTACTCTCTTAGGTTTAAAACAGTTTTTTCTAAGAATTTTTATTCCCTCCAGGGCTTTTCAGTTGTTCTCCACACATGTGTGTTCTCTTCCCCGCCCTCGTGGCCCCCCACCCTCACACAGATGAAGCGGCAGTGCATTTACCCAAAAGCCTATGATTAACCCACATAGAAATGACAAGGGTGCCACGATATGCAGGCACTTTGCAGCAGGGAGGAGAAAAGATGTCCGTCTATTTAACACAACAAAAGGAGAAAAATTAGGTAATTAATCAGGGGACAGATCACTTCTATTAGCCTGTGCAGCCAACTCTGTAAACAAGAAACCCAACTATTCATGGAGCACTCATCAGTCCAAACAGATGGAAGAGAAAGATGGGGCATAGCTAGGCAGACAAGAAAACGCCTGTCTTGGCACTTACAGAATGAAATTAATGTACATTCACGACAGGACCATGAGAAAGGCTTCCCAGCCTTGAGGCTGCCTGGTCCTCTGTGTGAAATCACTCTCCAGCCTGACCAGCCTAAGAAGGAACAGTTGGTGCTCCAGCAGGTTCTCAGCACTCAGAGGCCCCTGGGCATCTTAAAGCACCCTGCTGGCCAGTGAGAGACACGTGGGTCCCCGGAGCAAAGGCCTTGAAACTCACAAAGTGCCAGCCACTTTCTCATTTTTACAATGGTCATTAATAATTATTGAGGGCTAGTTACTACAAGTCAGATGTTAGAATCCCTGTTTTATCAATGAGGAAATGAAGACTTCAAAGTGAAGTAATATGCCCAAGTTAATACGACCAGAAAATTTTATAATTCAAGTCTCTCCACCTTGGTGAAGGCTTCCTGACCCTTCTTCCACTGCCTTCCCCAGAGAAAACATAGTGAAACAAAAGTGACCAGAATCTCCTGTATTTTACCATGACCCTCTTGAGTCTGTCCTTTCTTGTGCTGCTCACATGGTACTGATTCATTCCTGTGCCTTTCCATCTAAACTGGGTGCTGCCCAGGGCCATGTCTCATCTGTATCCCACGACAGTTCATGGTTATGTCTGATTCTTGCGATTCTGAACCTGGGATGGAAATTACTATCACCCATGTACACTATTAAAGCACCCTGTTCCTGGTCCTAGCCACCCGCTGAATTCGTATTTCCAGGAGTTAGGCCAGCAGGTGTATATTGAAAAACCTCTTCAGGTGCCTGTGATGCACATCACAGGCTGAGAGGTACTGATACAGTGGAGTGGTTCTCAGACTCTGGTTTGTGTCATTATCACCCAAGGTGCTTGTCAAAAATGCAGATAGTAGCTCAGACTCCACTTGAGATATTTTGAAGCAGCTACCTGGGGGGTGCAGTTTAGCAAACTCCCCAGGGGATTCCCATACACATCCAAGAGTGAGAAATACAGATTTGGAGCAATCTCATTGTTTGACAGCTGGGAAGACAAACACAGAGATGCTCAGTGACTTGCCCGAGGTCACACAAGTTGGGTCAGGGAGAAAGTTAACAGGGTGAGACAGTCTAGTGAATGGAGCAGGTGATGTTGAGTAATGATTCTGACTCCTCTCCTCAGTGTGCTGCCTTTAGAAATTCAATTCAACAATATTCTCTACACAAATCCATAGGATTCTATTCAGATTCCGTAGTTTTGTAATGATCAGTGAGACTAAAATAATAAGAATAGAAAAGCATGAAGGACGGGCCGGGCATGGTGGCTCACGCCTGTAATCCTAGCACTTTGGGAGGCCAAGGCGGGTGGATCACCTGAGGTCAGTAGTTCAAGACCAACATGGTGAAATCTCATCTCTACTAAAAAAAAAAAAAAAAAAATTAGCCAGGCATGGTGGCGCATGCCTGTGGTCCCAGCTAACTGGGAGGCTAAGGCAGAAGAATTGCTTGAACCTGGGAGGCAGAGGTTGCAGTGAGCCGAGATCGCGCCACTGCACTACAGCCTGGGTGACAGAACGAGACTCTTTTTTTAAAAAAAAAAAAAAAGAAAGAAAAAGAAAGAAAAGAAAAATGGTTACCAAAAAGGGGAACTAATTATTATAATTACAGAGCTTCAGAAATAGGTGAATTTAAATAATTCACAGTGTTAATATTGAAAAAGATCCTCCTTACCACTGTATCTCTAGTGCTTAAAAACCCCCAGAAGTTATGAATCCAGGTTTAGTGGATGGCTAAGGGGATAGATTAAAATCTCAGGAGGCAGCAAGGTGGGAGGACCAGAGCCCTGGAAGATCTGAAAAAGTTCTAATCCCTGCTTTGAACAAGTCACTCAAGGCCTCTGAGCCTGAGACTCCTCCTCTTTGAGAGAGGAATGAAGGTTGTGGGAGGCTCAAACCCAATCATGTAGAGGAGGTGCTCTGTCAGTTAGCAAGGCTCCAGGAATGTGCGGGTCATTGTCATCTCTGATGCTGAGTTCCTGTTTTGGCTTCTCTGCCCCCAGGCATTACAGTGGACAAGTTTGGGCTGATCTACTTCGTGGATGGCACCATGATCAGACGCATCGATCAGAATGGGATCATCTCCACCCTGCTCGGCTCTAATGATCTCACATCAGCCCGGCCACTCAGCTGTGATTCTGTCATGGATATTTCCCAGGTAAGATGGCTTCATCTACCAAAGCCCTGGGACTGCCCACTCATCCTCTCATCTGCCACCCAGCCAGCCTGCTGGCCATTCATCTTTGCACTGATAAGCCTTTAAAGAGCACCTACTTGGTGCCAGGCTGTGATGAGCACCAAGGACACAAAGACAAGTAAGATACAGCCATGTCCTGGGAGTTCACCATCAGGAGTAACAAGTGGAAGCCCAGGGGACAGTGAAGAAATCTCCCTAAGGAAACCTCAGCAGCAGCAGAGTAGGATAGACAGAGCTTTACACCACGTGACATTAAATCCATTGCCACCTGAACTTCCTCTTTGGTAACACTGATGGGTATTTGTACATTGCCTGTTCTCTTTCTAAGCTATGTGAGGACAGAAATGCTGTCAGTAACCAGGGTGCCTGGCTACCCAAATTTGGGCACAGTCTATACTTGCTGATTGATTAATCGATTGATTGAATCCTAGCTTTTGCCACTCACTCACTCAGTAACTTTCTTTTGAGCCTCACTTTTTATATCTGTGAAATGGAAATAATTCACATCGGCCCAGTAGGATTACCCTGAAGATACATGAAACAATGCATCCACGACTCCTAGCATTGCTTGGCCCTTCAGAGGTGATGAATGAACAAAAGTTAGAGTGCCTGCTTTCACACAAGAGGTGACATTTATGCAAGTTTTACAGGTTGAATAGAATAGGGGTTTGCTGAGTGGCAAGAAAGAAAAGGAGACATTTCACACAAAGGAAACAGCATGTGCAAAGGCACAAAGATGTTAATGAGGCTGGTACACTCAAAGAATAGTGGAAAATTGAAAACCATAGCATAGGGTGCTTGGAAGCAGGTGGCCGCAGTTAAAACAAGAAGCATGGTTTGGGTCCAGGAAGGGACGGACCCTGTTGTACCATGCCAAAGAGTTTGCACATTTGCAGGTGGATACCAGGAACCCATTATAGGTCAAAAAGAGACACAAGTGACTGGCTATCCAGCATGTCCTTAGTACATCCTGTGATGACTTGGCAAGGGTATGTCCTTTGTTGCTGGATCCTTTGGCTGGGCCAGGCCCATGCTGAATCAGTGGCCTGTGCTGAATCTTGCCAACATTACCAAAACCTGGGAAATCAGGAGCATTGAGTTACATCAAATTGCAAATTGATTTCAGCTCCAGCAACATTTAGCTTTTTAAACCCCTTCATTTTTAGGGGAGCCTGCACACACAGGCCCTTTTCCACTGACTGTGTCACCTGCTTCCAGCCTTTCTGGTCATGCCTACCTCTGTTACTGACATGTATCGCTAAGTCCTTCCACAGAGCCTTGTGGATGCTGCTGGAGGTCCCAGCACTCATGTCACCTCCCCATCGCATGCTGGGATGGTTTCCCTCTGCACCAGCTAATGTGATTATTACACTCCAGAGTGGATGCTGTTCTCTGCCACTCGTCTTTGCAGTTTTGGCAGGCTTACCCTTGCTGGCTAGTGAGTTTCCCTCTCCAGTCTGTGAGCAAGCTTGAATTACCCGTCAGGAAGCCATGGCCTAAGGATGTGCATACAAGTATTTTCAATTCTCAAAATGGGCCCTCAACCAGCCAGCACAGGGTGCCGAAAATTTTCAGTCCACACATCGGAAAATTGTTTAACTTTAGATAGAGGTACTGCCAAGCAGCCGGATCAAAGGCTTGGAAGACAACTGGCATATGGCGGAGGGGGAAAAAAATGCTAAAACCCACACTTAGATTCAGAAATCCTGGACTGAAATCTCTAAAGGCCCTCACTACCTTTGTCTGAATGTCAGCATGGGATTTTCTTTAACCAAACTCTCCAATACTGGCATCTATTTTACAGACACATTTGCGCAGGTGTCACTGGCTTTCATTCTCAGAGCTTCCTCTCTACTCCGCTGCCCCATGGGGAGCAGGGAGGTAAGCAAGGGAGAGCACACAGCTCAGAGGCATGAGTGAGAAGGCGAGAGCCAAGGAACTTGGACCAGCTCCTTTGGGAGGAGACAAACCCAGGCCCAAAAAGAAACTAAAGAGAGAGGCACAGAGCAGAGAAGGAACAGAAGGAAGTTGTTGCAACCTGTTAAGAAGTGGAGATGGCCACCACCGACAGAGAATAACTCTATGCTTAGGATCCAAAATAAGAACTTAGTATGGGCCAGGCGCTCTGTTAGAAATGGGGGTACAGAATAAGTACAACTTCTCTTTTCTTACTTAGCTATCACAATAGTCTCATAGGGTAGAGCTGATCTACCCCCATTTTATAGATAAGAATACTGAGGTGTGATGAATGCAAATGCATTTATAAATGTAGAGCCCTGTACCAGGTTCCATCAGAGATATGGAAATGAATTTTTTAATGAAATTATGTACACAAATTGTCTAGTACAGTGCCCAGCAGCTAGTAATAGGATGTGAATACTAGTTCCCTTTAAAATCCACAAAAAACTTCCTTGTACATTGTCTCATTTAAGCTTTACAACTACCCTATGTAATATGTGTTATCCCCTTTTAGATATAGAGAAAGATGTTCAGTGTTTAAGAAACTTGAGGTAGGTGACACATGTAGCAATTGTGGAACTGGAATAGGAAGTGAGGTGTCCTGACCCCAATCTCTCACTCCCTCTATGCCATTTGCTGGTCCTTCCTTCCTTCGTTCATTCATTTGACAATCCATTTTTGCAAGAAAATCACTCTGCAACAAGGCAGCCAGCTCCAAGTGCTTTAATAAAGGCACAGAATGTTCCGGTGGACAGGGAAGAGGGTCCCATTCCACACTGGAACCATAGAACGTGGGAGCTGCAAGACCTCTGAAATTATCAAGTCTAGTCCATTCATTTTGGGGATGGGAAATCAAGTCTCAGCACGATCATCGCTAATAGGGTGGTGAAACCAGAGAGGCTGAGGTAGTTGGTCTGGTGCAGGATCATCACACGGGCAGTGTGACAGAGTGAGGACTGACTCCAAGAGCAATGCCCCTTCTCCTTTCCCAGGCACCTCTGTGCACATGGCATAAGGGGAAAGTGTAGGAAAGCACTTGCTCTACATTCCTTCCTCTCTTTCCTCTCCTCTCTCCCTCCACTGACTCTGTCTCCCCCTAGTCTTCCCATCAAGGAACGATCTTTTCATCATAACGACAGGCAGAAAGGTCTCCACAAGCAGGTCCCCAAGGTGCCACAGGACCAGAAGGCATAAAATATTTAGCGGCCAGAGTTGACAAGAAGTGGGTTTTAAGAAATTGAAAATTCCCCTGTCACTTTAGAGCAAACTGTGTTCCTGATGCAGCCAAAAGCTGCCACGACACTGCCCAGAGAGCGAGGGGAGTGTGAAGCAGCAGCACTGGCCGGCAGCGGCCCTGGCGAGTTTGCAGGCTCCCTGGCTCTGCAGGGACAGAGGGAGCTGGGAGTAAGGGGACAAGAAGACTTTAGAAAGCAGGACCGGAAGATCATGCTCTAAAGAACTGAGAAAGGGCCTGCCCCCTCCTGAGAATGTCCCTGAGCTGCAGGGACAGATGGAGGTGGCCTCACTCGTGTGTATATAATGTATTGGGGTTTCTTTTTACATTGGTAAACTACCACATGTACATTGTAGAAAATATAAGAAGTTAGAAATCACAAAGAAGGAAATTAAAATCACCTTTAATCTTACTATGGTTAACATTTTGATATATATGCCATCCCTCAAGCACTTAATCTCCTCTTTATCTATAATCTAGCTAAACTTCTTATATTTTTCCCCAATTGGTATCCCACTGTGCTTACAGTTCTGTAACCTGTTCTTTCTACTTAATACATAGCAAACATTTCTCCATGTCATTAAATATCCATCTATAACATCACTTTTAACAACTACACACAGTATTCCAATTTATGAGCAAACTAAATGTACTATTATTTAGCCAGTTCTCAGTTGTTGGGCATTTGAGTTGGTTCTCGGTCTTTGTCATTATTAAAAATGGCTTCATCATTATTAAAAACACTCTTATAGACGATGGTATACAAAAGTAAATTCCTGGAAGAAAAACTTCTTATCTAAAAGCATACACTTAGGCCAAACACAGTGGCTTACACCTGTAATCCCTGTACTTCGGAAGGCCACGGTAGGCAAATTGCTTGAGCCCAGGAGTTTGATACCAGCCTGGGTAATATAGCAAAGCCCTGTCTCTACAAATATATATATATATATATATATATATATATATATAGACACACATACATACACATAGACATACACGTGTATATATATATATAGACACACACACATACATATGTATATGTATGTATATATTTATATATATATGTGTGTGTGTGTGTGTGTGTGTGTGTGTGTATATATATATGTGTGTGTGTGTGTGTGTGGTGGCACATGCCTGTAGTACCAGCTACTCAGGAGGCTGAGGTGGGAGGATCGCTTTAGCCTGGAAGGTGGAGGCTGCAGTGAGTCAAGATTGTACCACTTCACTCCAGCCCGGGTGACAGAGTGAGACCCAGTCATACACATACATACATACATAAGTAAATTAAAATAAAGGTATACACTTGCTTAAGCGCACCCCAGATTGGACCAAATATCAAGGGTTTGTAGGGGGCTCAGGAAGTCTAAGGCAGTGAATTTTTAGGTGGGGTGGAAAAATCAGCAGTAGGGTGCACCTGTCGGCACTTCCAGCCCACACAAAACATGGCTGGACCTCCTAGAGACACAGGTGGCAAAGGGTTCCCCTTAGTGCCAATACCTCCTAGTGTGATAGATCCAACAATCCAGCCTTCAAGTCCACTGAAGAAAACACTCCTCCCCTCAGACCATGCCAGCTACAATCCCCTGGGTGCCCACTTGAAGACTCACCATGACCTATGCCAGTTTCCCAGCCTGGCTCAGAGGAGGTTCCACATGGGGCCCAGCACTTCTGAACTCCTAGTTCCTACAACCAGCTTCAGTAATCCTTTCCAGGTGGACCTGTTCTCTGAGGTACTAGAACCACTGTCTGGAGCAGGGCTTCATAAACCTTAGTGTGCACAGAAATCGCCTGGGGATTTTGCTTAAGTGCAGATACTGATTCAGTAGGTTTGGAGGAGGCCTGTCATTCTGCGTTTATGCTCAGCTCCTAGGTGAGCTGATGCTGATGACCACACATAAGGAGCAAGGATCCAGTCATGATTCTCAAGCCCACATCAGGATCACTCAGGAAGCTTTTCAAAATAATGCCGATGCCCAAGCTCCAAGCCCAGGGATCTGATTTCACCCACCAAGGGTGGGGTTTTCCCACCATTATTTTCTAAAATCGCCACAGATAATTTGAATGTGAGGCCAGATTTGAGAATCACTGGTCTAGAACTATGACAGACAGAGGCCATGGTTAGCTTGTCTTTATGTCTCTAGCAGCTAGCCAGCTGTTAATCCATGAACTCAAAGAATTGAGAAATCATACATGTATCATATCAACCATGTATGAAGAATCTTTCTTAAGCCTCTGAACAACTCCTACTTCAGCCTCCAGACTCCATCTGCCTTTCCCTCCCATCTTAGAACATCAGCTGCCATTATTTGGTGGGTTATGGTGGGTCAGGGACTCTGTGCTCTTGTCATTCCCATTTCCCATATGTGACTATTGAAGCTCAGAGAGGCAAAGTAACTTGCCCACAGTCATAAGTAGTGGACTATGCTCTGAACTCAGGCCTATTTGACTCCAAAGTCTACCCTTTTGCCTACTATTTTGTTGTTGTTAACTCCTTCTTCATGTTTTGTCAGTCTAATGAGACCATCACATGTCTCAGTGGCAGCTCTTTCATGGTTTCCCGGTGATCAGGGGGCTGACGCTTCATTGTTGATGATAGGCTGCATGAGGATCAAGCAAGACTGTATATGAAGCCACTTTGGACACTGTTATGGGCTACATGGGCTATGGGATGGATTAGTGGTGGGCATCTTGCCAGTCATTTGAGTATCGGTGTCTTCATTGTCAGGTTCACCTGGAGTGGCCCACAGACTTAGCCATCAACCCAATGGACAACTCACTTTATGTCCTCGACAACAATGTGGTCCTGCAAATCTCTGAAAACCACCAGGTGCGCATTGTCGCCGGGAGGCCCATGCACTGCCAGGTCCCTGGCATTGACCACTTCCTGCTAAGCAAGGTGGCCATCCACGCAACCCTGGAGTCAGCCACCGCTTTGGCTGTTTCACACAATGGGGTCCTGTATATTGCTGAGACTGATGAGAAAAAGATCAACCGCATCAGGCAGGTCACCACTAGTGGAGAGATCTCACTCGTTGCTGGGGCCCCCAGTGGCTGTGACTGTAAAAATGATGCCAACTGTGATTGTTTTTCTGGAGACGATGGTTATGCCAAGGATGCAAAGTTAAATACCCCATCTTCCTTGGCTGTGTGTGCTGATGGGGAGCTCTACGTGGCCGACCTTGGGAACATCCGAATTCGGTTTATCCGGAAGAACAAGCCTTTCCTCAACACCCAGAACATGTATGAGCTGTCTTCACCAATTGACCAGGAGCTCTATCTGTTTGATACCACCGGCAAGCACCTGTACACCCAAAGCCTGCCCACAGGAGACTACCTGTACAACTTCACCTACACTGGGGACGGCGACATCACACTCATCACAGACAACAATGGCAACATGGTAAATGTCCGCCGAGACTCTACTGGGATGCCCCTCTGGCTGGTGGTCCCAGATGGCCAGGTGTACTGGGTGACCATGGGCACCAACAGTGCACTCAAGAGTGTGACCACACAAGGACACGAGTTGGCCATGATGACATACCATGGCAATTCCGGCCTTCTGGCAACCAAAAGCAATGAAAACGGATGGACAACATTTTATGAGTAAGTACTAAAACAAGGCCATTTGATGATTTTGTTTCATTAATTCATTGTAGGATTGGAGGTAAATTGATCGAGTATTTTATTTTAATTCAGGATTTGGGATAAAAACTATTACTTATAATACATTCTACATGTTCATATTCCACATGATTTCTCCTAGGAAGGAAATGGTCTAGTGGAGAAGGCATAAGCTTTGGAGTCAGAGGAGCTGGGCATCAGTTCCCACTCTACCATGGACTTAATCCCTATTGGCCTCAGTTTCCACATCTGTAGAATGGATACAGTGGATACCTGCCCAGCATACCACAGGGAGATGGTGTAGATGAAAAGTACTTACCTGATGAAGTGCTAGCATCTTCATATGACCACTGTCCACAAATGTGGCAAGGGGAGAAGGAACAGGCACATGTGGATGAATTTTCCACATAATTGAAGCTCTTGTCTTCAAATTCCAAAAAAAAACCCTTTTCATTTTAACCATTTTGCATGGGACTTTTCTTATGAAGTGTATTGCATACCTCCCTTCTCAAACACACTACACAGACATAATGAAACCTTTCTTTTTCTGATTCAGGGTCATTAATAAGGAACAACAATTGCATATTACGCTGTAATATGAAGAGAGCTTTCAGGAAGTAGGGAAATGAGGATATAGAGCCCTTTGCCCCTGCCTGAAGTGATTTTAAACCATTACTTTATTAGGCCCTGTATCTAAAGGGTAGGTTTCTCTGCCTCCTCCCTCAGGGTTGTGCTGTGGTGTCACTATTTATTTCAGTCCTAGTGCCCACCTCAAGTAGCTCATTTCTTTATTCTTCATCCAGTGGAGGACTTCTTAAGAGGTGTGATCAGAGAACCAGAAGTTCAGCTTATTATAATCCTAGCAACAATTAAATATATATATCTGGGGTGTTCCTCTAAGAGATATTTAATGAATGGACTAACATCGCTCTTTCTACTTAGATTTTTTTAAGCTGCTTTTTGAGGTCTTAGCCATGGTTCACACGACTGAGATTGCTGAATATGTCACCATTAGATAAGCATGTGAGAGGTGGGGAAGGAACTAGCCTTGTTGAGTATTAGCTGTGGGCTAGGAGCTACACCACTGCATTTAATCTGCACAACAGCTCTGAGGATGGGTGATATTATCCATTTTACAGACATAGAAACTGAGGCTCTGAAGGCTCCTTTGCCCACTGTTTGATAGTGAGACATGGCAGAACAGGGATCGCAGTCCAAGTCTGATGCCAGAGCTTGGGCTTTCTCAGTGCTGCCCTGCTGCCCTCCCTGCATCCTACCCCCGCACCAGTGCCACACTGAGTTTGTTAATTCCAAATGAACCTGACTCTTTAAAGTTTTTCTCAAGCTTGATCAAGCATCAGTTTCTAACAGTCCTAGGAGAATCCAAAGGAAAAGGATCTGTAGTTGATTTTTAAATATAATTTGAACAGACATGTCACAGCGATTTGTACAAAGTTCACTGGCTAAATTCCTTTCTCCAAACAAGGACCTTGTTAATTACAAAGAAAAGACAAAGATCCAGGAAAACAGCAATTATCTTGATTAACTCATTGGAATGGAAATACGCTAAATAATTCCATTTTGCCCATTGCCCGATGGAAATCTCTTATACATTATTTAGCCAATACAGGGGTTTCTTTGTCAGAGCAAGTCTGTGCACTCAATTAGTTCCCAAAGTCACTCCCTCAGATCCCAAACCGAATGCTCACACATCACTGCATCCATTACGCTCCACCACCCCTGAAATCTAAAACGGTTTCCTACACTTCTACCAGGAAAGATCCCTCCCTTTCTTTCCTTGATGAAATATACAGCTATAGTTGATGTTTAGTGAAGAAGGAAAAGTTTTTACAATTGCTTTTTTATAAAATGGCGTCTGGAATTCCAAAGACTGCACTTCATAGCGGTACCCAAGAGTGGTTATCCTTGTTAACACAAACCAGAAGTGGTAGATAAAAGTCCTAAAATAGAAAGGGAAACTAGTTTGTTTTTGTTTTTGTTTTTGTTTTCTGAGATCCTACTATGTGCCAGGCTCTTTCCCATTTAATCTTCACAGCAACCTCAGATGGCAGGAATTATCATCCACATTTTTTACATATGAAGTACAGAGAGATTAGATAACAAGCCTGAAACCACACAGTGAGTATGTAGCAGAACCAGAACACAAGTCCCTGTTCTTTCAACTGCACTGGCTAGGGTCACCTACATTCTTTGTGACTTATCTGTACGATAGGGATGACAATAGTTATGTATTTCATAGGAATAGTATGAGGTTCAAAATTTCAGTGAGATAAAATATGGAAAGCTCAGTGTCTGATTGATTATAAGTACTCAAATGATAGCTGCTGCAGTTGTTGTTGTTGTTGTTGTTGTTGTTAATGCAAGCAATATTAGTGGCAGTACCAGTAATTGCAGAAGTGTTGTTTGGGTGTGAAAGGTATTTCCCAGGAGCAACTGCAAGTAAACTAATCAAAAGAGTAGACAAAAGTTTTAATTGAGGTAGGTAGGAATCAGAGGTCAGGTGAGAAGAGCAGAATCAAATATGAGAGATCAAGAAATGAACTAAGAAAGAAGTCAGATCCCTGAGAATATCCAAAGTCGGCTGGAAAATAACACGCAGAGCCACCCAAGGCAAAATGGTCCAGCTCAGGCTGAGAATGAAGCAAGGGTGCCAGACACCTATTTTCACTGGCTGCGAGCCATGTGACTCAGGGACAGGCTAGCTGGCCTCCAGACCCAAGTCTCAACCAGACAGAAATAATCCCCTGCCCTACCCCATTTCTGGGCTATTATGAGGACTAAAAAACTAAATAAATACTGAAAGTAAAAAAACTTTGCAAACTATGAGGCTGTCTAGAATTAGAGGTGTACAGATATTTCATTATGGTGTTTCTTAACAAGGATTTGGACAGATTTTGCCAATGAACCATTAATCTAGTGAATTTTCTACCTTTAGCTTCATGAGGCAGTTTAGTAGATTATAACCGAAATGTTCTATTTTTCTAAAAAAAAAAATTGCCCAGGCTTGCCTGTGACATAGGCTATTATTGAAACAAGCTGTTTGTTTATTTGTTTGTTTGTTTGGTTGGTTGGTTGGTTGGTTTGGTTCGGTTTGGTTTTTGAAATGGAGTCTCGCTCTGTTGCCCAGGCTGGAGTGCAATGGTGCGATCTCGGCTCACTGCAACCTCCACAGTTCTCCTGCCTCAGCCTCCTGAATAGCTGGGATTACAGGCATCTGCCACGACGCCCGGCTAATTTTTGTATTTTTAGTAAAGATGGGGTTTCACTATATTGGCCAGGCTGGTCTCAAACTCCTGACCTCAAGTGATCCGCCCACCTAGGCCTCCCAAAGTGCTGGGATTACAGGCATGAGCCACCGCACCCGGCCTGAAACAAGTTTTAAGTCAGCTTTGCCAATTCTCTTAAAAGATTAAATAGTACACCTAACATAAACATCACACACTTCAGAGCACCTTGATTTACAGAGTTCACAGTTTTGGAGAATCAAGGTTACTTTCCTCCCCTCAGCCCACAGGTCTGCTGGTAGGAAGCTCAAAGGAGTCTGAAATGCAGTCCCCACCTCCCATGTGTGGCATCGTTACTCTCAGACTTAGCTCCTGGTCAGATGGCATTTGGTGGCTGAGAAAATGGCCTCATAAGTATGAGGCAGGTTCCAGAATTGACTTGCTGGATGGATATGAGCAACCCCCTTCCCTGAATTTCATAGGGGAAGGGGCTCTGGCCTCCCACAGTGCCCTGTGACAACTCCTATTATAATTATGCTCACCTTAACTACTGTGAGACCCTTACAAATTTGTCTTTGCGTCAAGCTTAGGGTTTGCCAACTAGTCGGCTGACAGATAGTCAATATTTTATAATGACACGTAAATTCAGAATGGAAGGGAAATAGAGACAGGAAGAAAAGATATGCTGTAGTGAGAAGAATGCTAGATTCACGTCTGAGCACCAGCACTGCCAGTGCTCCCAACGGGACATAGAACTCAACTGAAATGGGTCAAATGAAGAGATTTGGCCTCTGGTTTTTACTTGGGGATAGGAAAGCTGGAAAGTGCATCATGCCCAACCTTATCATGAAAATAAGCCAGACAAAAGGTAAATTCGTGCGTTTCCTTGAACTCCTTCTCTGAGGTCAAATCCAAGGAGAGACAGAGTCTTGCAGAAAGAGACAAGATGTGGGCCCTGCACCACATCTTGCTGCTTGTGGGCAGATGCACCAGCTCCGGGGAGAAAGAGTTCAGCTGGGATGGCTGGTGAATTTACAAAGGCTAAGTGTGTACTGGCAAGAGAGTCTGAAGCCCTTGGAGGCTGTAGCAATTGGGCAGGTCCATGTCTTCTTAGGGACTTTTTTCTCTACAAATCCCACCAGGAGTTTTCCCACAGAAAAGAGTGAGGAAAGATTTAAGAAGAAAGTGTCCTTTGTGGTCGACCTGGGGGAAGGTCACAGCAGCTGCTGAGGGAGGAGCATACACCCCTGACCACTCTACCCAGACCCTGCTCACCTCATCTTCCATCAGGAACAACACCCTTCATCTGTGAAGAGAAGGGCAGCGAACACTGTCCTGCCTAGGCACTGGGGAAAATCCTTTCAGCTGAATGAGGGAAGAAAAGAAATGGAAAAAAAAAAATCCCACATACCTGAGAGTCAGAACCCTAGCAAAGGCTTTGCCACCACCATAGTTAGCTGGAAGGCTAAAAGCATCAGTGAAGGGCAGAAGACTGCTGGGAGGGAGTTAGAGAACGGCAGGAACATGGAAAGAGACCCTCTCTGAGTCAGCACAAAGGGAGGACCCAAGGGCTGAACTGTGGACCTTGAGGGAAAAAAACCCTCTGGCAAACCAGTTTCACATCCTAAACACAGGGAATTGCTAAGGGAATTTAAAACCTATGATACCTAGAGGCTAACCATAAACAGACTTCAAATCCTAGGTTAACCCAAACCCCCTCACAAAAGTCCTAGCACAAGGAAACTCACACCCATTTCCAGGCATAAACCTATCACTCACTCAGGCTCTACCATGCTACACAAGATGTCACGCTTTCAACTGAACGTACAAAAGGGCAAGAAAAGGCAACACATTCCCGAGAGGCAAAGAAATCATCAGAATCACGTTCAGGTATGACACAGGTGTTGAAACTATCTGTCAGAGAATTTAAAATAACTATAATTATTTTAAAGGCTCTAATGGAAAAGGCGAACAATGTGCAAGATCAGATGGATAATTTTAGCAGAGAGACAGAAACGATAAGAAAGAATCAAATGGAATTGTTAGAAATGAAAACCACGGTTATAAGGATGAGAAATGCCTTTGATGGGCTGCTCTCTCTGGAGGACACAGCATGACACAGCTGAGGAAAGAAGATGGTTAATAGAAATTACCCAAACTAAAATACAGAGAGGAAAAAAAAGAGTGGAAAATGCAGAACATGGCATTCAAGATCTGTGGGACAACATCCAATAGTCTGATATACATGTAATTGGAATTCCAGGAGAAGAGGGAAAAAATAGGGCAGAAGAAATATTTGAGGAAATAATGGCAGAGAATTACCCATAATTAATAATGGACACCAAACCACAGATCCAAAAAGCTCAGAAAACACCAAGCAGAATAAGTACATACACACACACACACACACATTTCTAGCCATATATTCAAATGGCTGAATTAAAAAGGAGAGACAGAAAACCTTAAAAGCAGCCAGGAAAAAAAAAAAAAGCATTTTATAAGAGGAACAAAGGTAAGAATTACAGCAGACTTCTCATCAGAAACTGTGCAAGCCAGAAGACAGAAGTGCTGAAAGAAAAAAAAAAAGAAAAACTGTCCACAGCCAGGTGCAGTGGCTCACACCTGTAATCCCAGCACTTTGGGAGGCCGAGGCAGGTGGATCACCTGAGGTCAGGAGTTCGAGACCAGCCTGGCCAACATGGTGAAACCCCACCTCTACTAAAAATACAAAATTAGCTGGGCATGGTGGTGCGCACCTGTAGTCCCAGCTACTCGGGAGGCTGAGGCAGGAGAATCACTTAAATCCAGGAGGCGGAGGTTGCAATGAGCTGAGATGTGCCATTGCACTCCAGCCTGGGCAGCAAGAGTGAAACTCTGTCTCACAAAAACAAACAAAAAAAATTGTCCACTCAGATATTATACTCAATAAAAATATCTTTCAAATGAAGACATGTTATAGAGGTATAGGGAGGGGTAAGGGAACCTAGAAAGGATGCTAATAGCCTGGGCAACATAGAAATACCCATCTCTACCAAAAAAAAATTTAATTAGCTGGATGTAGTGGCACACACCTGCAGTCCTAGCTACTCAGGAGGTTGAGGCAGGAAGAGCACTTTTCAGCCCAGGAGTTCAAGGGTGCAGTGATCGATAATCACACCACTGCACTCCAGCCTGGGCAACAGAGTGAGATCCTGTCCCTAAGCAAATTAATTAATTAATTAAAAATAAAAATAAAGGACGCTGAGGCACCCAGGCACTAAAAACAGTGAATAGCCATTACCAACCCCCAGGCTGCAGAGCAAGGTGGGAAAGTTGAAGGATATCATGACTGAAGTCCAGTGGGAGCTGTAATGATGAAGGAGAAGCCCCCTAGTTGAAGCTGAAATCATGGATCCACGCAGCCACTGTTAGAGATTCGGCACTGGAGGAAAGAAGGAGTGAGGAGTGAGGAAAACCTTCTGAATTCCAGTCTCTTGCCCGTGCCTACCACGGACTTAGCTTAACCAGAAGTGAGCCAGCCAGAGTGCCCCAGTGACACAGTCTGCAGGGGTCAGCTGCTCTGGGCAGAGAGAGGACAGAGAATGGATCTGGGAGGTAGGGGGAACAGAGAATAACCAGCACAGAGACTGACTGGCTGTGTGACATGTTAGCCATGAGTCGCCAAGCCAGGGTTCAGCCCCAGATCTGCCTGAACCCTAAGCAGTTCCCACCAGAGGCACCACCTCAAATACAGTATGGCAGAGTGGGCCAGATCTTGGGAATCCTGAGGGCTAGAATTCATTTTGGGTACTTAATTTTGTAGGAAATGGACAGCAAGTACAAGGTTTTAATGCAGAAGCCACAAAGTGCTCTGGCTCTGATCCAGTTTTGGAGTAGCTAATGATGTCGTGATGACATCTATTACAGTGACATGGGCCAGGGGAACTATTGGTGTGCCTGGGCCAGGAACCATAATTATCCACAGACAATACAGTGCCCAGTTCCCTGACATGGTGATGGTGTTGTTTGAAACAATCAGAAATGAAAGTCATACAAATCAAATCTTATTTTTTAACCGAAAAGTTAAGATCAGCAAAAGTTTAGTATCAGAGGGCAATTCGGCGTTTTCCTTGCCAGCCATGCATAGTAAGTGGCTCGAGATGAAGTATTGAGTGTGAAAAAGAAAGCCTTGCAGTGTGTGTGAAGATGTCCTTTGACAATCCTCTTCTGAGAGCCAAGTTCACAGCAACTATATGAATCATTTTTTTTGAGATGGAGTCTCACTCTGTCGCCCAGGCTGGAGTGCGATGGTGCGATCTCGGCTCACGGCAACCTCTGTCTCCCGGGTTCAATCAAATCTCCTGCCTCAGCCTCCCGAGTAGCTGGGATTACAGGCACCCAGCCACCGTGCGTAGCTAATTTTTATATTTCTAGTAGAGACACAGTTTCACCATGTTGGCCAGGCTGGTCTCGAACTCCTGACCTCAAGTGATCCACCCCCCTTGGCCTCCCAAAGTGCTGGGATTACAGGCGTGAGTCACTGCGCCTGGCCTATATGAATGTTTTATGTGTTTTCTTTCACTGTGCTCCAAAGATGCTTTGGATAAATGGAATGAAGAAAAATCAGTGGGAGGAAATAATGAAAAGCCAGTCATCTGGTCATCCCTATCATACCCCCAACTGGGGGCTTGGCATCGCTGCAAAGTCAATTGCAGTGGTAGCAAGCAAAGCGTCCTGAAAATAAAACAACTGCCAGTCTTCTTGACCCACCTGAGACTTGGGAAAACAGTGTTTTCTATATACTGCAGTGATGAACCCAAAGATTTTTATTTGAAACAGCATCATTTTTATGGGAAGCTTGATGAATAAAACACATTATTTAAGATTAGACAGACCTGACTTTGAATTTATATTCCTCTACGAGCTGTGTGATCTTAGGCAAGTTGCTTATCCTCTCTGAGCCTCCTCTTCACCATTTGTGAAATGATGATAATAATAATGCCTACATCAGAAGATGATGATGAGCATGATGCTTGGTACCTAAAAGGTACCACATGAATATTAGTGACCTTTCTCCACCTCATTTGGACAAGGAAAGGCAAAACAAATGAATTTCTTCGTTGCTCTCAGCCCATGTCTTGAATCAACAATAATATCTATTATTTACTTATATATTTATTCATTAAGTAAACATGTACTGAGTACTGTCTACCTGCTGGGTACTCCTCTGGGCACTAAGAATACAGACAAGGTCTCTGTCCTCATGGAGCTTATATTAGGAGGAGACAGAAAACAAAGAACAAATAAATAATAAGTATAGTGAGGTCAATAAGAAAATATGATACAAAGGTTGGGGGGACTTATCTGTCTTAGAAGCGGTGGTCAGGGAAGACCTCACTGAAGTGATAACATTTGATCTGAAACATGATTGATGACAGGAACAAGCCATGCCAACACTGGAGGGAAGAGCATTCCCGCAGAGGGAACGGGAAGCATGAGCACCCCAGCATGCACTGACTTTGGCATGTTTGGGGACCAGAAGCAGATACAGGGAGAAGAAGGACGTGCTGAGAGTGACGTTCCAGGTGAAGTCAGAAAGAAAGGCAGGAAGGAGCCAACATTCAGCCAACATTCATTGACACGAGGAAGCACATGCTATATGCCACACACTCTAAGCTACAGGGATACAGCAGGGTCCAAATGAAGTCCCTGCCCTCAGGGAGTTGACATTCCACTGAGGGCAATCTCCTGGGGTCCTGGGGGCCCTGGGAAGAAGTTTCCCTTTCATTTTAAGTAGGTTACCTCTTTTGGTCTTCATGTGTCTCTATGAAACAGGATTATTATCCCCATTTATAGAAGAGAAAACAGAGGCTCACCGAGGTTATATGATATAGCCTGCCTGAAATTGTATCATTTGTGGTGGAGACTTGATAGTTAGGAGGAACACAGAGCCAAGTGCCCGTCCTCTAGATCACATTACTGGCAAGTGTAGAGCCAGGATGCAAAGCCTAGACTATCTGGCTCCAGAGACCTTTTTAAAAAACTATTCATTTCATTCCTCTTGGTTAGAAAGAAAGAAAATTTGCCAGTACTTTGTGGGTTCCCATAATGAAAACTGTCACAAATGTAACTAAGCCATTGTCCAGATGCCACCTAATCATGGGGCCGGGACTTGAGGCAGCCACTTGGAGCCCAGGGAGTTCAGAGAACTGCCCCTTCCAGGTCCCTGCTCTTTGTTGTGGCAGCTCTGTGGTGGAGAAGAAAGGGTTCTGTAGAGGTGGCTCACAGGGCAAAGGTGTGCGGGGCCCAGAGGACTGGCAACCCTACTTCTTCCCATCCACAGTCAGAAGGAGCAGTTCTGGTGGGATAATTACAGGTATCAATCAAGCAGCAAAGAGATCCAGGTCATTTCCCAAGCTCTGGAAGGTACTACAATGAATGAATAGGAGACAAGAAAATTTTATAAATTGGTTGCTCTATATGATGTTCATTTCATTAAGACATTCAGTCCTTCTAATGGAAAATGTGAAGAGTGGAAATTACTGTTTTTTTGACCCTCTCATATAAAATGAAAACCAGATCTTGAAGGTATGGGGCCTTTTCATTGTATCTTCTTTAGGATCAATGTAATTATGCCTTACAAGCTACCTTCAATAATAATTGCAATTGTCTGCCTTTATACAAAGCCTCTTTCTGTCTTCAAGACTAAAACTCTAGTGAGATACCTAGGGAGATTGCCAAAGTGTTATTTAGTAAGAGTTGTTTTTTCCATATTTTGGCATTCAGCAAGTGTTTATCATGTACCTACTGTGTGTCCAGCTTGTGCCAAGTCCTGTAGGAGGGAATGTGTGAATGAATCATGGTGTCTCCTCTCCCACAAAGCAGGAAAGAGGACTTGCACATCCAATCCTGCATTCATTTATTTGTTCAGCCAACATTCCCTGCCGGTCCTCTCTATGCCAGTTCCAATGCTGGTGAAGCAGAGATGAACTGAGAGCCAGTCCTCCAGGGTCACGCTGCTGGCAGGTGGCAGAACCCAGGTGGTGTCAATCCACAGACTCCACAGACCTGTTCTGACCTCAAGCACTCACAGTCCAAAGAGGGGGACGACTTGTACATCAACACTGCAGTGCAGGGGAGGCATTCTAGGACAGAGCTGTGCACAGGATATCACTGGGAGAAGGGACAGGAAAAACCAGGGAGGGCTTTAGGAGGTGGCATTTGAGCAAGGCCATGGTAGGAGTGGTGTCAAAGTGACATCTGACTCCTAATTAACAATCTATCAATTCTTATCTGTAAAACTCCACAAATGGCTTTGCAGTGTCTTGCATGGTATAATAAAATCTTTTTCATGTGGTTAGGTCAGGAAAATAGACAGTCCAAGTGAATAGTCTTATTTTAATAAAGAGTATGTACAGGGATTACAGGTGTTCAAAGAGTCAGCCTAGAACAGCATCCCCATCCCATTAAACTGCTGGACTGAAATGGATCTTCCTGTTGATTTAAAAGATGACTCAGGATCTGACCGGACCCAGCTTAATCATGAATCACAGATACAGTTAAGATGACCAGGGCAAAACCAGTTTTGGGGGTCTTGATTTTTAGCTCAAAAACTTGGAGTACCCTAGTAATATTTTGCTGAAAATGCCTGGAAATTGTTATCTTCAACTTGCCCTATAAGTGAGACTCCTATGCACAGCCTGGAATTTAAGGCATCTGCCTCCCCAGATGGCCATGCTCATGAGCTCTCACGTGTGGTTTTACCTTGCTTGTCACAACACTTTTCTGATTATGAAAATAATCCATGTTTATTATTTTTAAAGCATGGAAATATACATAAATAAGCAATTCAAATCACCTGTAATTCTACCTCCCAGAGATAACCACTGTCAATATTTTTGTATGTTTCCTTCCTATTCAAATTTCCAGTGGCCACAAATGGTTAAAAAGAATCCCAGCCTCTCTCAGAGTTGAAGGGAGCAGAGCTCTGAGAGGGTCTCCATGTGAGAGAAGTCTCTGGACATGCATCTCAGATCTTTACTCCAAGACACCCTCCTTCCTAGCCGCCGTCTCTCAGAACTACTGCTCACTTAGCTCTGCGAGGCAGTCCACCCCTTTGACCACCCATTCCAGGTTTCAGCCTCCCCTAGGCCAGACTGACCTTTTCCTGGCAGAACCTGACTCCGTACTAAGAAAGAGAAAGGAGAAATCATGGCAGGACATGGGTTTTTGAAGCCCCCAACCACCCACAGGAGAGCCTCTGATAGAGCCACAGCCTTGCCTGCAGCCCTGCCCAGGGAGTGTATTCGAGGCCACAGCACTGCCTGCCATCCTGAAAAGGCCCCAGCCGCAGAGGCATCCAACTTCCCCAAAGGCCACCGGCCCCTCCCCCAGAATTGATCTTAGGACAAAAACAGGGGTGATATATTCAGAAGACCTCTACCAATGCCTCCTCTGTGGCAGAGTGTGCCAGGGACTGTTAGATTCAGTGTAGAGTGCTGTGATCTGTGCCAGGCTCAGGCACGGAAACAGTTGGCAAATGGCAGAGTCTGTAGTGCAGCACCCAAGTCTGACCTTGGGCAGAGAATTCCTGAGCAAAGACCTGCCTAATCTCACCCACCAAGTCTCCCCTGATACCATAGGAGCTGCAGACCCAGGAATCCCAGCAAGAAGCCAGGCCCAGCTGAAGGAAGAGCCTGGACAGAGCTGAACTCTCTGACCTTTCATTGCCCCATTGTGAAAACCCTCACAGGAACCCAGGGGCCAGCTTTACCCCAGAGGTAAAAACAAAACAGTTTAAAAAAAAAAAGCCAGTAGGGAGACCTGAAGTACACAGGGGCAACCGTGTCCAGCAAGTCAGTCAGGAATATTGCCATGTAGAGGAAGAACTGTGTCCCCATTCACACACAAGTGCAAAAAGGCTATTTAAGCCTGCCTTTTTACACTTCATCCTCCCCTAATTAAAAACAATAATTAAAATGTTAATAGCCCACTCCTGCCAGGGAGGAGCGCATGTGTTGAATACTTGCAAATGGACGGTACAGAAATGTTCATTGAAGACAGAGAGGCAGGTGGCAGTTTGGAAGCAAATAGATCTGAGTTTGAATTTTGATTCTACCCACACTTAATTAGCTGTGTGACCTTGAGCAGGTGACTTCACTCTTCCAAGCCTCAATTTCTGATTCTCCAAAAAAGAGATAATACATACCTTTTAGACAAGGATTAAATGAGGATTACATGAAAAATGTATTAAATGAGGATTACATGAAAATGCATGAAAAGCAACTAGCACCATGCCTCGTATATTGGAGGTGTTCAATGATGGTAGGTATTTCTTTTATTATTATCAGGAGAATAGTAAAGAGAATTAAGATTCAATTATGATGCTTTAGAAAGACCATACCTGAGCAAAGCTGTGGGGGTTCTAAGAGTTGCAGTTACAAAAATGCTTAGTGCCAGATGTAAAATCTAGATGGAAGGGGTTGCAAGAGGCAAGACACCATTTATCTAGCTAAGTCCTGGTTTGAATTCAGAATCCCCTTTTCCCAGGATGTGTAGAAACCTAGGAAACCCCTGGGTAATAGCTCCCATTTCTAGTGTTTTTCAGGAAAAACCTGTATAACCAGTTCTTGCGGGTTTTGCAGAGGGTATTCAGGCATCAAGCTTGACTACATCATTTCTGGGGAGTCTCCCAGTTCTAAGATTCTGGGTCAGCTGTCTCATTATGGCCACCATCATCTCTCCCCCTCACAATTGAATTCTAGTTTATAGCTGTACTCCTGGGCAGTAGGCAGGTCAGTGTTATCATCCCCACTGGGTTAGGGAAGGGAGACTCAGAGAGGTCAGTTATTTTCCTGCAGCTGGATATCAGCAGGTGGAGTCACATCCTGAAATCTATGTACCAGGTCCTGTGCAAGATATGTGGGAGACATGGGAATGTATCCAGCCAGAAAGAAAAGCAGAGCACAGCAAAACCATGGCATGAGGTAGAATGCACCAAGTTCCAGCTAGAGCACCATTATATTTCTACTACTCAGTGCCACCCCTTGGTTTCCAGGTACGACAGCTTTGGCCGCCTGACAAATGTGACCTTCCCTACTGGCCAGGTGAGCAGTTTCCGAAGTGATACAGACAGTTCAGTGCATGTCCAGGTAGAGACCTCCAGCAAGGATGATGTCACCATAACCACCAACCTGTCTGCCTCAGGCGCCTTCTACACACTGCTGCAAGGTAAGTCAGGTGGGGGCCAGGGGACTTTGAGGCAGAGGGGTGGGAAGACCCCTTTGGAGGAGGATGGCACAAGAAATAGGCTGCTGCTGGAGCTGCCCAAGAACAGGAAAGCATTGCAACTCTCTGTATTATCACCTAATTTGCAAAATATACCAGCCTGAGTCAAGTAAATTCCCTCTCAGAAGCTTAAGAATAATATTTTATTGTCCTATCCTGTTATCAGAACAAAGGGTAGGGAATTCATTAGCTGCTAATCCAGGTGACCTCGCTATTCTGCCATCCTAATGACTCCCAGATTAACAGACACACTCACACTGGTGTAGGTGAGGACAAAGGACAAAAATAATTACGCATAATTATGAAAGGGATTTGATTATGGAGAAGTCCTTCCTGAAGCCCAGGTGAGAAGGTTTGTGCCTCTTCTAGGATTTCATAGAAAAGAGACCCTTCTTTGCATTTGTCAAATCATCCTGTTACGGGTTGGTCTTTTAGCTTCAAGTAAAAAGATTTCACAATGATGAAATCTTGCTGTTAATTATCTGCCTCAATTGTTCTCATGGGATGTGGTGACCCAGGTGGGCTTGCAGCTTTGTGGGATTTAGTAAACTTGAAAAGAAAGAAGCCATCACCAGGGAAAGCTCTGCCTGATTCTTTCCTGCCCGCTGGATGGCTCTTTGTACCTCCAAAGGCTTTCACACGAAGCAGTGAAAGGAGCCTCAGGGTAAGAGTCAGAAGCCCAAGTTCTAGTTCTGACTCTGCCACCACATCACCCACCGTGACCCTTGGTTTCTTCTCCAGGAAAAGAAAGCAAGCTGAAGCTGTGTGGAATGGGGTGGAGCAGTGAGAAGAGCAGGGGTTCTGGGTGGGCGATTTGGGGCCCTGTGCCCATCATGCCAGTTCCCACCTGTGTGAACTGGCTGGGGTCACTCTTCTTCTCTGAGCCTTGGTCTCTGGGTCTGGGAAAGGGGGCTGAATTTTAACACCTGCCCCACAGGGCTGCTCAGTCGATCTCTTTAGACAGTGTAGTGACTAGCATGAGCCAAGCACATACTATTGCTCAATAAGCAATACTATTGGATTCCTTAAGTAATTAATTAATTAGCAAGCAGTTTAACTTACCATGAGAAAATAAATGTCTGTATATTCTTACAACCACTTTTACTCCCAAATTTAGTCCTTTGCCTTTCAAAGAGCTCCAAGAACAATAAAGGTTCTCAAAGAAAGAGAAACCACACGCTGGAATTCCTTCTTCACCAAGCACCTTTAACCGTGGTTTTTGAGGAAAACTCAGTGTTTCGTCTGTTCTCACACAATAGTCATCAACAGAAGACTTCTGTGACCAAATATAGGCAGAGGTGGGGTTCTCCCCACCATGAAGCAAGCAATCAACTCTGCAGTGGACACCAGCTGGGTGTCCTTCAACTCAATTCCAACACTATCTACCTGGAGATGGCCTCAAATCCCACCGGTTGAGGGCTCAGTCCCCAAAACTGCCCCCCCAACCCCACCCCATCTATCATACTTCAGACACCAGTCACAAGTCTGGGCCTCTGGAACTTCTATCTGACTGGCTTCTAGTTGAGATTTTCATGACTGCTTCTTTGGGTTCAGTTAATTTACTGGAACAGCTCACAGGACTAGAGAAATACTTACATTTACCAGTTGATCATAAAGGACATTACCAAGGGTATAGACGAAGAGATGTATATGACAAGATATAGGGTAAGGGGCGTGGGGCTTTCACACCCTCCCCAGGCACATCACCTTCACCCCTCCATGGACCTCCGTATGTTCAGCTCCCCAAACTCTGTCTTCTTGGGCCTTTTAGGAAGCCTTCATTGGATAGGCATGATTGACAACCATGTAGAAATGTGATCGGACCCAGCAAGGCCTGTCTCTTCAGATTCTTCTTGGCCTCTCTGTGCAGCACTCATTCCTTCCTCCAGGGTATGGAGCAGGATCCCCTCTGAAAGTACGTCTTATGACCCACAGTCAGATTAGAGTCCTGCCTTGGAGAGGAGGGCAGGAGAAGGTCAGAGAGAGAGGCAGAGAGATTGTTTCCTAAGGCCTGCTTCTGAGTCCTGAAGTGCCTCAACATTAGAACCAAAGACTATGAGAAGGGGTATAGGAGTTATGAGCTGGGAACTGTGGATATATAATCATAATATCACAAGTGGGTTGGGACAGACCCCAGGGATTTATGCTCTGACTGGATTATTGCCAAGAGAAGGTACAATTTCTGAGGCAGCCAAGATCTTGCCTGACCAAGGACTGCAGGACCACCAATTACTCAGACATCTTGTCCTTCAGGCCTGTCTTGTTCCCTGTGATTAAGAATTATCCATCCATTCCATACTGCTAAACTGGCTGTGAGTATTTTTCTCAAAGGTTCATGTGGGCTTTCTTATATTTGGGCAACTTTTTAAAATTTGAAAGTGCCACATTCCTCAGTTTTTAAATGTATTCATCAATTTAATAACTTTTTAGGCAGAGGGAAAAAAGTCATACTGCTCAAAAGGCATACGTGGACACATTCCAATTTCAAAAAAACATTAAAATATGAAAAGAAAAATCACTTCTTGGAATCCAGGAAACATGGTACCTGTTTTTCCTCTTTGGTAGCTCTGCCAAGCTCTTTCCTTCTTGAGTACCAGGCTCAGATGCTCAGTTTTGCAGCTGCCTCACTAGAGTCTCTGTGAAAAGCTCTTTCGGTTTCATCTTCTGTTTAAACTGTGGAAAGTAATAAGAAGTAGCTGCTAATGAGCAGCGGCCTTGGGAAGTCACAGCCCACATTAAATGGGATCATCTGAGATGGGCCTCTACAGATGCTGTTCCCTCCAAGTCACCATTAATGGACATATGTGGATTCAGCAAGGAGCAGCTTTAAAGGATAAATTGACACAGGCTTTTTCACTGTTCAAAGGCAGAAAAATATAGATTGTCAGTGAATAATGCATAGCAAGTTTGAGGCAGATTTTAGAATTTTTGCATGTGTGAGAGAGAAAGATGGAGAGAGGAGGGAGTGGGGGGGGCCTGTTTGAAGCCATTCTAGCAGAAAATATTCAGTGAGGGTTTCCCATGAAAACTATTGCTTAATAACTATCTTTAGTTCTTGACATAGCCTGGAACATAACTAGTTTCATCCAGCAAAAATTTACTGAGCACATATAATCCTAACGATGATGATAGCTAACATTTTTGGAGCACTTATTAACTGCAAAGCATATTTTCAGCATTTTACATTAAGCAGTACCTCATAAGGTACCTCATATAGTACCGCATATGCCTAGGAGGTAAGTATTATTGTCTCTGTTTTCTGCATGAAGGCAGTGAGAAGCACTCGGAGGTTAGGTAGCTTGCCCCAGTCACACACCTAATTGGGTGTTTGGACCCAGGCAAACAGGCTCTATAGAACCTATTCTCTTAACTGCCAATCTAAAGACAAGGGGCCCTATTCCAGGACCATGGTCAGCACTAGAGAAGTTCACCATGATGTGTGTGTGTGTGTCTGTGTGTATGTGTGTTTGTGAGAGAGAGAGAAATGGGATGGTGGAGATAGAGGAGAGACAAGAGACACACATGACAGTGACTAGCACAGTGCCAGGCACATAAAACCAGTGACAGCTAACATTTACATAACACTATATGCCAAGTACAGTTCTCAGCTCTTCATATTCATGATCTCACTCAATCCTCAGAGCATCCTGCAAAGCAGGGTACAATTATTGTCCTAGTGTACTGATGAAGTACCAGAGGCATGGAAGGTTAAGAATTTGGCCAAGGTCTTACAGCAAGGCAGCCACAGAGCTGGAACCTGAGCTGAAGTAGCCTGGCTGCAAAGCCAAGCTCCTAATCTCTGTGCCATAGTGCCTCTCACAGCACGCACTCAAATATTGGAGAATTTGTTCATTAACGGAGCAGTGACTCCCACACCCCTCAGCTGCAAGACCACTGAGGAGGCCCATAGAAAGGCTGAGGGGTGTACAGGACAGGGAGTCATACATTCTGGCCAGTGGAACAGGGGAAGCTTCTGGAAAGAGATGACATTTTAGCAGAGCCTGGAGGGAGTCTTAAGCCAGCACTTACTGAAGACGGGGGCAGTGCAGAGGAAACAGCCAAGGAAGGGCCAGAGACAGGAGAGTGCAGCACAAATCCAGAGATAGTATTTTCATCTATAGAAAGAAACTCTATGTGTATTTTACAGCTGAAATTTGCTTTTTTCACCGTAAGTTTCATTTAGTTAAGAATCTAGGGAGGAGCCAAGATGGCCGAATAGGAACAGCTCCGGTCTACAGCTCCCAGCGTGAGCGACGCAGAAGATGGGTGATTTCTGCATTTCCATCTGAGGTACCGGGTTCATCTCACTAGGGAGTGCCAGACAGTGGGCGCAGGCCAGTGTGTGCGCGCACCGTGCGCGAGCCGAAGCAGGGCGAGGCATTGCCTCACCTGGGAAGCGCAAGGGGTCAGGGAGTTCCCTTTCCGAGTCAAAGAAAGGGGTGACGGACGCACCTGGAAAATCGGGTCACTCCCACCCGAATATTGCGCTTTTCAGACCGGCTTAAGAAACGGCGCACCACGAGACTATATCCCACACCTGGCTCAGAGGGTCCTACGCCCACGGAATCTCGCTGATTGCTAGCACAGCAGTCTGAGATCAAACTGCAAGGCGGCAACGAGGCTGGGGGAGGGGCGCCCGCCATAGCCCAGGCTCGCTTAGGTAAACAAAGCAGCCGCGAAGCTCGAACTGGGTGGAGCCCACCACAGCTCAAGGAGGCCTGCCTGCCTCTGTAGGCTCCACCTCTGGGGGCAGGGCACAGACAAACAAAAAGACAGCAGTAACCTCTGCAGACTTAAGTGTCCCTGTCTGACAGCTTTGAAGAGAGCAGTGGTTCTCCCAGCACGCAGCTGGAGATCTGAGAACGGGCAGACTGCCTCCTCAAGTGGGTCCCTGACCCCTGACCCCCGAGCAGCCTAACTGGGAGGCACCCCCCAGCAGGGGCACACTGACACCTCACACGGCAGGGTATTCCAACAGACCTGCAGCTGAGGGTCCTGTCTGTTAGAAGGAAAACTAACAACCAGAAAGGACGTCTACACCGAAAACCCATCTGTACATCACCATCATCAAAGACCAAAAGTAGATAAAACCACAAAGATGGGGAAAAAACAGAACAGAAAAACTGGAAACTCTAAAACGCAGAGCGCCTCTCCTCCTCCAAAGGAACGCAGTTCCTCACCAGCAACAGAACAAAGCTGGATGGAGAATGATTTTGACGAGCTGAGAGAAGAAGGCTTCAGACGATCAAATTACTCTGAGCTACGGGAGGACATTCAAACCAAAGGCAAAGAAGTTGAAAACTTTGAAAAAAATTTAGAAGAATGTATAACTAGAATAACCAATACAGAGAAGTGCTTAAAGGAGCTGATGGAGCTGAAAACCAAGGCTCGAGAACTACGTGAAGAATGCAGAAGCCTCAGGAGCCGATGCGATCAACTGGAAGAAAGGGTATCAGCAATGGAAGATGAAATGAATGAAATGAAGCGAGAAGGGAAGTTTAGAGAAAAAAGAATAAAAAGAAATGAGCAAAGCCTCCAAGAAATATGGGACTATGTGAAAAGACCAAATCTACGTCTGATTGGTGTACCTGAAAGTGATGTGGAGAATGGAACCAAGTTGGAAAACACTCTGCAGGATATTATCCAGGAGAACTTCCCCAATCTAGCAAGGCAGGCCAACGTTCAGATTCAGGAAATACAGAGAACGCCACAAAGATACTCCTCGAGAAGAGCAACTCCAAGACACATAATTGTCAGATTCACCAAAGTTGAAATGAAGGAAAAAATGTTAAGGGCAGCCAGAGAGAAAGGTCGGGTTACCCTCAAAGGAAAGCCCATCAGACTAACAGCGGATCTCTCGGCAGAAACCCTACAAGCCAGAAGAGAGTGGGGGCCAATATTCAACATTCTTAAAGAAAAGAATTTTCAACCCAGAATTTCATATCCAGCCAAACTAAGCTTCATAAGTGAAGGAGAAATAAAATACTTTATAGACAAGCAAATGCTGAGAGATTTTGTCACCACCAGGCCTGCCCTAAAAGAGCTCCTGAAGGAAGCGGTAAACATGGAAAGGAACAACCGGTACCAGCCGCTGCAAAATCATGCCAAAATGTAAAGACCATCGAGACTAGGAAGAAACTGCATCAACTAACGAGCAAAATCGCCAGCTAACATCATAATGACAGGATCAAATTCACACATAACAATATTAACTTTAAATATAAATGGACTAAATTCTGCAATTAAAAGACACAGACTGGCAAGTTGGATAAAGAGTCAAGACCCATCAGTGTGCTGTATTCAGGAAATCCATCTCACGTGCAGAGACACACATAGGCTCAAAATAAAAGGATGGAGGAAGATCTACCAAGCCAATGGAAAACAAAAAAAGGCAGGGGTTGCAATCCTAGTCTCTGATAAAACAGACTTTAAACCAACAAAGATCAAAAGAGACAAAGAAGGCCATTACATAATGGTAAAGGGATCAATTCAACAAGAGGAGCTAACTATCCTAAATATTTATGCACCCAATACAGGAGCACCCAGATTCATAAAGCAAGTCCTCAGTGACCTACAAAGAGACTTAGACTCCCACACATTAATAATGGGAGACTTTAACACCCCACTGTCAACATTAGACAGATCAACGAGACAGAAAGTCAACAAGGATACCCAGGAATTGAACTCAGCTCTGCACCAAGCAGACCTAATAGACATCTACAGAACTCTCCACCCCAAATCAACAGAATATACATTTTTTTCAGCACCACACCACACCTATTCCAAAATTGACCACATAGTTGGAAGTAAAGCTCTCCTCAGCAAATGTAAAAGAACAGAAATTATAACAAACTATCTCTCAGACCACAGTGCAATCAAACTAGAACTCAGGATTAAGAATCTCACTCAAAGCCGCTCAACTACATGGAAACTGAACAACCTGCTCCTGAATGACTACTGGGTACATAACGAAATGAAGGCAGAAATAAAGATGTTCTTTGAAACCAACGAGAACAAAGACACCACATACCAGAATCTCTGGGACGCATTCAAAGCAGTGTGTAGAGGGAAATTTATAGCACTAAATGCCTACAAGAGAAAGCAGGAAAGATCCAAAATTGACACCCTAACATCACAATTAAAAGAACTAGAAAAGCAAGAGCAAACACATTCAAAAGCTAGCAGAAGGCAAGAAATAACTAAAATCAGAGCAGAACTGAAGGAAATAGAGACACAAAAAACCCTTCAAAAAATCAATGAATCCAGGAGCTGGTTTTTCGAAAGGATCAACAAAATTGATAGACCGCTAGCAAGACTAATAAAGAAAAAAAGAGAGAAGAATCAAATAGACACAATAAAAAATGATAAAGGGGATATCACCACCGATCCCACAGAAATACAAACTACCATCAGAGAATACTACAAACACCTCTACGCAAATAAACTAGAAAATCTAGAAGAAATGGATACATTCCTCGACACATACACTCTCCCAAGACTAAACCAGGAAGAAGTTGAATCTCTGAATAGACCAATAACAGGCTCTGAAATTGTGGCAATAATCAATAGTTTACCAACCAAAAAGAGTCCAGGACCAGATGGATTCACAGCCGAATTCTACCAGAGGTACAAGGAGGAACTGGTACCATTCCTTCTGAAACTATTCCAATCAATAGAAAAAGAGGGAATCCTCCCTAACTCATTTTATGAGGCCAGCATCATTCTGATACCAAAGCCGGGCAGAGACACAACCAAAAAAGAGAATTTTAGACCAATATCCTTGATGAACATTGATGCAAAAATCCTCAATAAAATACTGGCAAACCGAATCCAGCAGCACATCAAAAAGCTTATCCACCATGATCAAGTGGGCTTCATCCCTGGGATGCAAGGCTGGTTCAATATACGCAAATCAATAAATGTAATCCAGCATATAAACAGAGCCAAAGACAAAAACCACATGATTATCTCAATAGATGTAGAAAAGGCCTTTGACAAAATTCAACAACCCTTCATGCTAAAAACTCTCAATAAATTAGGTATTGATGGGACGTATTTCAAAATAATAAGAGCTATCTATGACAAACCCACAGCCAATATCATACTGAATGGGCAAAAACTGGAAGCATTCCCTTTGAAAACTGGCACAAGACAGGGATGCCCTCTCTCACCGCTCCTATTCAACATAGTGTTGGAAGTTCTGGCCAGGGCAATCAGGCAGGAGAAGGAAATAAAGGGTATTCAATTAGGAAAAGAGGAAGTCAAATTGTCCCTGTTTGCAGACGACATGATTGTTTATCTAGAAAACCCCATCGTCTCAGCCCAAAATCTCCTTAAGCTGATAAGCAACTTCAGCAAAGTCTCAGGATACAAAATCAATGTACAAAAATCACAAGCATTCTTATACACCAACAACAGACAAACAGAGAGCCAAATCATGGGTGAACTCCCATTCACAATTGCTTCAAAGAGAATAAAATACCTAGGAATCCAACTTACAAGGGATGTGAAGGACCTCTTCAAGGAGAACTACAAACCACTGCTCAAGGAAATAAAAGAGGACACAAACAAATGGAAGAACATTCCATGCTCATGGGTAGGAAGAATCAATATCGTGAAAATGGCCATACTGCCCAAGGTAATTTACAGATTCAATGCCATCCCCATCAAGCTACCAATGACTTTCTTCACAGAATTGGAAAAAACTACTTTAAAGTTCATATGGAACCAAAAAAGAGCCCGCATCGCCAAGTCAATCCTAAGCCAAAAGAACAAAGCTGGAGGCATCACACTACCTGACTTCAAACTATACTACAAGGCTACAGTAACCAAAACAGCATGGTACTGGTACCAAAACAGAGATATAGATCAATGGAACAGAACAGAGCCCTCAGAAATAATGCCGCATATCTACAACTATCTGATCTTTGACAAACCTGAGAAAAACAAGCAATGGGGAAAGGATTCCCTATTTAATAAATGGTGCTGGGAAAACTGGCTAGCCATATGTAGAAAGCTGAAACTGGATCCCTTCCTTACACCTTATACAAAAATCAATTCAAGATGGATTAAAGATTTAAACGTTAAACCTAAAACCATAAAAACCCTAGAAGAAAACCTAGGCATTACCATTCAGGACATAGGCGTGGGCAAGGACTTCATGTCCAAAACACCAAAAGCAATGGCAACAAAAGACAAAATTGACAAATGGGATCTAATTAAACTAAAGAGCTTCTGCACAGCAAAAGAAACTACCATCAGAGTGAACAGGCAACCTACAACATGGGAGAAAATTTTCGCAACCTACTCATCTGACAAAGGGCTAATATCCAGAATCTACAATGAACTCAAACAAATTTACAAGAAAAAAACAAACAACCCCATCAAAAAGTGGGCGAAGGACATGAACAGACACTTCTCAAAAGAAGACATTTATGCAGCCAAAAAACACATGAAGAAATGCTCATCATCACTGGCCATCAGAGAAATGCAAATCAAAACCACTATGAGATATCATCTCACACCAGTTAGAATGGCAATCATTAAAAAGTCAGGAAACAGCAGGTGCTGGAGAGGATGCGGAGAAATAGGAACACTTTTACACTGTTGGTGGGACTGTAAACTAGTTCAACCATTGTGGAAGTCAGTGTGGCGATTCCTCAGGGATCTAGAACTAGAAATACCATTTGACCCAGCCATCCCATTACTGGGTATATACCCAAATGAGTATAAATCATGCTGCTATAAAGACACATGCACACGTATGTTTATTGCAGCACTATTCACAATAGCAAAGACTTGGAACCAACCCAAATGTCCAACAATGATAGACTGGATTAAGAAAATGTGGCACATATACACCATGGAATACTATGCAGCCATAAAAAATGATGAGTTCATATCCTTTGTAGGGACATGGATGAAATTGGAAACCATCATTCTCAGTAAACTATCGCAAGAACAAAAAACCAAACACCGCATATTCTCACTCATAGGTGGGAATTGAACAATGAGATCACATGGACACAGGAAGGGGAATATCACACTCTGGGGACTGTGGTGGGGTCGGGGGAGGGGGGAGGGATAGCATTGGGAGATATACCTAATGCTAGATGACACATTAGTGGGTGCAGCGCACCAGCATGGCACATGTATACATATGTAACTAACCTGCACAATGTGCACATGTACCCTAAAACTTAGAGTATAATAAAAAAAAAAAGAATCTAAGTTAGAATGTTTTAAATCAAATTTAAAATTTCAAATCATATGTATATTTAAATCATTGTCATATGCCTGTGACAATGATTTAAAATATGTTTATATTTATGTATTTTTTTTTGTCATTCTGTCAGTGGTTTAAGTGTCAAAGTTATTTTTCACCTTGTTATAAAAAACATTGTTACCTTAGAGTGTATCAAGAGCCTTAAAAATGTTCAACCTGCCAGGTATGGTGGCTCACACTTGTAATCCCATTGCTTTTGGAGGCTAAGGTGGAAGGATTGCTTGAGCCCAGGAGTTCAAGACCTGCCTGGTCAAATATTGAAACCTGGTCTCTACAAAATATTTCAAAAATTAGCCGGGTGTGGTGATGCATGCCTATAGTCCTAGCTACTTGGGAGGCTGAGGTTGGAGGATTGCTTGGGCCGAGGAGTATGAGGTTACAGTGAGCTATGATCACATTGTACTACTGCACTACAGCCTGGGCAACAGAACAAGACCCTGTCTCCAAAAAAAAAAAAAAAAAGTTCAACCCTTTTCTCTAGTAATCCTACTTTTAGGAATCTATTTTGATTTGAAAATCTAAAATGAAGATATTGGATATTGATTTATCTAAAAAGTATTTTTGAGGTATAATTCACATAGCATAAGATTTACTCTTTAAAAACATACAATTGTGTGGCTTTTAGTATATTTATAAAGCTGTGCAATCATCACTATGATCCGATTCTGGAACATGTTTATCACCGCAAAGAGAAATCCCATACCCATTCGCAGCTGCTCCACGTTCCCTCCTGCCCCTCAGCCTTTGGCAACCACCGTCTCTAGAGATTCTTGCCTATTCTGGACATTTCATATAAGTGGAGTCAGACAATATGTAGCCTTTTACATGTGACTTCTTTTTCACTTAGAATAATGTTTAAACTAAATATATACAGTGGTACTTATAATTCTGAAAAACTGGAATCAAACTGAGTATCTATTTGAGGCTTGGTTAAATAACTTAAAGTATTTTCATACAGTGGAATATTGTATGGTCATTAAGAAAAATGTTTATGAAAAATATTCAGTAACATGATATAATACAATGATCAGTGAAAAACTGTATAACTGTTTTAAAACTCTTACCTATTTTAAACTGTAATGTAAGGGCATTTGGAAATATCCTAAAATCTACAAACATACAAAATATTTACAATGGTTTTCTTTGGATATGGAGAATCTGGATGGTCTTCTCCATGTATTTTCCTCGCTTTCTTCAGTGATGATGTATTGCTTTCATAGTTAGGAAAAGCATCCTTTAAAGTCCCCTCCACCGCCTCTGCTGTCCTCACACCTCCCTCCACCTTCGTTCCTTCTGAGCAGTCTGTGCTTGTCCTCTCCTGCAGACCAAGTCCGGAACAGCTACTACATCGGGGCCGATGGCTCCTTGCGGCTGCTGCTGGCCAACGGCATGGAGGTGGCGCTGCAGACTGAGCCCCACTTGCTGGCTGGCACCGTCAACCCCACCGTGGGCAAGAGGAATGTCACGCTGCCCATCGACAACGGCCTCAACCTGGTGGAGTGGCGCCAGCGCAAAGAGCAGGCTCGGGGCCAGGTCACTGTCTTTGGGCGCCGGCTGCGGGTGAGCGAGGCCTCTGGAGGTGGCTGCGTCCTGGGGGGAAAGAATGGGGAACGGGAGAACGGGGCTCTGTTCTTGAAATTCCCTGGGACCTCAGTTCACTCATCTGCAAAAGGGGAGAACTAAATCAGGGAACCATGTGTGATCAGAGACCCTTGTGTGTCTTTTTAGTTTTTACTTGTGGAAAGACTACTGGCTTTGGTGTTAGACAGGTCTGAGTTGAATTTCCAGCTTATATTATTCCCTGAGTGAGCTTGGACAGATCAGTAATCTTAGAGCCTCAATTTCATCATCTATAAAATGGGAAGGACAAGGCCAATTTTACAAGTTGCTACAAGGATTAGAAGTAATATATTAAGCATCTTAGAGTCTGGCTCATAGCAAGTGGTCAATAATAGCTACTCTTATTGTTATTGTTATGATTTATTACCATTATTGCTATTACTATTGCTAGCATGTCCCAAAATTCAGCTCAGCTACTTAGAACCTAAGCTACATTCTCCAAAATGACCTCACCCGAGCCATCACTGCTGGGGCTGGCATCATGGTCTGACATTCAGAGTGCTTTTGAATATGTGGATGCCCTGAGCCAGCTCCTTGTCTGCCTCACATCCTGTGTTTCTGTAGAGTACAGCCTCTGCCAGGGCCTGAGTGCCCAGCTTCTTTTTCCTCCACCTTGAGAAAGGCAGGTGATGAACAGAGGGAAAGTTAATGAACTAGCCATGGCTTTCAGCACAGCACCTTGCACACCATGGGTGCTCAGGAGATACCTGCTGAGATGAAACAAACTACAGAACTGAGCTACATGTTCCTAACATTCCAGAAGCATCCTCATAGCAACACAGCTCAGACTCTCTTAAGTCCCCTGCCCTTCAGCAAAGAAAGTTCACTGAAGCCCCTCTTTTACACATGAGACAATCGAGATCCAGAGAGGGTAAACGATTTTTCCAGAGTCTCATAGCGAGGTGGTGGTAAAGACTAGAAAATAGGCCAGGCACAGCAGCTCATACCTGTAATCCCAGCACTTTGGGAGGCTGAGGCAGGTGGATTGCTTGAGGTCAGGAGTTCGAGACCAGCCTGGCCAACACGGTGAAACTTCATCTCTACTAAAAATACAAAAAATTAGCTGGGTATGATGGGGGACACCAGTAATCCTAGCTACTCAGGAGGCTGAGGCAGGATAATTGCTTGAACCTGGGAGGCAGAGGTTGCAATGAGCCGAGATCGCGCCGCTGCACTCCAGCCTGGGCGACAGAGTAAGACTCTGTCTCAAAAAAAAAAAACTAGAAAATAGGCCCACAGCAGCTACAGAAACAGTAAGTGACTTATCCAATATCACACAACTGGAACCCAGAAAACCAGGCTTCGTTTGTTCCCTCAACAGCCAAGAGCTCTAGTGACTATCTACTGTGGGAAACAGCCTTGCACTAGCTCCCCGAGGAAGGCCTAGCTGTCTTTGTTCTCTGTGGCCTCACTGAGCTCCCCCGTCTGAATTCGCAGACTCCTGCATGCGCCTCTGAGGCAGTGTCCTCAATGGGAAGTTTGACCTGGGTTTGATTCCTGCCTGTGCCATGTGGAGCCTTGAGCAGCTCCTCTGAGCCTCAGGTGCCTCTGCAGAAACAAGATGATACAATCAACGCACCTAGCCCAGCACAGGTAGACTCCAGGTGCTCAATAAATGGCAGCGATTAGCATGATTAGGATTTCCTCTCTGCTGTGTGAACTGGACCAAAAGTTTCCCAGGCTTTAATTGGTCCCTCTCCCAACCTGAGATTGGGACGGGTGGCCACGTCTACATGTCCTCCCAAATAAATGGCCACCCACAGTGGTGGCAGGTGGAATTAGAATGTTAGCCGGGTGTGCCTCCCCATAATGGAGTTCATTTTTTATACAACTGGGAACTTTTTTAATAAAGAGGTGAAATAATCTCATTGCCGCCACTGCCGAGCACAGGACGCATTAGGCGGCTCCCCAGTGAGCTGTTTAATTTTATTAATTTTGCCAAAAAGGTACAGCTCCCCTTCACTAGAGATCCTCCAGGGAGAAAGGGGGACAGCTGGCTGGGTGGCACCACCCTGAGGGGAGTCACAGCGGGACCTTCCAAAAGATACTTTAAAAAGGCCTCTGTCATTGTTGGTGGCACAGCCCCTGTATCTTCCTGTGCCCTGTCTGCAAATAACACAGCTTCAGCCTCCAATGCCTCTGATTTTTCATGGGAATCATCTGCCACACTGTTTTTGCATCTGCAATTGTGTTTGATTACCCCAGAGAAGGTAACCTTATTATAACCAGGTCATTCACAGCTAAAGTCAGCATCGTCATTATAAATCGTTATTTTCAAGGCCTTAGAATTTGTGTGGGAGAAGGAGGAAACACACACATCTCTCCTTCCTGGGATATGACCACGATCGTTTGCTGTCATTTAATGGAAATAATTCCAACCATCTATTCAGTACCTTCTATGTGCCTAGCACTCCACTGATTTACTAAGTTTCTTCAACCTTCACAACAACTCTTGTTATACAGAGTAAGAAACTGAGACTCGGATAGGGGAAGGCACTTGCCCAAGGTTGATAGAAAAGTTGGTCACAAAGTTGCAGCTAGAATCCTGGCCTTCATTCCTAGACCTGCACCCATTTTTTTTTAACCACACAGGGATCCAGAGGGCCTTTCATTGCCTCGGTCCACACATGCCATTTTGCATCACGTGACCTAATTATCTGCTTTCCTCTTGGGTCTTCTGTATTACTTGTCAACCTTAAGCAATGACTAGTGGAAGAGACAGAAAATGTGCCCAAATGTCCCATAAGGCCAGACACCAATTAGCGGAAACCAGTATTTTAGTTCCAGAATACCTGGCAATATTTCAGGGGCCACCAATGCCTACAGGGCAGATCCAAATACAGAAACAGGCCCCTGAAGTATATTTCTTTATTAAAATATAAAAACCCTAACCTACCACTACGTCTGTAGGAGCCCTGTCTTTCTGACTCTGAAAGGAAATTGAACTGTGTGCTGGCCTAGCAGTCCAGGTGGAGTTTATACAAGGCACTCCCGATCCTGAAGGCAGGAGCAAAGTGCCTCAAAGCCAGGACTGTGTCCCCATTCGGCCCACAGGCAGAAAAGCCATCCCAGTGACAAACACTCACTGCCTCCCAGCACCTCTGGGAAGAATATGTCTTGGGTACTGACTGTGGCAATCAAGAAGCCCTGATTGTAGTGGCAAGCAGGAGACACCCGACAGGGGCTGGGAAGTTCAGAGCCCCCAGAAGGCCACGAATTGCTCAGAGGGCCACTGAGTGTTTGGGGGCACGTTGTATGTGTGAGAGTCAAGTCCAGACTCCGTCACTCACCAGCCACGAGATCCAGGGTAAATCCCTTCACCTCCCTGAGCTTTGGTCTCCGCAGTGTCTGGTGTGGAAGAGATGGGTCAGTTTATTTTCTGGGCTCACTTGGTGGGTCTCCTTTCAGCAGGGAGTCAAGAAGGATCTGCCTTTTAAAACGTGTCCTCATTAGAAGAATCACATTAGAAAACATGCAGATCCTCTTTGGTCACAGCTACTGATTTCTCAACATAGGGATCATCTTCATCCTCACAACAACCCTGTGCAATTGGCATTATTGTCCCCATTTTACAGGTGAGGAAACTTCACAGAGCTGACAAATGACAGAGCCAGGATTCAAACCCATGTCTGTTGCTGCGCAGGACTGTGCTCCCTCCTCTACTCAAGAGCTTCCCAGCAGAGCTGAGAGCAACGTGGCCCATCAGACCAAAGTTCTCATGGTCCAGATTAATTTTCTCTTTCCTTCCAACCCTTTCTCCAGGTTCACAACCGAAATCTCCTATCTCTGGACTTTGATCGCGTAACACGCACAGAGAAGATCTATGATGACCACCGCAAGTTCACCCTTCGGATTCTGTACGACCAGGCGGGGCGGCCCAGCCTCTGGTCACCCAGCAGCAGGCTGAATGGTGTCAACGTGACATACTCCCCTGGGGGTTACATTGCTGGCATCCAGAGGGGCATCATGTCTGAAAGAATGGAATACGACCAGGCGGGCCGCATCACATCCAGGATCTTCGCTGATGGGAAGACATGGAGCTACACATACTTAGAGAAGGCAGGTGTCTGTCTCCCTGCATCACTGGCCTTGCCATACAGAAGGCCAATCATTCACGGCCAAGCCCAGCCTGGTGGCCTCAGTGGGCTGTATCTGACCCATGTCACCAAAAGGAAATGTTCAGGAAAGTCTGCCACAGAGGGCATGGGGTCCCAAGAGGCATCAGGATGGATCAGGGAGATAGCATGGCAGGTGGTGGTCCTAGGGCAGGAGAACATGAAAGACCTGCCTGATAGAGTAGAGGCCCAAATACTCACTGGATTTGCAGAGCAGGACTCGGGGTTCAGACCCAGGCCAAGGGTCTGCTCCCAGGTCTAGGGCATGTGGTACAATCCAGTTGTGGAGAACCAGGCAGAAGCCTAGGCATCAGTACATAGGCAGGAGGCACTTACTCCTGAGCTTCAAGTGCTGGGCATGGCCTTAGTAAATCTATTCTGCTCTAGCATCAGAACTCATGTCATCCCAGGGGTAAGAATCAGAAATGACCTAAAATCAAAAGTTGGTCTCAAATAGGAAAAAATGGTAGCTTTGCAGCATAAAGCCTCTAGGCCTTTTATCTGCTGATCTTTTCCTGAGAACAAGTGCACTGCATGCCCCATTTCAAGTATCCAGATCCCTGCTTTGTTTCCTGACCCTGGTGACCTGTCCAGGGCATAGGCTGTGCTTGCTCTGAGGTGGGTCTCCTCTACCCACTGGGTGAGTACCCCCAAAAGTGACATTTTGCGCTAGTACTAAGAGAGAGAGAGACCTTGGAGGTCATCCAACATACTGAAAACCCAAACCCAGAGAGGGGAAGAACTTTCCCAGGGCCACACAAGGAGACTATTGTTAGAAACCAGGTTCTCCCATTCCCATCACAGTCTGCCCTATCCCAGAGTAGGCTTATGACCTGTCATTGTGCAAAGCCTTAAATGCCCTTCTCAAATATGGTCTTCGTGCTGTAAGCCACAGGGAGTCAGCGGAAACTGTTTAGCAGGTAAAAGAAATTGTGAGACTGTGTTTGGAGGAGCTCACTCTTGCCTGAATAGGAAGATTGGTTTGAGAAGTCTGGGGCAAGGAAGCCAGACTGCTGTACATACTTCAGGCCAAAGCTTCTTGGCCGTTCTCACACCCCACCACGCACAAAAGTAACCAGGTCTGTCCTGCACAAAGGGGCAAACCCACGAGGCTGCTCACCATAGGACAGCAAATGGCCTGAGTACCTGGAGGCCTAGGCCCCAGGTAGGTTACAGGTGTGCTAAGGTTAAAGCTGTGCTAAGATGAGGCTGAGAGAAAGCCTCATCTTGGCACATCTGTAACCTATTTGCAGTATCCCGTGACACTCCTGTTGGAGAGCTCTGGTTGGAGCATAACTCAAGAGAACCATGGAAACTCAGGATTCTCCTTGGACATTCATTCCGTCCCTTTAAGTCTCGGGTATGTAGACCTACCCTTTCTCCTCACCACCCTCCTCTCATCTCTTGGTTTTCCTCTCCCTCCAGTCCATGGTGCTGCTACTACACAGCCAGAGGCAGTATATCTTTGAGTTCGACAAGAATGACCGCCTCTCTTCTGTGACGATGCCCAACGTGGCGCGGCAGACACTAGAGACCATCCGCTCAGTGGGCTACTACAGAAACATCTATCAGCCCCCTGAGGGCAATGCCTCAGTCATACAGGACTTCACTGAGGATGGGCACCTCCTTCACACCTTCTACCTGGGCACTGGCCGCAGGGTGATATACAAGTATGGCAAACTGTCAAAGCTGGCAGAGACGCTCTATGACACCACCAAGGTCAGTTTCACCTATGACGAGACGGCAGGCATGCTGAAGACCATCAACCTACAGAATGAGGGCTTCACCTGCACCATCCGCTACCGTCAGATTGGGCCCCTGATTGACCGACAGATCTTCCGCTTCACTGAGGAAGGCATGGTCAACGCCCGTTTTGACTACAACTATGACAACAGCTTCCGGGTGACCAGCATGCAGGCTGTGATCAACGAGACCCCACTGCCCATTGATCTCTATCGCTATGATGATGTGTCAGGCAAGACAGAGCAGTTTGGGAAGTTTGGTGTCATTTACTATGACATTAACCAGATCATCACCACAGCTGTCATGACCCACACCAAGCATTTTGATGCATATGGCAGGATGAAGGAAGTGCAGTATGAGATCTTCCGCTCGCTCATGTACTGGATGACCGTCCAGTATGATAACATGGGGCGAGTAGTGAAGAAGGAGCTGAAGGTAGGACCCTACGCCAATACCACTCGCTACTCCTATGAGTATGATGCTGACGGCCAGCTGCAGACAGTCTCCATCAATGACAAGCCACTCTGGCGCTACAGCTACGACCTCAATGGGAACCTGCACTTACTGAGCCCTGGGAACAGTGCACGGCTCACACCACTACGGTATGACATCCGCGACCGCATCACTCGGCTGGGTGACGTGCAATACAAGATGGATGAGGATGGCTTCCTGAGGCAGCGGGGCGGTGATATCTTTGAGTACAACTCAGCTGGCCTGCTCATCAAGGCCTACAACCGGGCTGGCAGCTGGAGTGTCAGGTACCGCTACGATGGCCTGGGGCGGCGCGTGTCCAGCAAGAGCAGCCACAGCCACCACCTGCAGTTCTTCTATGCAGACCTGACCAACCCCACCAAGGTCACCCACCTGTACAACCACTCCAGCTCTGAGATCACCTCCCTCTACTACGACTTGCAAGGACACCTCTTTGCCATGGAGCTGAGCAGTGGTGATGAGTTTTACATAGCTTGTGACAACATCGGGACCCCTCTTGCTGTCTTTAGTGGAACAGGTTTGATGATCAAGCAAATCCTGTACACAGCCTATGGGGAGATCTACATGGATACCAACCCCAACTTTCAGATCATCATAGGCTACCATGGTGGCCTCTATGATCCACTCACCAAGCTTGTCCACATGGGCCGGCGAGATTATGATGTGCTGGCCGGACGCTGGACTAGCCCAGACCACGAGCTGTGGAAGCACCTTAGTAGCAGCAACGTCATGCCTTTTAATCTCTATATGTTCAAAAACAACAACCCCATCAGCAACTCCCAGGACATCAAGTGCTTCATGACAGGTAAGGACCACGGCTCACTCAGGGGCAGGACCCCATAAAGTGCTCTTACTACCTAACAATACTTAGTCTTCTTTGAGAAAGCTGGCATAAGGTGACAGGAAACACTGACTTTCTCTTAGAGCAGCATTTTCCAAAGTCCGTTTGAAGAAACACTAGTTCAGAAAATACTCTGGAAAAATGGTTCCAGCATCAAATAAATTTGTCAGGGTCACCACCATTATTACATTTTCATAGTACATTTCAGTGTATGATAAGCTCTGGGAAGTGCTATAAAAGTGAACTATTTAATATATTTGCCCACTATTTCTCAAACTTATTTGACCGTAAAAGCCCTTTTTTCACCATGAAATCCTAATATCTCATGGGATACATCCCATGGATTGCACTTTAGGAGTTTCTGACACACAAATCAAACTGCTAATGAGTCCTTGATTGGGTTAAGGTATGGCTTTAAAAAAAAATTAGTTCTCAATTTGGGATAATGTAAGAATGGAGTGAAGGATCCACCAGTTTGAAGCCATGACATGTTACAAAAATTATTTAACTGCCCTGAATTCCAGTTTCCTGATACGTAAATTGAAGTTAGAACATCTACCTATAATTAAATATGTGTATTATAAACCCTAGAGAAACCACTAAAAAGATAAAAACTAAAAAAAGAGTCCTAGCTAATAAGTCAACAGTGGAGATAAAATGGAAGACAAGAAAATAATCCAAAGAGGGCAGGAAAAGAGGGAAAAAAAAGAATAAGGAACACATGCAACAATAGAAACTAACACCTACCTGGTAGGGTGGTTGCAAGGGTGAAGTGAAATACATTTCATGAGGTACTTAGCGCAGTGCCTGGCTCGTGTTGGTTCCCTTTCCTTTACCCCCTAACTTGAAAAGTGAGCTCTGCCTTCCATTACCATGAAACCAACTTGAGTATAAAGTGTCCCAGGGTCCCACAGGCAGGGATGTCTCCAGCAGCCACAGCCCTCCCAGCAAGCAGCCAGTCCCAGGTTAGCCACAGAGGCCCTCAACCCCACAGAGAGTGGGTGGGGGTTTGGGTAAAGCCCACACTTTTTACATAAGAGAGTTTGTGATAGGCAAAAATTGGGCACATCCCACCTTGCAAAGCCAGTAGTCTCTCCCCTCTTTTGTCGTGCGATTCAATTCTCCTGCCCTCTTTTATGGCAGTTTCCTTCATTCTACAAGTGCTTCTTCTGTGCAGCCACTGTTTCAGGCATTGAGGAGAGAAAAATGATCCCTGCATTCCAGGAATTCTCACTGTAAGGGGAGAGACAGGCAACTGCTGTCAAGAGGGGAGGACCATGACAAAGGTTTGCACAGATGCCCATTGAAGCACAGAGGAAAAGCCACCTGCTCTGCCCAGAGCATTCTGGGAAGTCTTCACAAAGTAGCTGACATTTGAGGCCAGCTCCTGAGCTGGTGTTCACCAGGTAATGGGGGAGAAAGGCATTGCAGAGAGGGAAGGCAGCACATATAATACAGAAGTGTAGAGGGGCAACATGACAGCTCACATGAATGCCCCTTACAGACGTGGCTTCCCAGCTCCCAAACTTGGTAGCCCCCACCTGGACCCTGTTTCTGCTGACAGCAGTAGAAGAATTCCTTTTTCAAGAAGAGTTCCATGTTGTCACACATTGAGAGCAGGCATCCCAAGCATAGGAAAGAGGGGAGAATAGCATCCCAAGCATAGGGAAGAAGGGAGAACAAGGTGGTGGACAGGTGTGATGAAAACAGACTTGGGGCCTATGGATAAACATGAATATGCTAACAATGTTTCACAGCCTTCACCATGCTCAACTTGGCTGCTAGTTCTAGAGAAACTTGACAGATTGAGATGACATTTCCATTACATCTGTCTGCATTAAGCACACCCCCTGCCTCACTCTCCAATGAGTTTCCTGTGAGATGTCTTGGCAGGTTACTGTAGCTGAAAAAAAACATGGTGCAATAGGAAATGTACTTTTCTATCAAAAAAAACATTGCATCTTTCCAAAATATTACTCCCTCCCCCTTTTCCTTTGTACACCACCATATACATATGGTCTCCTTCCAGAATAGCACTAACATGACTAACTCTCTATGCTATCTGGCACTTGGCAGATATGCTCTCCTTTAAACTTTGCAACAACTGTGAGATCACCATCATTATCTCCTTTCTGCAGATGAGACTCCAAATGTCATTCAAGGCTGCAATGAAGGGTTTGCCCAGAGTCACACAGATGTAGACCACAGAGCTAGGACTCTAATCCAGGGCTCTCTGACTCTAGAACACCTTCCACTACAATCATGCTGGCCTCCAAATCCAGCTTTTAACAAAGCAACCAACCATCAAGGGGCACCTAACATTTTCAGTTTAGGTTCTATATTCCAGTCAGTTAAATCCAGCAAAGAGTATATTATTTATACTTACTCCTTGCCAAACCTGTATTAAGGATCCAGAGAGGAGTGAGGTATAATACCCACCTTCATAGATCACAGGGTCCAAGGCAGCTTTTCTCAAATTTCTTTGACTAGGAACCCACCATAAGAAAAAGATTTTACATTGCAATAAAACACGAAGACAAAAGGTTTGCAAAAGAATACTTAAGTGTGATGCACTCATTTTCTAATGTAGTCTGTTCCATTTCAATAAAAATGCTGGTCATGATTCACAAAATTGATTTCATTGCATAGTGGGTCATATCCTACAGTTTGAAAACCCATGGTGTGCAAAGAAGAGATTTCATATAAGCAGTTTTTAGCAAATTTAAAAAGATGTGCAATCACGAATAAGAACCAAGATACTGTTACTTCTCACTAAACCTTACCTCTTAGCATCCAGGTAGACTACATGCATCTTCATTCCCATCCAGCAACAACAACAAAAAAAAAATTCTTTTTTTCCCAAAAATTTCTTCAAGGGTCCTGAGATGTATTCCAGTGAGATAGGCTTAGGTCACTGGACAATCCCTGAAGCACTTACTGGTGGCTAGAGGGAAAGAATGCACTGATTGGCTTAGCCTAGGTCACATGCCAACCCCTTAGGTGGATTCAACTTCCCTATAATTACACTAATACTCCAGAAAGGAAAGAGAAGGCAGAATGGACTGCTGGGAAGGCAACCAAAAAATGTCCGCTACAGATATATCATGTACATCATTGCACTCTATCTTCACTTGATGCTTGTGAGGTAGGATCACTGACCCCATTTACAAAGGAGAAAAGTGAGGTTCTGAGGTTCAGAGAGCTAAAGTAACTGGCCCACTAAGAAGTGGCAAGGCTGGATTAGAACTCTGCTCTGATTCCAAAACCCTCATTCTTGGATTCAAATACATTTTGTAAAGAACAAAACCACACACATGAAAGAGATTATTGGCTGGGTGCTGTGGCTCATGCCTGCAATCCCAACACTTTGGGAGGCCAAGGTGGGCAGGTCACTTGAGGTCAGGAGTTCAAGACCACCCTGGCCAACATGGCGAAATCTCGTCTCTGCTAAAAATACAAAACTTAGCTGGGCGTGGTGGCGCACACCTGTAATCCCAACTACTTGGGAGGCTGAGGCAGGAGGATTGCTTCAACCTGGGATGCGGAGGTTGCAGTGAGTCAAGATCATGCCACTGCACTCCAGCCTGGGTGACAGTGAGACCCTGTCAAAAAAAGGAAAGAAAGAGACAGAGGAAAAAAAAAGAAAAAGAAAAGAAAGAGAGAAAGAAAAGAAATAAAGAAAAAGAAAATAAAAAGGAAAAGAAAGAGAGAAAAAGAAAAGAAAAGAAAGAGAAAGAAAGAAAAGAAAAGAAAGAAGGAAGGAAGGAAGGAGATTATTGTTGCCTACATTTCATCACTCCCCTGTGACAACACCAAACTCTGGGATGGATGAGTGAAGAGGAATTTTTTAACTTGAGGGAAATATCTACTTCTGATATGGTAAGAAGGAAGAGTAAAATTCCCAGCTCTTCAGAGGAGCACTGAAGAAAAACTTATGAATAAATTCATTTTCAGCATTTTTTCCTAAAGGCAAAATAGGAAAGTTTTCCACCTTCCGTCACTTGTAATTAAGGCCCAGCCCTCTTCTCAGCCCCCTAGTTTCCTGAGAATTTGCAGTATTCCTTATAGAAGCATTCCTTTGCAACTACAAATTCAGATGCAAGTTCTTAGCCTCAGGCAAAATGGCTTTATAGGGCATTTTTTCCTCCTGTTCTGTTTGTTTTAATTTCCCAAAGAACCATCTGCCATGATTTATAGAATCAAAGACTCTTAAAAACTCAGTGAGAAGAGGGACTTTGAAGAAAAGTTAGTCCAAGCTCCTTCTGTTAGAGAGGAGAAAATGGAGGTCCTGGGATGTGGAAGCATGGGTTGGTGGAAAATAGAGAAAATCTTCTGTGAGTGGGTACTGAGCTGCATTCTTCAAAACACATTAAATCTGCCAGGTGCAGTGGCTCACATCTGTAATCCCAGTACTTTGGAAGGCCAAGACAGGCAGATTGCTTAGCCTGGGGGTTCCAAACCAGCCTGGGCAACACAATGAGACCCCATCTCTACAAAAAATTAGCTAGGGATGATGGCACGCCTGTGGTCCTGGCTACTCCGGAGGCTGAGGTGGGAGAATCTCTTGAACCCATGCCACTCAACTCCAGCCTGGGTGACAGAGCAAGATCCCATCTCAAAAAAAAATCAAAATACATTAAATCCAGTAATTTATATATAAGCTTAGAATAGCTCCTGCCACGCGATAACTGCCACCAAATGGTAACACTTTGTATTCTTCTCCATAGAAGTATGGTTAAAACCATTTCCATTGTCAATATGCAGATAAGGAAACTAAATCTCAAAGAGGTTAAGTAAACTGTCGGAGTTCACACAGTTTGTAAGTTGGGGAGCCAGAATTTGGACACTGGGTTTGTCTTGCTTCAGCTACCATGTTCTTTCCTATGATTTTGCCTAGTAAGGCTGAAACAAGTAGAACTGGGCTCCAAATTTCCCTTTCTACCACCACTCCACCTCAGCACCACCAAGTTGCACACTCGGGAGAGGGGGCCCCAGACAACCCGAAAACAAAACAAAAACAAAGGCAAACACGAGGTTCTTGAATGGGATGGTAACATGGAACCCAGTGGTGACAGGGACACAGTCACTCACACCAGTAGGATGAACTCAGTGGGTGGCAGGTGACAATTTTGCCTAAACCTACCTATGTCTCAGTCTGTTTTATGCTGCCTTAGAGGAATACCTGAGCATGGGTAATTTATAAGGAAAAGAGGCTCATGGGTAATTTATAAGGAACTAAGCTCACAGTTCTGCAGGCTCTATAAGCATGGCAGCCGCATCTGCTCAGTGTCAGGAAGCTTTTACTCGTAGCGGAAGGCAAGGGGAGCCAGTGTGGCCATGGCAAGAGAGGTAGCAAGAGAGAAGGGAGGGGTGCCACACGCTTTTAAACAGCCAGCTCTTGCATGAACTAATAGAGCAAGAATTCACTCATTACCTCGGGAGGTCACCAAGCCATTCATGAAGGATCTGCCATCATGACCCAAACTCCCCCCATTAGGCCACCTCCAACAGTGGGGATCAAATTTCACCATGAGATTTGGAGGGGACAAATATTCAAACTATATCATCCTAGAACCTAAACAGGACCTCTGCGATCAGGGTTCTATCTCCACTTGAAAGAAGCCATAATCAGCCTTGGCTCTAAGGCTCAAATCAAAATCCTGCCTCCCCAAGAATTTGGATTCTTAGTCTCTGATTGACATCTGCTTTGGCATCTTCAGCTATGCCTTCCTGAGGAAGGCTGAGCCTGCTGGGACACAGGCTGTCTGTCTGTCTGTCTGTCTCCCTCTGGCCCCAGTTCACCTCCCCCTGCCATCTGAAGCTCTTCTTGCTCCGGCCACAGTCATCCTTTCTGGCTCTTTCTCAACCTTGCTGAGCTGCTCTCTGGTTACCTGAACACTCCCTGTACCCACACCTTCCCTCTCTAGGCCTTGCCTAGTATAGTCATCTTTGCCTGAAGGGCCCACTTCATCTCTACCAGTGCCTGAGAAAAATGGCACAGCTTTCAGTAACTGGCTTAAATGCCACCTTCTGCATGTGGTCTTGTCAGCCTGTCTAAATGAAAGGCTTCCGCCTTCCTCTAATCTTTTTCCTTGTATCAATGTTATTCATGCCCATGTCTCATCTCTCCTTCAGAGTTGTGAGTATGTGAGATGAGGGTCTCAACGGCATAGTCCTGGGCACATAGAAGATACTCAGCAATAGTGGGCCAGGTGACTGGTCCTCTTCATTTCCTCATGTCTTGGCTTCCTGATTCCATTCTCCAGTAAGCCAGATGTTCATGGCAAAATCCTATCTATCCCCACACCTAATATTTTATAATTAGTAACCCCAAGGAATGTTATCAAATCAATTATTCCCATGCCTATGGGACTTGATCCCCAAGCCCAATGTAAAGACTAGAAAATGAAGGTGGCCGGGCACGGTGGCTCACACCTGTAATCCCAGCACTCTGGGGGCTGAGGCAGGTGGATGACAAGGTCAGGAGTTCAAGACCAGCCTGACCAAGATGGTAAAACCCCGTCTCTACTAAAAATACAAAAATTAGCTGGGCCTGGTGACGGGCACCTATAATCCCAGCTACTCGGGAGGCTGACACAGGGAATTGCTTGAACCCAGGAGACAGAGGTTGCAGTGAGCCAAGATCACGCCACTGCACTCCAGCCTCGGTGACAGAGCAAGACTCCATCTCAAAAAAAAAAAAAAAGAAAGAAAATGAAGGCACAGGGAGGTTGTGGCATCCTTGGGCTGTCAGAGTATAAAAGGTAGAAGCAGAGGGAAGACTCTGATCGCAGCCTAGGCCATCTCTGTAACCCGTGGGACTTTGACCCTGAAGCTCTAATTACTGCACAGGAGGGTGGGAGAGCAGGGGAGTGTGTTTCTTAAGTGAATTGTCTCTTTGCAAGTCAATCATTAAAATCTTTTCTTTTGGTGGGTCTGGCTGTCCTTTGTAAGTATCTCCTATGGATGTTGGGGTGAAAGGGAGGGATCTTCATCTGTCAACAGCTGCCCCGGGTATGAAGCTAGAGGTCCTGGGAGTTGAAGTGAAAATAGAAAAGGAAGTCCGGAAACCTGGGTTCTATTTCAGTGTCATCACTCTTGGGTATATACTTGGGATGGGGATTGCTGGGTCCCAGGAGTACATTTGGCTTTCATAGAATGAAAAGTGTATGTAGCAGTTGACTCTCCCACCAGCAGCAATCCACACCCTCACCACACCCTGCAGCTAACTGTAGGCTGTGAGATGGGGATGGGTTGCAAATGAGGTCCACTCACTCCATGGAGATGTTTCTGCTTCCCTCCCATCCAGATGTTAACAGCTGGCTGCTCACCTTTGGATTCCAGCTACACAACGTGATCCCTGGTTATCCCAAACCAGACATGGATGCCATGGAACCCTCCTACGAGCTCATCCACACACAGATGAAAACGCAGGAGTGGGACAACAGCAAGGTAATTCCTGCACAAGGCTGCCACTCCTCAGGCCACTCAGACATTACTGGAGGGGGTCCCTTCAGCTTTTCAGAAAAGCATGGGCCAGTGATAGACACCAATGTGGTGCCTCCACAGTGCCTGCCAGAGGTTGTTCAACAACTACTTAGTAACCCACCACTAGGAAGCTGCTAGGGACGCAGCCATGACCACACACAGACGCTTACAAGCTGCAGTAAGGAGCTTTGTGTGTTACACTGAGTTTGGAGTTCCACAAAAATAATAAGCCTTGGTCACTATCCAGAACAAAAGCACAGGGAGAGAAGGTGGGTTCTAAATAAAAATGTGACATTTTCTGAGTACTTCAATGCACCTGGCCTTATGTGAGTTATTCTATGTAACTCACAAAGATCCCACAGCCGTATTGTTCTCATTTTACAGACTCGTGCCTGAGGCTTTCCCAGTGCCACACGGCAAGGAAGGGGTAGAGCTGGGATTCAAACCCAGATGTGCCTGTTCTGTATCCTCTTGCTGAGTACAGTGCCTGGCATACTGTAGGTGCTCAAAAAGACTCACTTTCTCTTGTCTCGCTTTTATAACCCAATTTCAAAGACTCAGAATTGTATAGCTGGAAAGGTCTTTAAAAACAGTCTCATCCCACCCACTCACTTCATGCATTCATTTGCTCGCTTCTCCCCTCCCTACTACCCCAATCCATTCATAAATTCTCTATGAGAACCCAACTCTGTGCCAAGCCCCATGCTGTGCCCAGTGAACGCAGGGATGAATCAGGCAGAGACTAAGCCTTCAAGGGATGCTTGCCCAGGGGATGACAGACTAAGGAGGAAAGCAGGTTGCCAGATGGCTTGCTGCTGGTGGTCAGAAACTTTCATATCCATATTTCTTACTCCAGATTGATTCCTTTAGGCCTCAGCATAGCTATCTCCTACCAGACCCCGGAGAATGGGATTCTGCACCCCTGTACGCTGGTGGCACTTCCCACACTGTACTTTAATGCCTCTTTCTTGTCTCGCTACTAGATTATGAGCCCCAAGAGGGTAAGTACTGGGTCTCATTTAGTACCCAGCATACAGGATAGCACACAGTAGGTGCATGAAGCATTTTTGCTAAATAAATAAATGGCTGAAAGAAGTAAACAGCCCAGACATTTCCCCATTTTACAGGTGAGGGGACCAGGGTTTGAAAGCAGCAGAATTCAATGGAGAACCCAAGTCTGCCTGGCCCCAGAGCCCATCGTCTTTCTGCTGCCCAGCCTCTCCAGTTCCCACCACCTCCAGGCCCCGCCCAGATATCCTGGCATTTGCTCTTCCCAGGGCTGAGCACTGCAGCACAGCTCCTCCTCCCTCACCAGGCTCCCTCCTGCACTCCAGAGAGCCCCGGTCTCTGACTGCCTGTCTGCCAACCTCGCCTGTCAATGAATTATTGATTTCTGCCCTTGGCAAGCATCGGAGATCTTTGTTGTTGAGCACTCCAGCTTTCGTGAAACTCTAGGAAATAATTGTTCACAGACAGGGTTCTATTAATTATAAAGAGGACTTAATTTCAGTGAGAAGCCGATAGGCCTGTTGCTAAAGCCATTTCCCTAACTTGCTGATAAGGCCCTGGAGCCTTCCTGAGTGTGGCTTCTCCAAGCTCTGTGAGCCACAGAAGGGACAGGTAGATGATACGCCAAGTTGGCAGGGCCCGACCTGTCCCCTAAAGCAGCCAAGAGTAGGGGCACCCCAGGAGCCCCAAGGAAGCACGGTGGGGCAGAGGCCTTCCTTAGAAATCAGATGTAAATGCAGTGGAGAGCAGTGAAGCAGGGTGGGAGGGTTAATAACAGTCACTGCCTCTCACCATGTTATGCCTTCCTGCCAAGAATGCATTTCTTGCCAATCCTCCATCTGACGGCATCCCACCACCCCCACCCATCCTTCAGGTCCCAACTCAAGCCTGAGCCTGTCCTCAAACCCCACCTCCTCCACCTTCAAGCCAAGATTCTTCTCAGCTTTGTTTGCTCCTTCCTTCTCCAGCAGCCCTTGAAACTGAACCTCTAGAATTGGACAGACCTGGGCTTGCAGGTTGACTTGTTATTAGTTGTATGACTGTGAGCCAGTGACAACCTCTTTGAGCCTTGGTTTCCTTAGACATGAAATTGGAATAATGACAGCACCTACCGTATAAGGTGATTGTGAAGATCACTGAGATAATGAGTGGTAATTATTTGGCTGAAACATCAAGAAATGTTAGCTATGGCTATTACTAGTTCCTCTCTTAGGCCACCAGTGATCACATTTGATTGCAATTATTGTTGTCATATCTGTCTTTCCCAACTAAATGATGAGTTCTTTAAGAGCAAGGATGATGTCTGATTCATTTTTCTGTCACCAGTGCTCACAAAACGACCTGGCACAGATTAGATACCCCCTGAACAGTTTCTAAATGGAAGGGTGGGTGGATGGATGGATGAAGGTCAGCAGATGTTCTGACCTTCTGGCGACCACCTGGATGTTCTGGTGGTCAGCGGTAGAGCTACATGCCGCAGGTTAATAAATATGTGTGGTTTTGACTTCATTATTTAAGCTGATTCTCCAGGTTCTCAGGGTTTTTTCCCCTTTGTCTTACTCTCTCTCTCACTCTCCTCCCCCATCAGTCTATCCTCGGGGTACAGTGTGAAGTACAGAAGCAGCTCAAGGCCTTTGTCACCTTAGAACGGTTTGACCAGCTCTATGGCTCCACAATCACCAGCTGCCAGCAGGCTCCAAAGACCAAGAAGTTTGCATCCAGCGGCTCAGTCTTTGGCAAGGGGGTCAAGTTTGCCTTGAAGGATGGCCGAGTGACCACAGACATCATCAGTGTGGCCAATGAGGATGGGCGAAGGGTTGCTGCCATCTTGAACCATGCCCACTACCTAGAGAACCTGCACTTCACCATTGATGGGGTGGATACCCATTACTTTGTGAAACCAGGACCTTCAGAAGGTGACCTGGCCATCCTGGGCCTCAGTGGGGGGCGGCGAACCCTGGAGAATGGGGTCAACGTCACTGTGTCCCAGATCAACACAGTACTTAATGGCAGGACTAGACGCTACACAGACATCCAGCTCCAGTACGGGGCACTGTGCTTGAACACACGCTACGGGACAACGTTGGATGAGGAGAAGGCACGGGTCCTGGAGCTGGCCCGGCAGAGAGCCGTGCGCCAAGCGTGGGCCCGCGAGCAGCAGAGACTGCGGGAAGGGGAGGAAGGCCTGCGGGCCTGGACAGAGGGGGAGAAGCAGCAGGTGCTGAGCACAGGGCGGGTGCAAGGCTACGACGGCTTTTTCGTGATCTCTGTCGAGCAGTACCCAGAACTGTCAGACAGCGCCAACAACATCCACTTCATGAGACAGAGCGAGATGGGCCGGAGGTGACAGAGAGGACCAAGGACTTCTTGCCAAAGACAGCTACTCTTTTGTGGCCGCATACCTGACTGTGTTGTACTTTTAAAAAAATGATTTTTTAACAAGTGCAGAAACAAAAAGATACTGGTTGCATTGTAACTCATGCAACATCCTTTTTTTTAGAAAAGAAAAACACAGATTTGGCCTTCGCACATTTTTTGCAAAGAACAGAAGGTATTTTTTTCTGTAGTGTGATCACAATGAAAACTTTATTGTCTTTTGTTCCCTTTTTCCTTGAGGATTTTTCCCTTGTCGTTTGGGGTATGTATCTCCTCTCTGAGATGCATCTCCTGGGGTGTGTCCTCGTCTGTCCCTAGGTACCCAGTGTGATGTGGGACATGAATGTCTGTGCTAACTTGTCTCATGTGCAACCCTTTCTTCTTCGACTGGGGTCGGGCAGGAGTAAAGGGAGTGATGGGCCAGTACAACACCCCTTCCAAGGGGGCCTGGGAGGAGGGTCTGTAGGACCTGAGGCTCCTTGGCAGGGCTCCTGCAGAAGAGTGGTGGATTTCTTCTCACCTTGTTCTCTGCCTCCAGAGGATCATAGATGGCTTCATCTTGCTCCAGGGAATTTCATGGTGTTGTTCAGCACCTTTTTTAAGCTGCCCCAAACTCCTGTTCAAGCTTTCTATTTTGATGCTGAATGAAACCCCCTACCACTTTTGCAAATCCTGTGTAGTTGTCGGTGCCACCCCCATGCTGGGATAGAGAAAGTGTCTCCCAGGTCCTTTCCCCCAGACCAGTGACATAACATCCTGGGCTCAGAGTCCCATCCTCCCGGGAGGGAAAGCACCCAGGATGCCTGTGATTGGTTGGTCCTCCATGATGTTCCTGTTCATCTCCTCCTTTCTCCCAAAGCCAGATGTGAGAACGAGCACTGCACAGCAAGCCTTCAATGTGGGCACCATGTCCACAGAACAGAAGGCCACCCATGGCAAAGGCATGGCAGTGGTGGCGAGGGCACCAGCCTGCCTTCCGAGGCAAAGCCCTCTCTCTATGACTTTGAGTATCTTCCCTCCACCACTCAGCCGCCACCACTGAGACGTAGGAATGTGGAGGGAGGTGCTTGGTGGCCTTTGATTCTGGAAAAATGCTTAACAAAAAAAGCCAGCCAAAGAGAGGAAGGCATAAGCTAAGCATCCTTCTAACCAGTTCCCAAAGTCCCATCTGCCTCCATGTACCAGCTGATCGCAGAGCTGGACTGGGGCAGGCTGGGCTTCCAGGAAATTCCTGAAGTTCTGAAACAGCTTCCCCTCTAGAGAAGCCCACCCAATGTGTTTTTTAGTGACAGGAAGAAAGGAGGGAAGAGCTGATGTGGTGTGGCCTGCCCATATCATACAACCCCACCAGGAGCAGGGCAGTTCCCAAGGTGGGTGCCCGTAGATCTGGGAGGCCAGGCTGGCATGATTCCTGTGAAGAACTGTGCCTGTGTCGTCAGGGAGAGGCCTGAGCCCTCTCAGAAGCAGGGACAGCCCACACCTGAAGAGCACGCCCAAGCTGAGGCAGCAGCCAGCAGGCTGGGGGAGCAGTGAGGGCAGGGGGAGTCACAGCCAGAGCTGGGAGCCCCTTGTTCAAGGATTCCATTCCTGGTTCATCCGCCTAATTACCATTGTCATTACCACTCACAGGAGGCTCTGGGAGATGGGAGGGGAAGCCAAATGCTTCCTTTTAAGCTGGGCTTCTTAGAAAATGGAACTTTTATGGGTTACATTTACATTAAGTGTGGAAAATGAATTCTGAGTCTGAGCTATTCCCCGTGGAAACCTTGTTGGACTGATAAGCTCATGGCACCTCTATAGCCTTACTCACATAGTCTTCAGAATATTACACAAGTTAATGAAACTGAGAAGGTCTGACTGCATGAGGATCGGAGCAGCATGTAGTCTGGGTTCTGCCTGGCAGAGGGAGGCAACCAAAACTTCTTGGGGAGAGGAGATTTCGCCTTAACGTCATCCCACTGGGATTAGAGGATGTGTTTCGCTAAGTGCTCTTCCTGTTTCCAAAAAAAAAGCCACCCTGCTGCAGCAGTGCGCTTTGGCCTGCTTGTCCACTGGTTGCCCATTGCCCCTGGATCCAGAGCTCTACTGAGTCAGATACAGTGCTCTGCAGGCCTGCTGTGGGAGGCATGAGCTGGAGATGGGGGCTCCCATCTGGCAGGATCATTCTTGGATGAGATGGAAAACAGTTTGGCCTGAAGAACACAAGTTTTGTCCTCCAGAAGGGACTTACGCCTCTCAAAATGTACTCTTCATACCAAGGGCCCTTGGGCAAAGTGCTCCTGCCCAGTTGATCAGTCCCATCCTGGCTGCCTGACATCAGTGAAGACCTGCTGGGGATGTCTGCTCAGAGGTCAGGAACGGCATGCGGTCCACAGGAACCAGCTCCCTACGCTTCCCCCACGCCCTGTCCCTCCTCCACAGCCCCCTCCCCAAAGGAATAGGGTGGACTTTTAGGGATCAAAAACAGAATTATTGGGTGTTTCATTTATTTTTTTCTTTCTTTCTTTTTTTTTTCATAGAGATGGGGTCTCACTATGTTGCCCAGGCTGTTCTCAAACTCCTGGCCTCAGGCGATCCACCTTGGCCTCCTGAAGTGCTGGGGTTACAGGTGTGAGCCACTGCGCCTGGACTGAGTGTTTGTTTCTTTAAAGGATCTTATATTTTTCCTGTGCTACATACCACCACAGCAGCCCAGCTTCTGTGGGGAGAGAAGTTGAAGGATCCCGAAGCTTTAGAAAAAGGATCTCAGCTGTGGCACAGGCAGTGTTATGCGCCTCACTGCCACATTGGTGCTGTTGTATTGAAGGTGGTGCTTCTGGCCTTGGCCCTTTTGAGTTGGTTTCCATTTGGGCTGCAGGTGACTCAGTGACTCCCTCCTCAAGCTGTCCTCCTGCTAAGACCAGCAGTCACAAACCCATGGCAAGGGTGAGTGTGAAGGCCTAACCCTGTGCCTATGTAATAGGCTCCAAGCATCGACTCCCATCCTGAGAGGACCGGCCCTTTTGACACTCACCAACCAAATCTGTTCATTCGATAGAGTGACCAGGCCTCCCTCACCTGCCCAGGTGTATGATCCTACAGTTCCTGCCTTCTCTCCTACCCCGCACAGCTGCCAACTGGTCCTACATCCTCAGCCCCTCTGCCACCACCTTAAATAGGACTTTACTGATTCCCCAACTTTGTTTTTTTGTAGGATGAGATTTCCTTTTTATCCCACCCCCCCACACCCCAAACAGACATTGCTGGAGGGCAGACTGGAGGAAGGGGAAGGCATGCAGGTAAATTACTGCCTTGTCAGCCTCTGACCCTCATCTCTCAGAATTGTTGGCTGAGAATTAACCCAAGGACCACACCAGTGCCTGATTTCTACTTAGGGAGAGAGGATTGGAAACGATCCCTAAGAAACTGACTGAGGGTGAGAATGGCCAGGAGGTGTGTGTCCAAATAACCAGGAGGGGGCACAGAAGATGATGGCAAGGCAGACTGGGCAGTGTTTTGTAGACACAGAACAAAGAATCAGAATTTGAAAAAAGAAGAAAAACAAATCTTCGCAGCTGCAACTTTAAAGTATCACCTTTATAGATGGCAGGGATTTCCATTATGCAAATGGAATCTAAGATTTCAATGTGAAATCTTAGAATGCAGTTTTACCACTTGCAGTCTTGTATTTGTGGTGGCCATGTGGTGAGGGCGGTGATGCTGAGCTTTCTGCCCAGGAGGAATGAGCTTTCAAGCTCTCAGCAGGGTGTCAGGCTTGGGGATTTGAGCATCCACTGCTCAAAGTCCAGGCTATTCTCCAGTCCTCACGGCAGCCACTAAGCCCAGGAGCCAGACCTGGCCCGGGGACACATCTCCTGAGGGATCCCAGAAAGAACCCAGTCTTTCCTTTCCCTTGGGGTCCTTGTTAGAATGAAAACCTCTCTATTTAAGGCACATCATTCCCAGCTAGGTTTATACACTTGTCTATATTTTACTGGAGGAAAGGGAATTAAAAAAGAACTCTGCAGTTCAAGGCCCTTTCATTTAACCTTCCAAAAACAGCAAACTCATTTTAAAGACTCATTGCTGAGGTGATAGAGAGAAACCTTATCCTCTCCAACCTTCACATTCACAAAAACCATCCTTGTGTACTTGACTGCCCTAGACAGTGGTGACTCTTAGGTTTCATTACGAATGTGGAATATCAGAGTGTGGGAAGGCCCAGGCGAGGGCCAATGTTGTGTTTCTTACCCCCTCTGGAATGCCAAAGGCAAGGTACTAGGTGACCTCCTGGTCCCCAAGAAAATGTGATTTATTCTGAGGGCGAACAGCCAAGGGAGGACTAGTCTGGAGCACGCTCGGCCGTCCTGGCAGGAGCTGAGCCTCAGGTGTCTGGCGGTGCCCCAGCAGCCCTGGATTCACCCAACACCAGAATCCCACTTTTCTAAATCCACCTGTTGTTCTGAGCACCTCTGAACCCGCAGCTTCGGCAAAAGGAGTCTGTACCAAGCTGCTTCTGGATGACCAACACTGGAGACTCTGGCCTTACCATGTGGAAATCATTTTCCTGAAGTCTGGAACTAATTTTGAGAAGTTTTTTTCTCAACACTTTTGTGTTTCTAACACTGTATCTTGACTGTGTAAATACCAACAAGGCTGTAAATAAATGCAGATGTAGATACCTTCTAGAAAAAAAAAAGCATAAAAACAAAACCAGAAGTGATCCCGTGTAGCCTTCGTTGACAAATAAAGACTATTTTGTGTTTACAGGTGTCTGGTGGCCTTTGCTTGGAGATAAAGGCTTCCTCTTGCCTGTCCCAGCCCCCGAGCCATCCTGGGTTTGCACTTCCCTGCTGGCTGCTATCAGGATGACCTGGGAGAGGACTCAGTCCTAGGCCCCAGGGTCCCTCTAAATCCCTCCAGGCTGCAGCTCTGTCAAGAGGGATGTCCAGAGGGTCTCTAAGACCCTGAAGCTTGACTTTGCAATTGCATGACAGGAATAAATATCACAGCTCCTCTGACATCACTAGTGCAGCGTGGCTCCCCATCCCACTGCTGCCCTCGTTCAGGGACAGGCTGAAGGGGCCAACGAACCCAACCCTCCCAGAGGAGGGAGCCTTGCTCCACCACTGGGCACACAGAGTCATCCACCATGCCACTGCCTTCCACAAGGGATGTGAGCCGTTGCACTTTAAAAATAAATGACTGTATATTCATCATACAAATAATTGTAACTACATAATACACCTTGGGAAATGAGAAAGGAAGAAAATTCCTTCGGGCTTTCCCCGCCTCTGTGTGTTCTTAATGTTGTTGTTTTTTATCTAAGGTGTTGTCATCACAGCATACGGGTAATTTTTCACCCTGCTTTTCTCACTTAACCTCATGTTGAACCTATCAGCCCTAGGAGTCAGGGACAACAGCTGGTCTCTTGAAAGAGTACACGTGCTAAGCCCAGCTCCCTGGTGTGAATGGCAAACCTTATGAAAATTCAAATAATTGTCCTTTGAGGACAGGAATTAGAATAGAAGTCCTCATCTCTCGCCCATCAGCCTCAGGACTGGTCACCACCAGGTCCTCAGGGAAGGAGCCGCAAGCTTTGGGGCTCTTCCTTCCACCCAGGCCCCTGTGGGTTTTCCAGGCCTTGCTGCCCAGACCATTGCACGTTGGTGGGTCAGTGGTCCCAATAGGCACTGACAATCTCGCTCTGGGAATCAAGCCAAATTTGGTGCAGAATGCAGCTCTAGTACTGTGTGATCTTTGGCAAGTCATTTAACCCCTCTAAGCTTTGGATTTTCCATCTATGCTGAGATTATGGTGATATAGACCCCCCACCACCACCCCCAGTCACTGCTTAGAGCACTTGAAAGAACATGCGAGTAATGTAGCCCATGACTCAGAACACAGCAGACTTTCCCCAGTGCCCAATATGAGTTGTCCCCGTCACACCTCCCTCCCCCACCAGCCCACCCCACCTTCCAAAGTCTAGTACTGTTTCCACTACACCAGTGGTTCTCGAACTTTGGGCTGCATCCAAATCACCCAGAAGTCTTATTAAAACACAGATTGCTAGGTTCCACCACCAGAATTTCTCAATCAGTGGGTCTGGGTGCAGCCTTATAATCTGCAATGATAACAGGTTCCCAGGTGATTCTGATGCCCCATCAGGCTTGAGAGCCGCTGCCAACTACACTATCCTTTATACTGTACAGAATAAGCCACTGAGCCTGGCACTTCAGATACCCTCAATCAATGACAATACGCTCAATCAATGCCCCTTCTCTTCCCCACATAGCCACAGTCTGCTGCATGGGTCATGCACCAGCCCACAGTTGTTTCTAGACTTTGACCCACATGGGCCTTTGCACGAGCTGCTGCCTTGAGCCCAGCTGAAATAAACTCTTGCTGCTCATTCCCCTCTGGAAAGGCACTCCCTAAGCATCTGCCATGCACATGCCCTTTCAGGACTCGATCATTCTTACATGTGCGCTCCTCCAGGCCAACGAGGCTGTCTAATTTCCTGTGTGTTTCCCAGTACCCAAAACAGCTTCTCAGCCGTGGGTCACCCTAAGGTCAGCTTTTGCTTTCTTCGAAGATCCCACTCCCTCTGATGTATTTGAGAAAGAGGGCCTTGTCTCCTGTTCCCTTCCGAATGGAGGCCACGCCTCCTCTGAACGGGCTGCCCGCTCCCTGCCCCCCACCCACACCACCTCAGCCACTCTCCTCGCAAAGCTGCTGCAGCTGTGCAAGGCCCTCAGGAAGGAGGAAGAGGTAAGAACCAGGGCCTCTCCTTCCCCGCCAGCCCCAGGTCCTCAGGTCCCGCTAAAATCCTGCCCTCAAAGTTGTGTGGGTAATTAGGACTTTCCTGATCCATCAGAGGCTGTGGAGAAAATTACAACATAGGAGGAAAAAGACCTTAAAAGTGAGTACTACTCTTTCTTTCCCATATCCAGAGAAGCGTCTAAGAAGCTAAACGTTAAACGTCTTACAGGGGCTTCCCGCTTGGTCACATCCCACCCTGACCTTGTTCCTGGTCCTCATAGTCACCTCTGTGGGAGGCTCTCCTTCCAACCTTCACACTAGAAATCTCTCCCCAGACCCTGGGAAACTCCATCCATACACAAGGGCCCACCCCTGCCCGCGTCAGGCAATCTAGCAATTAATTTCTCAAGCCTGAATTAATCAGTCTGGAATAACCCCAGGGTGGGCCCCAGTTCCCACCCCCAGACCAGCCCCCTTCCAATGTCTCATGGACAATAGGAGTTGCAAATACATTCTTCACCCTTTCAAGAATCCAAAACATATATGTGGAGTTACACGCACACACCTTGCAAGGACGAATATCACTTCTCAGGAGCAATGCAGCCTTAAACCCAAGGAGAAGAACAGAAGCATTCTCCTATCTGCCCTGTAATCTGCAAGCCCATCCTGTCCCAAAGAACGTCAGAAGCTGCCATTGTATGTAGAGCTTTCAAAATAAGCCCACTCCCAGGACTACCAGAGTTAGGAATTGTACCCGTTACCTGGGCCAAGACGCAGTAGAGCTTTGAAATTCCTTCTGATGAATATCTAAGTTCTTAGGGTAACAACCTATGATATGAGAATAGAGGAAATGGGGTCATTCTTTCAGATTCGGATATTTATTATATGAGTGAGTAAATGGATGAGTAGAGAATGGATGACTGTATGAATAAACACCATAGCCAGGCCCTTGACAAGGCCTGGAGGAGGAATTACAATCAGTCAACAGCCATTTAATGAGCACTTCATATATACAAGATCCCAGCCTAAGCAGCCTCAGAAAACCTGAAGGTGTAAGACAGGACCCTTTGCTGATAAGCATCACCACTCAATCAGGGAGTCTAGAAAGATTCAGAAAACAGACTCTGTGATACTAAGGAGCATGTGCTCTCTGTCACTATTCCAGAAGCCTCGGCATCCAAGCTTGCTAGAACCCAGAAATCTCAGAGAGGTGGCCTGAGGCCCACCCAGTGGACTCAAGAGGCTCCATTAGCTTGAGCTCAGTCTGGCGTCTGAGACATTGCCAGTTTTACAGCAGCCAGGGCTCCAACACTACGGAGTGTGAGGGTGCAGACTGGATGGTACAGGAGCAGAATTCTGTTGGCAGCAGAATCCCATCAACACCCAAGAGTCTGGTCCAGACCCTGGAGGTGTCAGTCTAGGCAGAGGGGCTAGAGGAACAAGCAGGGCAAGGTGATAACGTGGCAGTGAGATGGACACAAGTGCCCTGGTGTCCACACTCGACTCACATGGGTTTGGTGGTGGGGAGAACCAAGCTCTGGGGGACACAATCTCATCACCTGCCCATAGCCATGATTCTGTGACAGCAGGACCAGCCCCAGCCCCCACGTCCTGCCCATGGCTAAGGTTCCTAATGTGCTCTATCAGCCTGTGATCTGGGCTAAAAACTCAGCGCCTCCAGCTGGCTTGGGGGTGGAGAGAGGGGGAGTACCCAAGTGCTAAGAAAGTAGCTCCAACAAAACCTGCTTTCCACGGTACCAAAGGAGAACTCAGGGAGGGCTGAGTGAAGAGAGGAAGGAACCCGAGAAAATTTCCTGGAAGAGGTGGATTTAGTGAGAAAAGATCAGGTGAGAGGAAAGTGTGTTTTTCATGTGGACCTGGGGGAGCCTGGGCCTCCGAGCCTCACTTCTGGAAACCAAGTCCAGTAAGCATGAAGCCAAAATTTCCTGGGGCTCCAATCCAGCATGTCTCCACTTTTTTCACACTGCAAAACCCACAATGGTTGATGTTTGATGTAGGACCCACTCCCATAGGTATGCCTAGATTTGCGATGACGTGGGTGGCGGTGATCTGCAAATCCCAGCACGCAGGAACACCTCTTCTTTTTCCCCCACTCATAAAGCATCTCAGAATGCAAGCAAGAAAGAGAAAGATCACGTTACAGGGACAATTCTGAAGGCATGCTAATTTATAGCAAAAATAATTTGCCAAGTAGTACTTTAGTATTCATAATGACTGACTCCTGGCCCATTGCTTCACTGTTTGTAGTAACACAAAGACCAGGAACAATTGCTACCTCCTTTTTTCTCCTCTTTCTGTTGTGGGTCAGGGAGTTCCCCATAAACAGATCCTGAGATAAGGATGTGTCTGAAAGTAGGTTACTAGGAAGTGGTCCCAGGGAAAATGGGTACACAAATAGAGATGAGGGAGAGGAAATAGGGAGGGCCGATCAAGGGTGTGAAAATCCAGCAAAGTTCCAAGAGAATAATTTTGGCTAAGTCCTGCAGGAGAGTTGTGGAAACATAACAAGTCACACCTGGGAGTTTTCCCCCTGGGGGCAGGCAGCTGGGCTTTTGACACCTCTGCACCTGCCAGTCATCAGTTAAGGGCTGCTCCTGGGACTGTCTTTACCCAGGCACTTCTGGCTCTCCGTGCACTCAGGCAAAATGAGCTCTGGCAGCCTGAGGACAGCCTGCCTACAAAGACTCCCAGGTGTTAGCTGCTGGGAATGAAAGCACACAGGCTTCATTCATTTCCATCCAAGAGGGTTGAAGGAGTCTCACAGCATCTACTGAAATCTCATATCCTACGCCGCAGTAGGCACCTAGTAAATGCTGGTTGCTTATTGGCTAGCAAAGGATGCATCCAAGAGAACAGGACACAATAATCACGTGCATTAAAGCTGACGCGGGGTGGGGGGACCCCACCTATTTGGTTTACCACCGTATCCCTGGTACCTGGCACAGGAACCTTGTACACAGGTTTGTTAGATAAATGATAAATGGATCTCCCCATGGTGATGTTGTTATCTGAGAGCTGCTCCAGGTCTCCCTAGTTCCCCCCATCAGTTCTTGCCTGACTCAGCTGATGCTGCCTGAGACCACAGAGCTCAGGAGGAGCTCACTGGGGCTTCATCACATGGTGACCCACCTCACTGAGCAAGTGCCACCCAACTGTTAGGCCCAACATCTGCCCTGTTCTCTCTAATCAGATGCTTTTGAGGACAAGCAGTGTGGCTCAGTAGACACGATAGGTGTGGGCTGCAGACCCAGTACTTCCTACATTTAATCTCATTTGAACCTACAACAAAATTCATGGTAGGTATTATTACCTTCCATTTTGCAGATGAGCTTTATAAGACCCAGAGATGGTTTGTGCTATTAAATGATAGAATCAGCATCAGTCCAGATTTACCTAACTCCAAGTTCTAGGCTATCGATCTTACATCTTAAAGCTCAGGAGTGAGGGAGTTTCTGATGTGACAGGCTTCATACATTGACATCTGAAGATGGACAACCACCTTTCCAGTGCCCAGAAAGTCACCCATCCACAGGCACAAGGCTCACCTGAGACTTCGCTCAACTCCAAATTTAGGGCTGGCTCCAAAGGCGTGCGACCTGTGTAGTCACACAGGGTCCTGCGCTTAGGGCCCACTCTTGGTTTAATGCTCTGCTGTTGCCATCTTGAAACACTTAATTTTTGAACAAGGTCCTGTGTTTTCACTTTGTACTGGGCTGTGCAAGTTATGGAGGCAGCCCTGTCCACACTGCTTACCCAGTGTGAACAAACTTTCAGCATTCTAGGACATTCTCAAGAACCTGAGGCAGAGGATGAGCCCTGGAGCCCCCCAAATGGGTGGGGAAGCTGTGGGCAGGAAAGCCCTTCCATACATGTTGGGTCAGGACTGGATAGAACCAGCCGAGACCTTCCCACCAGCTCCAAGCCAGGAAACCCCCACTCAGTGGTAAACATCTAAGTCCATTAAGTGGCAAAGACTTGGAGCACAGGTAAAGACTGTGGGGCACAAAGAAACTACAAACCTGTTCTGCCTAGGGGAGGATAAATCAGGAGAGGCTTCTAGAGGAAGGCAACCCCTTAACTGTTCAAAGAAAGAAATGAAGAAGAGCATTCCAGGTGGAGGGTGTCGTAGAGTTAAGGTACCAATGTGTCCTGCGGGTGGCTTGGCATATCGTGGGGGAGCCAGGGGAGGGGCCTTAAGAGTTAGGGCTGAACAGGTGGGCAGAGGCCAATCAGGTAGACTTGACTTTTCCTCCTCCTCCTCTGGTTTTCTTAAATATTCATGCACACACCATGCACATTCTCCTGGGTTAGTCTCCATTTCCACCCAAAATCTTGCCAGATGGCTGGGAAGCATTTATATGAGAAGCTTTATTTTCTCCAGCTAGGCGTTTATCTGCTCTTCCACTCTACTGTACAGGACAGGTGATGTATTAACACACCCCTGATTTCTTCACATTGATAACGCCACCTAGTGGCCACCTGTCACACTTTCCCATTCCTCCAAATTGATAGGCAGAAAAACATGGGTGAGATCAGGTAAGATCATGCTCATCCCTTGTCCTGCTCCTGTACTTCCTAGAGTTCAGACGACCTCCATAGGAGAACCCTTTCGACCTGTACAACAGTCCCAAGGTTCAGCAATGACTCTCAGATGATGCCCTAAAAGCACCTCACACTCTCACACCAGAAAGGAAAAGCAGGAAAATTAGCTCTAGCAGTCCCTACCTTCCCTCTGCTCCCTGGGCCAATGTGAAGAGGATCCTTCAGTTCTGAATGTGGTGCCCCCAGCACCATACAGACAACTACAGAGGCTGCTGCTGTGCCTGAGGTTGGAAAAAGGTGGACAAAACAGCACTCACGACTCATGGGGCTTGGAGAGATTTAACTTAGGCATCTTTAAACAATCAATGATGCTAACAGCAATAACAAGCAGAACAAGGAGGAGGAGAAGGAGCTATTTCTTGAGAGCCATTCCCTCTATCAGACAACCACACTAGGCCTTTTACACTTCTTCCTTGAATGCATTTTTGTAAGTTCATTAAATCTTTCCCACTGCAAGGAAAGCTTCAGATGGCAATTAACATGTACTGGGTGCCTACAATGTGTCAAGCAGTTTCCTAGGCACTTTGAATGCATTTGCTCATTTATTACTCACCACAGTACAACAAGAGAGGTACTGTTAGTATCCAATTTTCAGGCGGAGAGGCAGGCACTTGCCAAGGGCATGTGAGGTAGCAAGCAGATGGAACTGGGAGTTGAAGCTGAGCAACCTAGTTCCAGGCTTGCACGATTCATCACTACCCAGACTCCCTCCTAGGCTGAGACAAAAAGAAAATGTGTACACCCTGTCCTGGAATTTACTGGTCTACTTAGGAAGAGAGATATATAACTGAAGATCCATAAGGCATTCACTTATTTACTCATTCTGCAAACTTTCCCTCAAGGACATCTTACACCAGGTGTGGATGAGTGTGTAGGTGTTAATTCCCTCAGTCTGGTGGGAAGAGAAGCTAAGCCAGGTTGTACCTGCACACCAGTGATTCAGGATGAGGCAGCAGGCACTGGGACTCACGGGATGAGAAACAGAGTTTGGGGACAGCTGGCCAGGCAGTGCCCAAGCCCTGGTCTAATGGGGTCTGAAGAATACCTCTCTGCCCAGCAGATAAGGAATTCTCAGCAAACTGCTAGCCCTTATTATATCTAAAAAGCTCCACCGATTCTCTTCCTTTAGCTTTATCCCTCCTACCTAGGAAGAGAAGGTGAATACTGTCTGATGGGTGGTCAAGCAGGACCTAGCCTCTTGCAGCAAAAACAGAACTAGCTCTTCCTGGGTCCAAGGCTCCAGATAAACTGGCCTGAGCTGCCATCTACCGGCCAACTGTGCACACTGCAGCAGATACTGCCAAGGCCACCTTCTTGACCAGGTGCAGAGGGATGGAGGACTAAGGTGGCTGAATTCCTTAACTGTTAAGACAGGGGGAGGCTGTCATCTCCTAGTGTGTTACAAACAAAAGGAGACTGAGACTCTGAGAGGTGGCACAAGGTAGTAATCATTTCCATTGACCATTTGCCAGGCACTGTGAAAAGCACTTCACATTGCTCTTCTAATTGAATCTTAAGAATCTCGTGAGTACTATTACTTATCCCCCCTTTATGTGTTGTGTTTCTGAAGTCTCTCCATTCTATAATAGTTTTCCCTTCTTTTTAATGCTATTTATTTATTAAAGAAAAAGGTTATTTGTACTCCAGGATATCTCACAACCTGGATTTAGCGGCTAGTTCTTCATGGTGTCACTTTACTTGTTCTCAGGCCTCATAATTCCTAGAAGCTGGCATGTAGCACTAAAGGCTTAATTAAATTCAGGTTCAATTGTTTTAAGCAAGACTAACTCATAGGTACTTTCTATTACATCTAATGGGGGACACATAGTGTTTGATTATTCTACTTCTAGTGATAAGATTTGGTGACGTTAAATAAAAAAATGCTGACTTCTTAGTCTATTATTCCTTCATTAACTGGAACTCTTCTTTAAATAAGTAAAATATCCAAGTAAGTGGAGCAGTTAGAGAACCTGCACAGGCTGCATAGAGCAGCTATGTGGAGCCGAAAAGCAAATAGTGGCAGCCAGATTGGAGAAGAACAAAATTTGGAGGGCCACTGAACTGGCAGAATTCACCTCCCTTTTCCACTCTGGTATCCCCACGCCTTGACTCAGGTAGTTGAAAGTCCAGAGGTGCGCATCCAAAAGAAACCTCTATTTCACCTCGAGGAGTGGGAAGGGGCCCCCTGAGAGTGGCAGCATTAACAGCGGAGGCCCATAGACATGGGGGAAGCTTCTCTCTGATTGGAGGAGCGGGGGTGTCAAGAGTATGGGTGAACCTCCACTACATTTTCTCTCTGTCCTTTCACCAATTGGTCCTAGATGCAGGTGCAGTAGCTGCAGCAAGTGTGTGTCAGAGAGAGGCAAATAAAGCCTGAGATTTCTGGCTGGAAAACCTAAAATGTGGGCCTCAGGGCAATGAAAAATACCAAGGGAGATGGTGATGATGGAGAAGCTCAAGACAGTGGTAAAGTCGTTTGTGAATGCCCAGACTCATCCCTGAGCATCGCATGCATAGATCTGATCCTACGCAGTATGCCATAAACTTTGAGAACTGAACTCAGAAAAGAGTCCGTGGCTCTGGTCCCAGACTGCCCATTGGGTGGCACACATGCAGAACAGATTTGAATAGCCTGACAGTGTCTTGGAAAACCAAGCAGACATTGAAACCACAATCTATAGAAGGTTGGTCAAAACATGTTCTGAACCCAATCTAGTCAAATGCTTGCAAAAAAAAAAAAAAAAAAAAACTCTCCATAGAATTAAGATCCAGTGTTATAACATTTGAAGTAGTCAAGACACTTGGCCTATGAGGAAAATCTTAGCCAATACTGAGATGACACATATGTTGACCTTATCTATGAAAGACTAAAGCAGCAATATAAAAGTGCTCCAAAAGTGAGAAGGAACATACTTGAAACAAATGAAAGGTATGAAGTCTCAGAAAAGAAATAAAATATATAAAGAAAAACCAAATGAAAATCTGACAACTAAAAAAACACAATGACCAAAAGTTTAAACATTCACTGGATGGGCTCAATATGGCAGAATGGAGATGACAGAAAAAGAATGAATCAGCTTGAAGACAGACATTTTAAAATAGCCAATTTAAACAACACAGAGGAAAAAAGACTGGAAACAATGAATACAGCCTCAGGGATGTATGGGACCACATGAAAATGTCTAATTGTGCCATTTGAGTCAGAGAAAGAGAAGAGACAGTGCAGTGCAGAAAACATGCTTACAGAAATAAAAACTGAAAACTTTCCGAATTTGGAGAAAAACATAAACTTACAGATTCAGGAAGCCCCGGAAACTCCAAGCAAGACAAATTCAACGAAATTCATTCCTAGACATTATAACCAAACTACTGAAATTAAAAGCAAAAGAAAAAAAAAGAGAATGTCCGGAAAAAAATAACACATTACTTATACGGAAACAATGATTCAAGTGACTGTGAACTTTGCATCAAAACCCATGAAAGCCAGAAGACAGAACATTCTAAAGTGCTCAGAGAAAACAAATGTCAACTCAGAATTCTAAGTCCAGTGAAAATAACCTTTAGGAATGAAGGTAAAAGTAAGAATTCACAAATGAAGTAAAACTAAGAGAATTTTTCATCAGCAATCAGCTCTGCAACAACTGCTCAGGGAAGTTCTTCAGACAAAGGAAATGATAACTGGACAGAACTCTTGGAACATCAGGAGCTGGAAAAGAGCAACAAAAAATGATAATTGTGTAAACATGACAGATTATTCTTCTCTTAAGTACTTTAAAATATGTTTGATTGTTGAAAGTAAAAGAGTCTGAAAGTAAAAGAGTCTCAAAGGGTTTCAATACAGAGGAGGGAGGGTAAAAAGAACTACATAATAATCTTTCTACATTCCACTTGAAGTAGTGAATATTTCTTATTATTTCTGAGCAAAAAATTGAGAACATCTATTCCAATCTCGAGTAATGACTAAAAGACATATAGTAAAAACACAATAATTTAAATACAAGAAAAAAATGTTCAAAGAACCCAAAAGAAGACAGAAAATGAAAAACAAAGAAAAAGCAAATAACAAAATAGAAGGCCTAAATACAAAGATGTCAATAATTACAATAAATACAAATGATTTAAACACATCAACTAAAAGAGATATCAGGATAAAAATATATGACCCAACTATATGTTGTATTTTAAAAATCATCTTAAATATAAAGCTATGCATAAGTTAAAAGTAAAATGATGGCCTAGTACCGTGGCTCGCACCTGTAATTTCAGCACTTTGGGAGGCCAAGGCGAGCAGATCGCGAGGTCAGGAGATTGAGACCAGCCTGGCCAACATGGTGAAACCCCGTCTCTACTGAAAATACAAAAATTAGCCAGTCATGGTGGTGGGCACCTGTAATCCCAGCTACTCAGGAGTCTGAGGCAGGAAAATCGCTTGAACCTGGGAGACGGAGGTTGCACTGAGCCGAGATCATGCCACTACACTCCAGCCTGGGTGACAGAGCAAGACTCCATCTCAAAAAAAAAAGAAAAATGATAAAAATACTGTGAAAACATTAATCAAAAAGCCACAGTGATTATTAATATCAAACAAAGCAGACTTCAAAGCAAATTACCAGAGATAAATTATCACGATAAAAGGGTCAATTCACCAAGAAGATGCAACAAACTTAGATGTGCATGCATTTAACAACAGAGGTTCAAAATGCATGAAGCGAAAACTGACAGAACTGAAAGAAAAAATCAACAAATCCACAATTATAGTTGGAGAGTTCCACATGCCATTTTTAGTAATCAATAGAATTAATGGACAGAAAATCAGCAAGGATATAGAAGAACTGTACTAAACCATCAACCAACTAGATTTAATTAACACTTATATAATACTCTGCCCAACAACAGCCAAATGCACATTCTTTTCAAGTGCACGTGAAACATTCACCAGGATAAACCACATCCTGGGTCATAAAATAAGTTTTCACAATTTTAAGATAATTGAAAGAGTATGTTCTCAAATCAAGAATCTAAACTTTCTACCCTAAGAAACAAGAAAATAAGAGCAAAATTAACAGAAAGCAAGCAGAAAAAAAGGAAATAATAAAGAGCAGAAATCAAATAAACCAACAAAAATATTGAAACTTAGTTATTTAAAAAGATGAATAAAACTATAAAACTTCTAGTAAGACAAAAAAGGGAGAAGACACAAATTACCAATATTAGGAATAAACAGGCTATCACTACAAATCCAACAGAAATTAAAAGATAATTAGAGAATATGAATACATAATTTCTATACACAATACTACACATATAATTTCAACAACTTCATTGAAATAAGTCAATTCTTTGGAAATTATAAGCTACCAAAACACTCAAGATGGAATAAATAACTTCCATAGTACTATAATAATTATTAATAAATTGAATTCATAGTTTTATTGAAAGAGTTGCAAATTCCTTCAGGATAAAATGGTTTCTATAAATGTAACTATTCTTTTCTTCTCTTTTCTTTTTTGTTTTTTGAGATAGGGTCTCATTTTGTTGTCCAGGCTGCAGTGCAGTAGTGTGATCATAGCTCACTGCAGCCTCGAACTCCTAGGCTCAAGAGATCCTTCCACTCAGCCTCCTGAGTAGCTGGGACTGATTTGTAGTACATATGAAGTCAGGTAGTGTGATACTTCCAGCTTTTTGCTCAGAATTGCTTTGGCTATTCCAGGTCTTTGTGATTCCATAGAAATTTTTGGATTGTTATCTCTATTACTATAAAAAATGTCATTGGTATTTTGATAGGGATTGTATTGAATATGTTGATTGCTTTGGAGAGTATGTTCTTTTAAAAAATATCCTTCTGATCCATGAGCATGAGATGCCTTTCCATTTGTTTGTGTCCTCTTCAAGTTCTTTTATCTGCATTTAGTAGTTTTCCTTGTAAGCGTCTTTCATCTCCTTAGTTAATTTTTTCCTGGGTAATTTTTGTAACTATTATAAATGGGATTGCTTTCTTGATGCCTTTTACAGCTAGTTCATTATTAGCGTATAGAAATGCTGCTGATTTTTGTATGTTGATATTGTATCCTGCAACTTTACTGACTTCCTTTATCCATTCTACCCTTTTTTTGGTAGAATCTTAAAGTCTTACTATATAAAAAAATAACATTGTATGCTAAGAGGGACAATTTGACTTCCTCTTGTTAATATGGATGCCTTTTTTTCTTCTTGCCTGACCACTCTGGCTAGATTTCAGTATTATGTGAGTAAGAGTGGTGAAAGTGAGCATCCTTGTCTTGTTCCAGTTCTTAAAGGAAATGTGTCCAAAATTGGTGGGTTCTTGGTCTCACTGACTTCAAGAATGAAGCTGCAGACCCTCGCAGTGAGTGTCACAGTTCTTAAAGTTGGTGTGTCCAGAGTTTGTTCCTTCTGATGTTCGGACGTGTTCGGAGTTTCTTCCTTCTGGTGGGCTCGTGGTCTCACTGGCTTCAGGAGTGAAGCTGCAGACCTTCATGGTGAGTGTTACAGCTCTTAAGGCGGTGCATCTGGAGTTGTTCATTCCTCATGGTGGGTTTGTGGTCTTGCTGGCTCAGGAGTGAAGCTGCAGACCTTCGCAGCGAGGGTTACAGCTCATAAAGGCAGTGTACACCCAGAGTGAGCAGCAGCAAGATTTATCACAAAGAGCAAAAGAACAAATTATCCACTGCGTAGAAGGCAACCCAAGCGGGTTGCCACTGCTGGTTCGGGCAGCCTGCTTTTATTTCCTTATCTGGCCCCACCCACATCCTGCTGATTGGTCCATTTTACAGAGAGGTGATTGGTCTGTTTTACAGAGAGCTGATTGGTCCGTTTTGACAGGGCGCTGATTGGTGCGTTTACAATCCCTGAGCTAGACACAAAAGTTCTCCAAGTCCCTACTAGATTAGCTAGACACAAAGCACTGATTGGTGCATTTACAAACCTTGAGCTAGACACAGGGTGCTGATTGGTGTGTTTACAATCCTTTAGCTAGACACAAAGGTTCTCCAAGTACCCACCAGATTAGCTAGATACAGAGTGCTGATTGGTGTGTTTACAAACCTTGAGCTAGACACAGCGTGCTGATTGGTGCATTTACAAACCTTGAGGTAGACACAGGGTGCTGATGGGTGTGTTTACAAACCTTGAGCTAGACACAGAGTGCCGACTGGTGTATTTACAATCCCTTAGCTAGACATAAAGTTTCTCCAAGTCCCCACCAGATTAGCTAGATACAGAGTGCTGATTGGTGCATTTACAAACCTTGAGCTAGACACAGAGTGCTGATTGGTGTATTTACAATCCCTTAGCTAGACATAAAGTTTCTCCAAGTCCCCTCTAGACTCAGGAGCCCAGCTGGCTTCACCTAGTGGATCCTGCACAGGGCTGCAGGCGGAGCCGCCCACCAGTCCTGCGCTGTGCACCCACACTCCTCAGCCCTTGGGCAGTCCATGGGATCAGGCACCACGGAGCAGGGGGCAGCACTCATCGGGGAGGCTCAGGCCACACAGGAGCCCATGGTGGGGGTTTGGGGGGAGGCTTGGGCATGGCGGGCTGCAGGTCCTGAGCCCTGCCCCACCGGGAGGCAGCTGAGGCCCAGCTAGAATTCGAGCGCAGCACCGGTGGGCCGGCACTGCTGGGGGACCCAGCGCACCCTCCGCAGCTGCTGGCCCAGGTGCTAAGCCCCTCACTGCCTGGGCTGGCAGCGCTGGCCGGCTGGCTGCTCCAAGTGCAGGGCCCGCCAAGCCCACACCCACCTGGAACTCTCACTGGCCCGCTAGCGCCGCGCTCAGCCCCAGTTCCCACCTGCACCTGTCCCTCCACACCTCCCCGCAAGCAGAGGGAGGCAGCTCCGGCCTTGGCCAGCCCAGAGAGGGGCTCACACAGTGCAGCGGTGGGCTGAAGGGCTCCTCAAGCGCGGCCAGAGTGGGCACTGAGGCTGAGGAGTCACTGAGAGCGAGCGAGGGCTGCCAGCATGCTGTCACCTCTCAGAAAGACTTTCAATTTTTCCGTGTTCGGTAGGATGTTAGCTGTGGGTTTGTCATATATGGTCTTTGTTGTTTTGAGGTATGTTCATTTTATAGCCAGTTTGTTCAGAGTTTTTATCATGAAGCAATGTTAGATTTAATCAAATGCTTTTTCTGCATTGATTGAGATAATTACATGGTTTTTGTCCTTCATTCTATTGATGTGATGTGTCACATTTACTGATTTGTATAGGTTGAACTATTTTTGCATCCCTAGGAAAAATCACACTTGATCATGGATTATCTTTTTGATGTATTGTTGGATTCAGTTCACTAATGTTTTGTTGAGAATTTTTGTTTTTGTGTTATTCAGGGATATTGTCCTGTAGTGGTTTTTGGTTTTTTGTTTTTTTCATGTTCTTGTCTCACTTTAGTAGCAGGGTAGTGCTGGCCTCAGAATGAAATAGAAGGCTGGGTGCAGTGGCTCACGCCTGTAATCTCAACACTTTGGGCAGCCAAGATGGGCAGATGGCTTGAGTTCAGGAGTTCAAGACCAGCCTAGACAACATGGAAAAACCCAGTCTCTACAAAAAATACGAAAATGAGCTAGGTGTGGTGGTGCATGCCTGTAGTCCCAGATTCTCAGGAGGCTAAGGTGGGAGGATCGTTCAAACCCAAGAAGCAGAGGTTGCAGTGAGTGGAGGTCATGCCACTGTACTCCAGTGTGGGCAACAGAGCGAGACTCTGTTTCAAAAAAAAAAGAATGAAATAGGAAGAATTCCCTCCTCTTCAATTTTTTGGAGGGGTTTGAAAAGAATTACCATTCATTCTTCTTTATAAGTTTGGTAGAGTTCAGCAGTAAAGCCATTCAGTCCTGGGATTTTCTTTGTTGGGAAACTTTCTATTACTAACTCAATCTTTTTTTTTTTTTTTTAGATGAAGTCTGGCTCTGTCGCCCAGGCTCGAGTGCAATGGCGCAATCTCGGCTCACTGCAACCTCTGCCCCACAGGTTCAAGCAATTCTTCTGCCTCAGCCTCCCAAGTAGCTGGGATTACAGGCACATGCCACCACGCCTGGCTACTGGCTAATTAATTTTTGTATTTTTAGTGGAGATGGGCTTTCACCATGTTGGTCAGGCTGGTCATGAACTCCTGACCTCAGGTGGTCTGCCTGCCTTGGCCACCCAAAGTGCTGGGATTACAGGCGTGAGCCATCCCGCCCGGCCTCAGTCTTACTTCCTGTTACTAGTCTGTTGAAGTTTTCTATTTGTTCCTGGTTCACTCTTGGTAGTTTATTATACATGTCCAGAAATGCATTCATTTCCTCTGAGTTTTCCAATTCATTAGCATATAGTTGTTGACAATAGTATCTGATGATCCTTTGTATTTCTGTGGTATCAATTGTAATATATCCTTTTTTGTTTATGATTTTATTTGATCTCTCTCTGTCTCATTAGTCTCACTAGTGGTTTATTGATTTTGTTTATCTTTTCCAAAAACCAACATTTCATTTTATTGATCTTTTGTATTTTCTTTTTAGTTTCTATTTTATTTAGTTTGGCTCTGATCTTTATTATTTCTTATCTTCTAACCTGGGGTTTGCTTTTTCTTGTTTTTCTAGTACTTTAAAATATATTACTAGGTTGTTTATCTGAAATCTTTCTCCCTTTTTAATGGAGGCTTTTATTGCTATAAACTTCTCTCTTAGCCCTGCTTTTGCTGTATCCCATAGGTTTTGGTGTATTGTGTTTTCATATTCATTTGTTTTAAGAAATATTTTGACTTCCTTCTTAGTTTTTTCATTGACCCAATGGTCATTCACGAGAATGTTGTTTAATTTCCATGTACTTGTTTAGTTTCCAAAGTTCCTCTTGCTATTGATTTCTAGTTTTATTTCGTTGTATTCTAAGAAGATAATTGATATGATTTTAATTTTTAAAATTTTAATGAGACTTGTTTTGTGGCCATATATAGTCTATCTGGAGAATGTTCCATGTGCTGATGGAAGAATGTGTATGCTGCAGCCATTGGGTGAAATGTTCTGTAAATGTCTGTTAGTTTCATTTGGTCTAAAGTTCAGTTTAAATTCAATTTCTTTGTTGATTTTCTGTCTAGATGATCTGTCCAATGCTGAGACTGTGGTAGTGAAGTTCCCAACTATTATTGTATTGAAGTCTATCTCTCCCTTTAGATCTAATGATATTTGCTTTATATATCTAGGTGCTCAAGTGTTGGGTACAAATATATTTATAATTGTTATATATTTTTGTTGAATCAACCCCTTTATCCTTGTATAATGACCTTGCCTCTTTTAACTTTTTGACTTAAAGTCTATTTTGTCTGATATGAGTATAGCTACTCCCACTTGCTTTTGGTTTCTGTTTGCATGGAGTATCTTTTTCCACCCCTTCACTTTCAGTCTATATGTGTCTTTGCAGGTGAGGTGAGTTTTGTGTAGGTAACATAGTTGGGTCTTTTTTTCTATCCAGCTAGTCTATATCTTTTAAGTGGGGAATTTAACCAGTTTAAATTCAAGGTTATTACTGATAGGTCAGGACTTATTTCTGTTATTTTGTTCATTTTTTCTGATTATTGTGTATATGCTTTGTTTCTTCCTCTCTTATTATCATTGCAGTTTGGTGGTTTTCTATAGTGGTATTGTTTCAGGGTTTTCTCTTTCTCATTTGTGCATCTGCTCTACCAGTGAGTCTTAAGCTTTCATGTGTTTTCATGATTGTAGATATTGTCTTTTTGCATGCATATTTAGGAGTCCCTTAAGAATTTCTTTAAGTTTGGTCTAGCGGTGATACATTCCCTCAGTTTTTCTTGTCTGGGAAAGACTTTATTTCTTCTTCATTTCTTTTTCTTTTCCTTTTTTCTTTTTAATTTTTGGAGACGGAGTCTCGCTCTGTTGCTCAGGTTGGAGTGCCATGGCTCAATCTCGGCTCACTGCAACCTCCATCTCCCGAGTTCAAGTGATTCTCCTGCCTCAGCCTCCCGAGTAGCTGAGATTACAGGTGCACACCACCACACCCGGCTAATTTTTTGTATTTTGGTAGAGATGGGGTTTTACCATGTTACCCAGGCTGGTCTGGAACTCCTGAGCTCAGGCAATCTGCCCGCCTTGGCCTCCCAAAGTGCTGGGATTACAGGTGTGAGCCACCGCGCCTGGTCTCTTCTTCATTTCTGAAGGGTGGTTTTTTGGTAAGGTATTATTCCTTGCAGGTTTTTTTAAATTTATTTTATTTCAGCACTTTGAATATATCATCCCATTCTCTCCTGGCTCATAAGGTTTCTGCTGAGAAATCCACTGTTAGTCTGATGGGGATTTCCTCAGATGTGATTTGATGCTTTTCTCTTGCTGTTTTTAGAATTCTCTCTTTGTCTTTGACTTTTGACAGCTGGACTACAATGTGTCCTGCAGAAGACCACTATGGCTTGAATCTTTTTGCAGATCCTTGAGCTTCCTGTATCTGAATATCTATATCTGTTGCAAGACTTGAATAGTTTTCAGCTATTATTTTGTTAAATAGGTTTTCTATGACTTTGCCCATCTCTTATCCTGAAACACATAACATTTGAGGATTTTTCTTTCTTTTTAAAATTTTTTTCTTTAATTCTTAAAAATAGAAACAGGATCTCAGTATATTGCTCAGGCTAGTCTCAAACTCCTGGGCTCAAGCAGTCCTGCCTCAGCCTCCCAAAGTGCTAAGATTATAGATGTGAGCCACTGTGCCCAGTCAAAGAAGTGCTTTAGCTTTCTTTAATTGTTTTTATTGTTTGTACAGACAGGGTCTTGCTATGTTGCCCAGGCTTGTCTCAAACTCCTGGCCTCAAGCAATCCTCCCACCTCAGCCTCCCAAAGTGGTGGGATTACAGGTGTGAGCCACCACGCCTGGCCAAGTTTGAAATCTGGGTTGCTTTATGGTATCTCATATGTCACACAGGCTTTCTTCATTCTTATTTATGTATTTTTCCTTTTTTGTCTGCCTATGTTATTTCAAAAGACTTGTCTTCAAGTTCAGAAAGTCTTTATTCTGCTTGATCTAATCTATACTCGAAACTCTCTATTTTATTTTTTATTTCATTCATTGAATTTTCAAACATCAGATTTATATTTGGTACTTTTTAAATGATATCTGTCTCTGCTGAATTTCTCATTCAGATTATAAACTGGTTTTTTTGTATTGTTTATCTGTGTTGTCTTTTATCTCACTGAGCTTCTTTAATGTCATTATTTTGAATTCCTTTTCAGATATTTCATAGATTTCTTTTTCTTTGGAATCTGTTGCAGAATGTTTGTGATTTTTTTTTTTGAGGTGTCATGTTTCTTGTTTTTTCATATTTCTTGTGTCTGTATGTTCATATCTATGCATGTGGTGTAAGAGTTGCTTCTTTCAAATGTGTGCGTTGCCTTTCACAGGGAAAGACATTTTCTGTAGATACATCTATAGTGTTGGTTGGGTAGGGTGCTTTGGCTTTGATTCTGGGTGGGTGGGTGGGTACAGTAGCATAGTCTCTATATGACTGCTTGGGCTGTAATTAGTATCAGTGATGTCAGTGAGTTCCTCAGTGGCTTAGGCTGTGGTTGTTAATGGAGGCTGAGATGAGGGCTTGCTGGAGTTGGGGATGCTAGGCAGGCTGGTCTTTGGGCACTAGTAGGTGGTTGCACAAGTAGGCCAAGCATGTTTGTCTTTGGGTCCCCTAGCAGCATACACAAATAGCAGTGGTAGCAGGTCTGGGCAGGCTGGCCCTTGGGCACCCAGGTGGCTAACTCAAATGCCAGAAGTTGCAAGAGTGGGTTGAGGTAGTGGGTCCTCAGGACCTTATCCAGAGGGACAGGAGGCATGTGTGCATCAGCAACAGCAGTAGCAGTGGTAGGCCAACCCCCTTGGGCCTCCAGATGGCACGTGCTGGTGCCAGCAGTGGCACAGGTGAGTTGAGTAGGCCAGTTCCCAGGTTCCCAAGTGGTGCATGCAGAATGACTGTCATAGCAGCAGGCTAGGCAGGACAGGCCTGTGCTCAGAGCCACCCCCCACCATGGCCTGCATAAGCTGTGACACGTGGGGTGGGTCAATCCCCAGGCCCTTGGGTGGCACTCTCGGTCAGCAGTCGTGGCAATGGGTGAGGTGAGCCTGTCTTCCGGCCCCTGAAAGTGCATGCTGGCACTCGGTAGCCCTGCTGCTGTCCGTGAAATCTTCCCCAGATAGGTGTCTATCAGGATCTGTGGAACATGCATTTCAGCTCCCTTTTTCCTAGGGACAAATGTCCCCAGTGTACTGTACCACCAGTTTCCCAGGGTGTAGGACATTGTATGGGCTAGAGTGCTAGGGACCAACATGTACTGCTTTGTCTAGCTGGTGTCACAATATTGCCGCCCTCTGGATGGATACAGGGAGGATGTCTGCAGGGGTCCAGGGATGTGAAAATGTAGGGGGTGTTAAGCCTCAGGGAAGGATGTAGTGTGTTGGGGTTGGGCTCTCAAAATGTAATTGTGCTGCAGCTGCTTGGGCCTTACGGAGATGTGTGGGACCCAGCATAAACTCCCTCTCTGGAAAAATGCCATCACAAAGACTACACAGCTCCTTATACTAGTCTCGGAACCCACAAAGGCTGAGGGCCTCTCCTGTGGCTAGCATTGCAAGAGTCCACAGTGGAAATGTGAACCACTGAGGATCTCTCATTTATCCTTTCCCCACACTGAGGAGTTTATCCTGACTCTGAGCTGATCCTAGTCACGCTGGCTGCTTCTCTCCCTTCTCCTTCTGTGGCTCAGAGGTTCTCTATCATTTCCCTGCTGAATTCTGGTATTCTTTCTTAGGTTCTATATTTGACATGTAATTATCTATTCAATATGTGATTACCACTCACTGTTTTGATCCTTCTTTGTGGAGGAGGTGGATGCCGGGTTTCTCTAGTCAGTCACCTTGATGGTTTACCCAAAAACAATTTTTAAAAACAAAAACAAAGTTGGAAAAGTTCACAACCTGATTTTTAATATATAACTTTATTGAGACATTTTCATATTATTTGATTCAACTACTTCAAGTATACAATCCAACGATTTAATAAATTTACCAAGTTGTATGACCATATGTTACCTAATTTTAAGACTTATTATAAAGCAACAGTAATCAAGACAGTATGATATGTATTGGCAAAGGGACAGACAAAAGAATAACGGGATGGAACAGAGACCAGAAATAGACCCACACAGTCAATTGATTTTTGACAAAGGTGCTAAAGAAATTTAATGGTTATTTATAGTCTTTTCAAGAAACAGTATTGAAACAATTTGGCATTTTTTTAAGAACTCAGACTAGAAATATTGCTCAGGAGGTAGAGCAAGATGGCTGAATAGAACCCTCCAGCAATCGTTCCCCTTACCCCCCAACAGTCACAGGAACATCAGATTAAACAACTATCCTTGCAAGATACTACACCTTCATAAGAACCGGATATCAGCTGAGCATTCACATTATCTGGTTTTGGCCTGATAACAAGGAAAGATGGGCTGGTGCCTCATGCCTGTAATCACAACACTTTGGGAGCCCAAAGCAAATGGATCACTTGAGCCCAGGAGTTCAAGACAAGCCTGGGCAACATGGCAAAACTCAATCTCTACAAAAAAAAAAAAAAAAAAAAATACAGAAATTATCTGGGCTTGGTGGAATGTGCCTGTAGTCCCAGCTACTCAGGGGGCTGAGGTGGGAGAATGGCTTGAGCCCAGGAGGAGGAGGTTGCAGTGAGCCAGGATTGTGCCACTACACTCTAGCCTGGTCCACAGAGCCACATCTTATCAAAAAAAAAAAGAGAGAGAGAGAGAGAAAGAAAATGAAAACAAGCCAAGACACATTGAAGAGAGTAAGAAGGGAAGTCCTATATTGCCTCCGCCACTGTCCTGCAACCTACATCCCCAGGCAGCACAGCCACAGGAGAGAATCTGTGTGCTTAGGGAAGGCACAGCAAAGCGAGTGTGGGAGTTTGCACTGGAACTCAGTTTCACTCTGTCACAGTGGAATAAAGCACTGGGAAGAATTTCACTGGTATTTACACAGGAATTATTTAGAAAATCCCTGGGCCAGAGGGGAATCTGCTGCCCAAGCAGGAGGAATCCAAGTCTCAGCCCACTTCCCCAGCAATTTATTAATGTGGCCTGAGGCACCTACAAATTTTAGTGGCAGGCAGGCCATAGCAACTGCAGTCTTTGGGTGAGCCCTGGTACTGTACTGATCTCAGAAGCT